>NC_000018.10:50627909-50928576 GCF_000001405.40 Homo sapiens
GTCCACAGGGCTCAGGCAAGCATTAGACAGACTGGGAGAGGTGACTCAAGGTGTTCTTTCAAAGCAGAGGAAACAGATTTTGTCATCAGGGAATAAGCTCCCACCAGGCCACCACACCCATTGGTCTGCGTGGTGACTCCTGACACTGGCTCCGAGGTAGGGTTCCCGGGCAGTAGGGGCTGGGGAGGGGGAAGGCCTGCTTCCCATTGTAGCCCTCCCCAGATGCTGAGTTGCAGCTAGTTCAGCTAATTGGCAAGAAAAGGAGAAGCAAAAATAGTGAAAATCTGCGAATTAATAAAACAGCCTTGAAGCAACCGCCAAAATGTGTACAAATCATGAAGTAATTAGAAGTGTGAAGAATTCTATCGGGTTCGCTGTTTCCAAATCCAACATCTGATCGCTTTAGGAGGCCAAGGGCTGGCAGGCCACAGGGAGTAGAAATTCTTTCCATTGCCGTCTGATCTCGCCTCCCTGGGGCCTGGGTTCCCTTGAAATCCTTGCAGGGTCCTGGAAGTTTCCATGGGACTTGCTAGAATCAAATGTTGGCCTTTTGGGGGCCCGTTAAGCACACGCAACGCCTTATCCAAGTAGCATGTAATATTTTAGAATAATGCTGTTAAGATTTCGCAAAGTGTTTTTTGGATCCATGTTCTTATTTAATCTCTCACTATCACCAAATATTTTTATGTCAGTGTTTTTCAGAGGAGGGAAGCAAGGCCCAGAGAGTGAAGTGGTGTCAACTCAATTTTAAGAGCCCATCAGGAGCAGAACTAGGGCTAGAGCCAGGATCTTCTGATAGCCCCTCCGACCTCTCCTCTCCCACCCACATTCCTCCTGTGGGCTCTGCTGCATCACTCAATGGTGCCAGGCATTTGTCTATCACAATTGTCTCAGCTAACAGCCAACTACTGTTCTCTCTGGCCATGGTTTATTACATTTAGGTAAGTTGTTCAACCCATTTGTTTGATTAATAAAATAAGACCCAGGCACATTTAGTGATTTGTCGATTTTTCATTTTATTTTATATCCAGATTAGACTGGGGAGAAAAGTATTTCTTTTCTTTGTCCTTCTGGAAACACATTATAGAAAGAGATTTCAGGGCTGAAGCCTTGTGGTATACCTAATGCGGAAGGGTAGAAGCAATATGTGATTAGAGTTTCATTGCTTGACTTCGTTCTTTCTGCTTTGTGGGGGCTTTCTCAAGAGTAAGTGCTCACATTCGCTAAGATGAGGGAGGGCATTGCTCAGGGCTGAAATGCAGTGTATTCAGGCTTAGAAATTCTGAGAGCAGAAACCAGAGCAGAACCCTGAGAGAATCATGTAACAAGCTTGACGTGTGTTGTTAATTCCCCAAGCGGTAGCAGAAAGCTCCCAGGAGGCTGGCGTTTACATGGTTTATAGCCAGACTGAGCAAACAACAGTGTGATTAAGTTACACGCATTAGTTGGCTCCATAACCAGAATAGAAATGTATGTTTTAATTTAGGATGGAAAGTTTTCAGCAAAGCACTTGCTACTTGCACAGACTTGTCTCTGGTCCTCAAGTTTGGCCAACAGTGGAGCACTCTGTGGGAGAGGAAGTCAGAGAGTTGGAGGCAGGTCCAGGAACATAATTTGCAGGGCACAAGTGCAAGATGAAAATTCATGCTCCTTGTTCACAAATGATGAAGAAATTCAAGACAGCGACAGCAGAGCATCAGCTAAATGCATGGTCCTTTTGAGCTTCGTGGGGCACTGTGACCCCATGGGCCATCCGTCTTTGAGGCTGGACCATGTTGGAAACCACTGGAGAAGGCAGGGGGTTGGGGGTTGAGCCTGGGGCTCAGAGGTTCTGTGTTAACCAAATGCCACTCAGCTGGAAGATCAGCGATGGAAATCAGTTAACATTTAAGAAATCACCTGGAGGCCCAGGCTCTGTTCCAAGCCATTAGGGATTCGGCAGTGAGCAAGCAAGGGCTGCTGTGAGTAGGTAAAACTGAGGGTCTTGTCTGTACCTGGGCTTCGTAATAATGATGCCCATCACTGTTGTAGGACCAGGCACGTTATTAAACATGTGCATGTGTCTGGGCATGTTAAGGGCTTTAATGAACATTAGCTTTAGACAGACACGTAAACAGCAGGTGAATGTGTGATGGGGAACCTGAAGGAACCTCCTGTGTTGGGAGATGGGGGAGGGGAACGCCTAACCCATAGTGGCATTCGGTCTGGTAGGATGCTGGCCGAGTTCCCTTTGGATAGATACTGAGACTTGAGGGATTTATGCCCCAAAGCTGTTTCCTCCTGTCTTTTTTGTTTTTTAGACAGAGCCTGTCTGTGTCACCCAGGCTGGAGTGCAGTGGCACGATCTCTGCTCACTGCAACCTCCGCCTCCTAGGTTCAAGCGATTCTCATGCCTCAGCTTCCTGAGTAGCTGGGATTACAGGCGTGCACCACCACGCCCAGCAAATTTTTGTATTTTTAACAGAGACAGGGTTTCACCATATTGGCCAGGGTGGTCTCAAACTCCTAACCTCAAGTGATCCACCCACCTTTGCCTCCCAAAGTGCTGGGATTACAGGTGTTAGCCACTGCATCTGGCCTGTTTCCTCCTCTCTTTCTCTCTAGACCAACCTTCCGTAGCCATTCTGGGCATCCAGGAGTACCCAGGATATAGGTGCTGACCTGACCCAGCTCCTCTGTCCACAATGTCATCCTCTTCGGACACATCCTTCAAGGTCCTAACTAAAATTCTGCACTCCTCTGCACTCCTCTGATCCTGCACCTGGCAGGTGCTTAGTGGTCTGCTGGGTAAACAAATATTAGGATTAGCTCCTCATCCTAATATTCACAGCCCTCCGCAGTCTGACCACGTCTGCCTTTTGGCTGTGCCGCTGCCATCCCTCCAGTACACAGAACCAGCCTCTCTCCCTGAATCAGCCTCCACATTTGTTTTTCCCAGCTGGGAGCCTCACCTGTCTTTGCAACTTTGGTTCAGTTCCACAGACAGGTACCAAATGCCTCTGTTTACAGCCTTTCTCCGACCAAGGTACAGTAGATCTTCATTACCCATGGATTCTGTATTTGCCAATTTTACTACTCCCTAAAATTTATTTGTATCCCCAAACCAGCACTCACAGTCCTTTCACAGTGATTCGCTGATGTGCACAGAGTGGTGAAAAATTTGACTCGCCTGACATGCACATTCCCGGCCGAGGTCAGACAGGGTGACACGCTGCCTTCTGGTTTCAGCTCTCATACTGCAAACAAGTGTCTTCGCAGTCTATTTAGTGCCACTTTTTTTTGTTTTGCATTTTTGTGCTTTTTTGTTGATGGTGATATTGCAGTTCTGAAATGGCTCCTTAAGCATAGCGCTGAGGTGCTATCTAGTGTTCCTAAGCCCAGGGAGGCTGTGATGTGCCTCACAGAGAAGATGTGTGTGTTAGATAAGCTTTGATCAGACATACGGTTGGCTGTGAGTTCAATGTTAACGAATCAACAATATTCTGGTACATCCAGAAAAAGGAAGAGGAAATTCACTAACAATGTCCATGAGACCACTCCATTGTTGCCATCAGAGGCTGGCAGGAACATGACCATATTAGAATGTAACTACCATGAATAAAGAGGGTCAACTTAGCGTCTCCTAAGTGTGAGGCATCATTCAAACCCTTCCTGAACTTTGTGGCTTTCTGCTCAGTCCAGGACCGTGTGCTTGCTCTGTCCTGCAAACTCATTTTGTACCAGCATCTTCCCATTGTATTTAGTACTCAGACTCTGACTTCTGATGCCCCTTGAATTGTTATTTTAACTCTCCATGTGTGGCCCCCAGATGATGGTCAGTCCTCTTAGGGCAAAAACCTACTGGCCTCACAGTGTCCTTCCTGGAGAGATGTGCTGAAGCCAAACGTGGAAAAGTTGTCTGATTAGAATGTGTTTTCAGACAGATACTAAACACAGTAGGAAATAATACAACTTTATCAGCAAGATAAATACAATCTTTATCAGCAAGGAACACTTCAGAGTGCCTCCTGCCTCAGGGTGGTTGTGAGAATCAGAGATGTTTGTAAAAGCACAAAGTGAACTTGGAAAGTGCCATGTAAGTGTTAGGTGTCTGTTGCTGTTGGCACGTGTGGGTGGCCGTGAGAAAGGCACAGTGGGGGAGCTGCTGGCTTGATCTCCTAGGTATGGGCCCTACTGTGGTTAGAGGCTTCCAAATGGGGCCCCAGAGTGTCAAACCTACCAAGTATTTCATGCCGTTGAGGGGAAAAGGTGGCATTTCAGGTGGCCTTGGGTTAGGTCCCCTGGGGCGGCGGCCTCCTCTTTGCTGGCAAAAGCCACGTATTTCTCTCCAAATTTCACGTGGCTGGGAGTTACCGTGGGCATTCTGTGGATTGCAGACTCTGTGTTTCTTCTCTTCAGTGAGGGGAGGCCAATTTTCTTTTTGTTGCTGTTTGATTTCCAAATAATTAGATTTGCAAAGTTCTTTTGTGTTATGTCAGAATCTGTCATTCCAGTGCCCGTCTCAAATGTCAAGACGCTGCTCCTGATCTTTCCCTTCCAAATGAGTCATCCAGCATCCCCTCTGCCTGTAGTATTTCCCTCAACCTTGTCTCTTGCATTCTTTCATGTTCTGTCATGTTCTGTGTCTCGTTATGGAATTTTGTGAGTTATATTATACACCTCTGGACTTTAATCATTCCTTAAGGACAGAGACTGAGTCTGGTTTAATTTTTTTTTTTTTTTTTTTTTGAGACAGAGTCTCACTCTGACATCCAGGCTGGAGTGCAGTGATGCAATCTCGGCTCATTGCAACCTCAGCCTCCCAGGTTCAAGCAATTCTCCTGCCTCAGGCTCCTGAGTAGCTGAGAATATAGGCATGTACCACCATACCCAGCTAATTTTCATATTTTTAGTAGAGACAGGGTTTTACCATGTTGGCCAGGCTGGTCTCAAACTCCTGACCTCAGGTGATCCACCTGCCTTGGCCTCTCAAAGTGCTGGGATTACAGGTGTGAGCAACTGCGCCTGGCCTGATTTTTTTTATATATACCGCTGTGCTAAAAACACAATGCTATAAAAACACAATGCTATTTTGTTTTTGTTTTAATTGTCTCTTGGACTGATGGAGTAATTTACTAAAAGCCTTAACAAAGGTTAAGGCTGTAGTCTGGATTCCTGGACAATAAGGAAATGGGTGTGCCGAGGTCACACTCCAGCTCCCATGTCTCTGTATGGCAGGGAAGAATCAGCACAGCTCTTGTCTCCTCTGCTGAGGGGAACAGCTGGTTTGTGGCATAAGAGAGATGGAAAGGACACAAGGTCTTCTCGTGGAGTCTAGAGACTTTGCGAAGGCACTGGGGAATCCCTTTTGCTGGAAATTTTTAGGCAAAAGTGACATGTGTCTGTCTGGAATGGTTGCCTGGAAACAAGTCTGCCTGGGAGTGAGCCACTGTGCCCATCCCACCCTCGCTGGACCCAGTAAGAGTGCCTGGGCCCTGGCCTGTTGTGGCAGAAGGGTTTGAAGAGGTCCCACATCCTGTAGCAGTGCGCATTCATCCCAGTTGATGTATAAACATCATAACAAGTCCTGGCGCAGAGACTGTTCTAGTGCCTGCATCCCTAGCATATTTGACAACACTGTGGGCTCTGAGGGCTTGATTCTTCTCAGGGGACCTCTCTTTGCTCAGTGGCTTCCCACCGCAGCCACTTGGGCTGGCTGCTGCCAGATTAATCTCCCCAAAACACTTTGATCTAAGGCTCAGAAGCCTTAAGTGGCTTTGCACTGCCTAAGGGATAAAACCTAAACTCCCGAAATCTTACTATAAAGTCCTGGAGGGCAGGGACTCCATCTGATACTCCTTTGTAGTCTCCTCCTGATGGTTGATAGGGTTGGTGATGAGCTGCCGTGTGTCGGTTTGATTTTATCTGTGGTCACTTCTGGAGAATTGCGAGACTATAGGATTTTCTGTCAGCTGGCCAATTCTGCATCTAAGGTAGGAAGGATCATCTGCTTTCACTGTGGTGTGTTGCTTTTGCTTGTAACTAGGTGGGGGCCTTAGTAAGAATTCCAGGAACATTGTGCCATAAATTTGGATTTGGGGAGGGGGAGGAGGTGTAGGAGAACAGTAGTTTGGTAAGAGGTTGAAATTCAGAATTTGTTTTTTTCCAGCTCCCTGTGGTTCCCAGAAAGAAACCTTTTTATAACTCTCAGGTGCACCATTTCTCTCTTTTCCAAATATGCTCAATGAAAACCGGTGCCTCCCTTCCTATCAGGACTGGAGCAGAGCTGAGCGGGGGTATTCTGAGCAACTCTTGGTTCTGCTCCTGAAAGGGGCAGGATGTCAGCACCTGGTGTGCATTAATTCAAGTGTTGTTTGCCTGGCATGTGCAACTTTTTTCAGCATGGCTGTCAGGTGTTTTTTTTTTCTTTTTTTTTTTTCCTTTTCTGAAAAATTGAGGAACGCATGCTCTCAGACTGGGTTCAAGAACAAGGTGAGGTCAGTTCCAGGAGTGAAAGATCTGAGTGGTCCATTGTCAGGACTGGGAAACGGTAGCCGAACACGAGTAGTCTCTTACTTCTCTGAAATCCCTTGGCGTTTATTTTGTTCCTTGATCATTGGCGTGGATCACATCCTGCCTTCTGTCATATTTGACTTACATCAGTTATTAGAGCATTACCTCTTTTAGAGTGGGGATCAACTGTCATCCATTTTTAAATTTCCCCATAGGCATAAGAGGTGTTTTTGTAGATCATGGAAGAAATTCTGTGATCTGAAACAGCCAGGCTCAGCTTTTAATTAGGGAGCCAGGGAACAACTAGGAACCAGGAATTACCAAGGATGAAAATATATTGGTTTAATATCCAAATAATATTATTCCCATTATACCAATGTGCTTCAGTGTTTCTGTTCTAAATTCTTAAGGCCTACAATCATGGGTCGTTTTGCTATCTCCTCCTTCTGTGTAATGAGACTCAAGCCACACCAGGTCTTACACACTCCAGAGCAGTGGTGCTCAATCCTGACTGCACCTTAGAATCAGCGGGGTTGTTCTTAGACATCCCTATGCTCAGTTGGCGCTCCAGACCAATCAACTGAGACTCTCCAGGGGAAGGATCCTGGCATCCATATTTGTCAAACTCCTCAGGTGATTCCAGAGTGCAGCCAAGGCTAAGCATGAGCTATTTGAGGGCAGCGTATCTGTCTTACTAATCATTATATCTCCAGGGCTTCCTATGGTGCTTGGCACAGAGTGGGTTTTCAGTTAACATCAGTGCCTCCTGTCAGTATCTCCTCATGGATGTCAAATGACTTCAACCAACAGGATTCTGAAACCAAACCCAGAGCCCGTCTCTCTTCCAAGTTTTCCTTCTCAGCATTTGCATCCCCATATATCTAGTAGTATGAGCCAGAAATTTAGGATTCAACTTCAATGCCCCCTATCACCCCCAACATTCGGGCCCTTTACTGTGCTTGATGATTTGACATGCTGAATCTCTCTCATATCTATGCATTCATTTCTATACCCACCAGCACCACCCAAATACTATCCAAGTATCCAAATTCAAGATACTATCATCAATCCCCTCAACTACCTTAAAAGCTCCCAAGCTGGGCTATCTCTGTAGCGTAGTCCAACCAATCCATTCTCCACACTGTAGTCAGAATCATCCCTAAAAATGCAAATATGATCTTGTGATCTACTGATTAAAACATCTCAGTGACTTTCTGTTGTTAGGAGACCAAACTCCTTAATGTGATCTGCAAGACTCCGTGGTCTGGTTCACTAGGCCCTGGTCCATAAGACCCCATGCCTGGTCCATAAGACCCTCATGATTATTCAACAAGGCCCCTGCAGTCTGGTCCACAGGCCCCCATGGTCTGGTCCACGGGTGCTTATGGTCTAGTTCATAAGGTCCCTATGGCTTGGTCCTCTAGGCCCCATGGTTCGGTCCACAAGCCTCCATGGTTCACAAAGGCCCCAGGATGTGACCCCAAAGGCCCATGGCCTGGTCCACTATAGTCCATGGTGTGGTCCACTAGGCCTTGATGGCCTGGTCCACATGGTCACATGGTCTAATCTACTCTCTCAGACTCAATTCACTCCACTCCCTGCCTTATTCTTTGCACTCCAGCCTCTCTTGCACTTACACTTCCTTGCATTCTATGCTGCCTTCAGGCTTGGGGCCTTTGCACACCCATTTCCTTCTATCTGGAGCACTTTCTCCCTCTCCCTCCTTGCCTAGTTAATTTCTGCTTATTCTTCAGTTCTCAGCTTAAGGACCCCTAACTCAGTGACACCTTCTCAGGTCCTGGCCCCAAATCCCTTCAATACGTGCTCTCGCAACGTCAGGGTCACTTCCTTGTAAGTTCTTACCTCCATCTGCAGCTCAACTTCCATTTCTGTGATTATTTGATCAATATCTCTCTGTCCCACCTGACTGAAGCCCCAAGAGGGCAGGGGCTATGTCTGACTGTTCATTTTATCCCCAGTTCCGAGCAAAGGGCAGGGCAGCTAGGAAGTGCTTGGTAAGTATCTGTGGACTAAATACCTGCATGTTTTGCAGAATAGTTCCAAACCTCTTTAGTCTTGCTGCTCTGTAACCAGGTGACTCCTCCTGACCCCTCTTCTCTTAGGCAGGGGCTGCCTCTCCTGCATGAGACCCATGGGGTGACTCCTGACAGCCCCATTAC
This sequence comes from Homo sapiens, assembly GCF_000001405.40. Lineage (NCBI taxonomy): Eukaryota > Metazoa > Chordata > Mammalia > Primates > Hominidae > Homo > Homo sapiens. The sequence continues at coordinate 50,636,582 of NC_000018.10, forward strand.
ATAAAATGTTCCACATGACATGTCTGCTTTGCCCTATTTTCAGCAACCTCCTGAAGATCTATTAATATCCATATCCATCATTTGCTTTTCTATGGGAACCTTTCAATGTTTCCTAATCTCCCCTGAACTTTCCTAAAGCTGAATTTTTAGGGTCTTCGTGTACATCCTTGATTCCTTCTGGCCCACAAGGATCTTCAGGAGTTACTCTTTTTCACTTTGGACGCTGCATCATAGTGTCTTACGTCACTCAGATGCTTTTGCGTATTGGTGTTTGTGGTCTCACGGTAATCTCAGGGGTGGCTGGGTGGAGTATGTGAGATCATCTCTGTTCACGATGAGAACATAAGGCCCAGAATCAATTTCCCAACTCCTGTCACAGCCTCCTGCTTGCTTCTGTTCCCTAATCTTAAAACCACTTAGAAACAAAATCCTGCATCCAAACCTCGGTTTCTTTGAGTCTTCCCAAAGCACTGGTGAGAACACTGGACGGGAGCTCAGTTACCTGGTTTCATGCCCTTCTAAGACATCTCCCATCTCTGGGTCTCACTTCACTGACTTTGCAAAATGAGAAGTTTGGACCAGATTATTGAGGATCCCTCAGTGACAACAGTGATAATAATAATCATGGCATTAATAGTAATAATATTAGCTAACTTTTATTGAGCGCATAGCATGGGTCAGGCAGTAAGTATTTTACATGTATTAGTTCATTTTTTAATTCTTTAATTCCATCTACAAGCAAACAAAGTAGAGATCTTTGTGGCCCCATTTGACACATGTTGAAGGTCAGGTATAGTGAAGTTCAGCAACTTGCCCAAAGCCACTGAGCCAGGAAATGGCAGAGCCAGAATTTGAACCAAAGAACCCTGACTCAAAACCCCTCACTCTTAACCAGCTAAAGTAAAGGACAGGGGATGGGCTTTGGAGTCAGACAGGTGTTTAAGGCCTGACTCTGCCACTTGTCAGCAGTGTGGCCCCAGCCAGGCTACTTCTATGCACCTGTTTCCCCATACGTAAAATAGGAATAATGCCTGCACAGGGGTGTATTTGTGTGCTGGGGTTGCTGTGACAGAATACCACAGTCTGGGTGAGTTAACCAACAGACACGTATTTTCTCACAGTTCTGGAGGCTTGAAGTCCAAGATCACAGTGTTGGTGGGTTGGTTCCCCTGGAGGTCTCTCTCCCTGGCTTGCACGTGGCCACCTTCTCACTGCGTCCTCACGTGATTGCCCCTCAGTCTGTGTGTGGCCTACGTCCTAACCTCCTTTCTTATAAGGACGTCTGTCATATTAGATTGGGGCCTACCCCGATGACTTCATTTTACCTTAAGAACCTCTTTAAAGACCCTGTCTCCAAATACAATCACATTCTGAGTTACTAGGGGTTAGGGCTTCAGCGTATGAATTTGGAGGATACAAGTCAGTCTAACAAGTGGGTTTTGTGCACCTTAAGGGCATCATGCATGTAAAGGTCCTGACTTGGTTAATGCTGGGTCCTTCCCCTCTCTCCACTGGTTCTAACTTCATATCCATTGCTCTATTCCTGGCTAATGATGAGATGCGATGCTAGGTTGGCAACATGCGAGTGAGCATTGGGTGGAATCTGTCTGTTTGGCAGCTATTTCTAGAGTGGAAAAAATCTCTGCCTCATTTTAGATTGCTTATGGCATGGTTTACAGTCCTAGATTTAACATTGGAGGCCTTGAAGTCTTAGAAAAATATTATGATAAATCACAATCCTTCAAACAAGCATGACATATTTTATCCAAGGACGTGAGCTTGCCTTTCAAAAGTGAATTTATCCTTCTGCCTGAGTAAGGCAGCACGTCTTTCCCCTTGCAGCTGAATAGCTGAGGCATCAGCACTTTTAATACAAACAACAACAGGCATCCTGGAGTTGCCAAGAGCCGCTGCACCCTGAAGGTTTCCGTATTTACTGCCGGGTGTCACTTTCTCTTCTGGGAGACCACCTATCCAAAGTCACAGTAGGTTAGAGGTGAACGACCCAAGAGGAGCCAAGGGAGTTGAAACCTAAGTCAGCACTGTTGCATTAATGCAGTTGTTCTAGCATGGAGAAATGAACATGAAAAGAAATGTGGGAGTCTTTTCGGAGAGAGATGAAGTTCTGGAAGGAATAACTGAGAGTCAGTAGCAGCAGCAGCATCAGCAGCATCCTAATCCTATTAGCAGCTGCTGTTGACGGACTGGCTGCTCCCTGCCAGGCACTAAGCAATGTCCTTGTGTACATGATCTCCAGCCTCTATATTGCCCTGAGAAGTGGATTTGATTATCCTGTTCTTCAGACAGGGAACTGAGACTCAGCAGTATTAAACCACCTGCCCAAGGTGCTATGCTAGGAAACAGCAGAGCCAGGGTTCCAAGCCAGGTCTGCTTATCTGCAGGCCTCCACAGAGGAGGAAGGCCTTATATGGGCACAACCTGGGAATGTCATGTAGGTGACCAGGCAGATGGGGGAGAGCAGCTGCCTCCTAAGTCAAGAGGGGGCGCCCTGGTACCCCAGGCTCAAAATGGCCTTGCTGTTTCAGAAACCTGGGGAATGGAGAAAAACACAGCTAAACCTTGGCCTGTGGGTGGAAGTGAGCAGCCTTGAAGACATAAAGTAATTCCCTAAGGGCTGGTGCCAAGCTGGATGACTGGAAATGGGAGTGAACCAAGAAAGCAGAAATCTTTAAGCCTGAGCCAAATTAGTTAAGTTCTGAGACAGAAATCTGTCATCTGCCTTTTCTCTATGTAGTTTGCATCCTGAAAAACCCTTTTCCATGGTGTTCACTGAGTGGGCTCTGAGAGTTTGGTATTTTGTTAAGGGAGGTGGGGGTAAATGAGAAAAAGCTGTAATCTTAGTGTTGAACCACTTTTATGGTTCAATATAAATGTTCCAAAATTATATATGGTCATTGTAGAAAATTTAGGAGAAAATGCAGAAAATTATAAAGGAAAAAAATTCTGTAATCTACCACTCACAGATAATAAGCAAAATGTTAAAAGATGACCCTTCTAGTCTTTTTGCCATACAATTTTAAAACATAAAAGGGATTAGACTCTGCACCATTTAGTAACATTTTATCACTTAGCGCCACATCATGCACGTTTTCCGATGTCTTTAAATGGCCTTTTCAAACATAACTTTTCTTCCCCATCAGGTGACGTATCATAATTTAATTAGTCCTTCCTTGTTGGACATTGGGATGATTAAGAGTTTGTTCCCTTGATTAGCTCACCTGGTAGAATATTCCATTAGGAACCTGGAACAGTGGGACAGGCATCTATCTTGAGAAATCTATGCTATTTATATACTCTTCGCTCGTTAATAATTGTCTCTATTAGCAACTAACCACAGGTCTGAACTAGCGTCTGATATTTATAGCCACCTCACTTTCTTTTGTTCTCCTAATGGAATCAGTTTAAATATGTCACAAACCTTTTATTCTACAAGGGAACATTAGAGCAAGATATTCATCTCAGGAACTGTGAGCATAGACCAGTGTTATTTATATATATCTACACACATACGTGATCTTTATATAGACAGACAGGAGCAAAAGGGCACACAGCAAAAACAACCACACTAGCAGTAGAAGAGTCCCTTCCTGTCAACAATGAAGCATTTGGAAGGAAATCAGAGGCATACAACCAAATAGGCTTTTTACCCCCTTGGGGGCCATATCAACAGCATGGCTATTCAGGGGCCATGCTCTGTCACCTTGAGGTCATGCCAAAGAAACTTGGACTTATACACAGATCTTAATCGGCTCTTGTCCCCAGGACATTCTTCTTGTTTACAAAAAAAAAAAAAAAAAATTATATGGATGCCCTTACCAAAAGAGCAGGGATTGTGGCTATTTTCTTTTTTTATCTTTCTTTTCTTTTCTTTTCTTTTTTTTGACAGTCTTGCTCTGTCACCCAGGCTGGAGTGTGCAGTGGCACGATCTCAGCTCTCACTGAAACCCCTGCATCCTGGGTTCAAGCGATTTTCCTGCCTCAACCTCCCAAGTAGCTGGGATTACAGGTGTGCGCCACCACGTCTGGCTAATTTTTGTATTTTTAGTAGAGATGGGGTTTCACCATGTTGGCCAGGCTGGTCTCGAACTCCTGACCTCAGGTGATCCACCCGCCTTGGCCTACCAAAGTGCTGGGATTACAGGCATGAGCCACCGCACCCAGCCAGTTATGGCTATTTTCATCTTTCATCCCTTCTGTTGGCTTAAACACACACACACACACGCACACACACACTGATGCATTAGTGCCTGCGCAGTCAGGGAAGGAGAGGAAGGGACAACTTAGAGACTGGAGCGGGCTTCCATGAAGGTACCTAGAAAAATAAGGAAAAGGCTGATGTCCTATAGCAAACAAAGATTATTTGCAAATTCACAAATCAGCGTTTTTGTCTTTTAAATCTGCTTTTGCCAAAGATGATTATTTGTCAATGTCAGAAGATCCGCATCAGCTGTCACCTGGAAAAAAAAGGGGAGAGTTGAGTGAGAAGTCCTGTTTGTGACCCATGAAGCCAGGCTCCATTCTTTGTCTTCTCACTGGCTCACTGAAGATCTGAAGGAGCCACATTCCACATAGAAATCCCCATAAAGCATTCCTCTGAAACACAGAATATAAAAAGAGGGCTGGACGATTATCAGTAGTTGGTTCTAATCTCAGCCTGTCACTAAATCCTGATGGGATTTGGACAAGTTTCCCTACCTTTCTTGGGTCTCAGTTTTCTTATCTGTAGGGAAGTTCATACAGGTTTGTAGATTTTAAATTGTGTTTAAAGGTGCTTTGGTGTTTTATAGATACTTGATTTGAACTTTTTAAAAAATCTATATCTTTTTTAAAATTATAATCCAAATAACACACTCTGTTCTATAGATGTTCGATTTGAACTTCAAAATATATATATACTTTTATCTTTTTAAAAATTGTAACCAAAATAACACTCAAATATGTTATTTATCAAATTTCAACATACTGAAACCCTCAATATGCTAATTTGATTTTTAGCTGTCCACAGTTTATTCTGCCATCTCTTTTTAACTTAAAAATAACTTGAGATTATCAATATGAACTGTTTAAAAAAAGTTATTGTACCATTTGCTGTAACTTATCTGTTAGGATTTCTCAATAAAATGCTAGTAAACAACATTTAGAAATAAACTAGATAATTATTACATAAGAATCAGGTTCAATGTTCTCATTGTCTTTATAACTAAATAGTTAAAACTTATACTAAAAGTAAAGTAAATTTATGCTAAATAGCATAATTCTGTATCTATCTTGTAAGTGTTCAATAACTGTTAGAAGTTCTCCTCATATGTACTTGGTTTCCTGTAAGGGTTTGTATTTTACAAAAGCCTTCTGTGGCAACATTACTTCCGAAAGCCCTTTAGACCTGACATTCTATATAACTTACATTTTTACATGTAAAACAAAATATGTTTGTGGCCCTGTAAATATAACAGTATATATTAATGACCATTAATGGTTTTAGTAAAAGTCAGGGGATTGTAATTAAAATAAGTCAATGATAACCACTTTAAAAGAAGTCTAAGCAATATCCCAATTAATGAAATTCCCCTAAATGAATTCTAATTAATAATTTGGGGCAAATTATTTTCCCCGCAGTTTAGCTGCTGTTTGCTTGTCAGTTGAAATGTATTATTGTATATTTGGGAAGAGGAAATTGACTTGAAGATTGGGAAGTCCAGCCCATGCTCCAGAGCTGAAGAATTCCACCCCAGGGGATTTTAGGAAATGGGTTTCGGGTGATGGTTCAATTGATCATTCTAAATTAAATTACTAAGTATGCTTCATATTTGGTTTAGAAAAACTGCTGGTGTATGCATTTTGCCCTTCTTCCTTTATCTTATTTTATGAAACAACCACCCCAATATAGTTAGTGAAGAAAAACTCTGAGAAATTGCCTAAACTCAAGTAATAAGGCCTATGAGGATGCTGTTTTCAGGAGCAACTTTGCCCTGTAATATAAACACAGGGAAGCATGAGTTGAACAACCCCTGCAGGGTGTTAACCACAGGGGGACCATCTGGCCTTTGAACACTGCATGTGGAACCTGATAGAATAGTTCTTGTTCAGATATGCCACAGGTCAGATCTCATGGCCCAGCATCACTGAACCCCTGCAAAAGTAAAGGTAAACAAATGAGGAACTGCCATTCTATCCAGGGACGCCAGTGTCACCAAAGAGGCAAGTGTTGGCCAGGCTGGTCTCGAACTCCTGACCTCAGGTAATCCGCCCACCTTGGCCTCCCAAAACGCTGGGATTATAGGCATAAGCCACCACGCCTGTCCTGCAGCATATTTGATTTTGATAGTAATTCAGACTTTTTAAAGTGCTAGTGTTGATTATCCTTTTGGTGCTTTATTCGTTAACTTTCATTTCTCCACCCATCAACTTTTAGCAGCAGCTCTCAACTCAATATGAGAATATACTTGTTTTCCTTCCCTCGTTCTTTCCTCTACCTCCCCAATATTTTTTCCACTGTATTTTTTCTTCACATTGTCAAAGTTGATGACATTTACATGTTGTTTGTGACATGTTTACCTACAGATTGATTCTCGAAGTTGAAAACCAGTAAGCAGCATTTATATTATGAATTTATTTAAAAACAATTCCCAGCCAGGCACAGTGGCTCACACCTGTAATCCCAGCACTTTGGGAGGCTGAGGCAGGCGGATCACTCAAGGTCAGGAGTTTGAGACCAGCCTGGCCAACATGGTGAAACCCCGTCTCTACTAAAAATGCAAACATTAGCCAGGCATGGCATGGTGGTGCACACTTGTAATCCCAGCTACTCTACTTGGGAGGCTAAGGCGGGAGGATCACTTGAACCTGGGAAGCAGAGGTTGCAGCGAGTCGAGGTCGCGCCACTGCGCTCCAGCTTGTGTAATGGAATGAAACTCCATCTCTAAATAAAATAAAATAAATTCCCTCCTCACTAATTCTCATCCCATATCTTCTTGTCCAGTGCGACTCAGAACACTGTACCCTCAGAACTGCCACTTGAGGCTTAAGAGGATGGAGATGGGAGGGAGAAGGAACCGCCTGCTTTTTTACACACAGAGGTCTGGGTGGTGGAAGGAGGCTTCAGTAGTTTCATGCAAGCCTCAAGTAATCCCATGGTTTTAGCCCCTCCCACCTGCCGGTCTTGCCTCTTGTTGACCTCAGTCTAGGGCCTCTCCAAATATCCATGGGGCTGACGGCATCCTCCACGGCTGCCCCCTGCACCTACCCTCACCTCACTGTGCAGTCTGGGCCAAGACAATTGAATTCTTTGCCTTTCAGAAATGTCTTAACATCCCTTGTCCTCTGACTGTTCCCGTCCTGTTCTCTTCATCATTATGGGGTTATATTGATGAAAAGATCCCCTTACTATCAACTTTAATGCCCTCTCGGTGGAAAGGGAGATGAATGCCTGCAGATCCACATCTTAGTAGAAATCTGAGTTGCCTCCCCTTCTCTTTGCAGCTGCTTTCCAGTTGGACTTGAGTCCAAGAAGATTTGAGATTTCTGCACTGAAAAGGACACTTTGCTTAGATAACTTTTCATTTGGTTGGGAGAGGGAAGGGGGGAACAACATGATAGGTAAAATAATGTTCACCTTTGGTTGCCTTGGTAAGAGCTTCCCCCTGTAAATGACACCTGGGGAGGTTGAGGGAGACAGAAGAGCAGCTGACAGGAAGACTGAGGGTCGGGGGATGGGAGGGTAATCACCAGATTGGAACCACTGAGTGGCAAGGATCCACTAGCTGGCTGGGGACAAAGTCACACTTGCCATTGGGTATCTGGAGGGCCCCAAGCCTATTCAGTCATGCAGCAAAATCCTCAGGAGTTCCTAGAGCAGGGAGAACAGACACAGGGAAGGAACTGCTTTCCTTACCTTATCCTTTACCCACTGCTCCAAAGGGCTCCTTTCCCCTCCCTCTTCCTTTCTCTCCAAGCCCTGGAAATGGCCTCTGCAATGTCATTTTTAATGTGCTGAAAGCCATTCCCCGCATCGCCAAAATAGCCAAAGTGATGCCTAACATTTATAACCAGGATGTAGATTTTCATTCCATAGAGATAAAGCTTAACATAAAAATCCCCTGGGAAAGGGAACCTGGTATCTTAGTAGAAAATGGCTGAGCTCAAATCCTCAATGTGAGTGCTAACAGGGAAGAGTATGAGTGTTTGAAAAGCAGGAAGAGAGGGCACCGCAGAGAAAGAAAAGGAACAGCAAGCGACCTTGGAACCAGGCCGATAGATGTTTTTTCACCATTTGCATAAGACGTGCTATTCCCCCATCATCCCACCCACTCCCACCTCCATCCTCTTCTAGAAGCTGCCACATGGCTATTCTAAGGGGACACTGCTCAAACTTGCAGTGGAGAATAATGGATGGGATGGGGATTTGCAGGCGAGAGCCATCTAGAGGGAAGGTGAGGGAGAGCAGAAGGAGAGGCCTGCAGGCCAGGGAGTGGGTGGCTGGGAGAGAGTGGCAGGGAGAACTGGTGGAAGGCGGGATATGGCGAAAGACACGCTCAGAGGCAAGGGAGCTTTCTGCTGAACATCTACAGCACTGGGATTAAAGATGAGAGGTGAATGCCAACGCGCCATCCATAGGAGAGATGAATGCCAATGCGCCATCCATAGTGGCCTTAGAAATAACAGCTGGGGTTAAAGATGAGAGGTGAATGCCAACGCGCTGTCCATAGTGGCCTTAGAAATGACAGCTGCGATTAAAGATAAGAGGTGAACGCCAACGTGCTGTCCATAGTGGCTTTAGAAATGACAGCACCATGAGCTCTCAAAATTAGCAGAGATGATTTTGCTGTGTTCGGACTGGAGGAGAGATGGGCATATGAGAATCAATGCATGAATGTGTGTGATTATTAGACACTCTACACAGTGACAGCCATTTCATGCCAACAGTGGAAGCCACAGTTATCTTATTTTAATTTTTTTTTCTACAATGAGCCTACTTATGGGATTCCTGTTCTGACCTCAAAAGGAAACAGAGCCGGAGAAGGGCAGTCCCTTGTCAAGGGGTGCATGGCAAGCCAATGGGAATTTAATTGTGTCACTCATTACACGGGCCTTATGGTCAGGACAGCTCTTAGTAGGTGTCCTGGGGCATTTAATTCACTCAGGCAGCAGAGCCTAATGGTTGAGGGCATGGCATCTGAGGGTGGAAGGCTGGGGTTTGGGGCCCAGTTCTGCCACTTTCCAGATGGGTATGTTTGGGCAAGTTCCTTAACCAGTGCATACCTCAGTTTTCCCATGTGTAAGGTGGAGGTAATAATGGCATGTTCCTAGGTTAGATGAAGTACATTGTTTCCTGTTATTACTGTCTAGTTTGGAAGGTAAATGGGATCTATGTGATTATTTCAGCAATCTTTTGTGTGGTATTTTTACTTTTCACACTGACTTCATAGCTGTTGCTTTTAACTCTTACAAAAACCCTGTGGGATAAAAATGGAAGGCATCAATTCCAGCTAACAGGCGAGGAAACTGAGGCTCAACATCACAGCATCTGTAAGTGGCAGAGGTCAGACTTGAGCTCAGAGTTGGTGTTTTTTGTTTGTTTGTTTTTAAGCCAGAGGTTCTCAACTGTACTCCCTGCTAGAGTCACCTCCCCTTAGAGATTCCCCTTCCCCTCTCCAGCCAAGGCTGTCCCTGAAGCTCTTCCTCCATGGGCCTTTGCCTTCTCCCATCGTTTTCCAGCAAGTCACATAGGCATCTTTACTTTTTTTAGTGGAGCACTACAAGGGTGACTTACCCTTGGCTGTTTTCTGGTGGTCAGAGTGACTTCGTCCTATTCTGTCCCTGGGTCCTCTGTGCCCTGGAAGCACACCTGGAGCTGGCCATCCCGAGTGAGGGATCCCACTGGGAGCACGGAATGGAGCAGAGTGGCACCAAGCCTGGACCCCCTGAGCATAGACAAAGTGGAACTGCAGAGGGACGGGGGCTGCAAAGACTTTCAGCAGGGTCTGCAATGATCTCTGTCCCCAGGGCTCCAGCGAACCCAACCAGGAAGCTTCTGTGTCCTCACAGGACAGATAATGATGACCCCCCTTGCTCAAGCTTTCTCAGAGGGGAGCACAATAGGTCCTCCCCATCTGGCCCCACTTCTTTCCTCAACTTGATTTTTCTACCTGTGGCCTCCCATGGCCCAGCAGAATCTATCTCTCTAGCCGTCTCTCTATTCCTCCAGCAACAGACTTCTCGAGGTCATGGTATGGACCCTTGCCCACCTCCTGGATAGCCTCTACTCACTCTTCAATTTAAATGTCACTTCTTCAGGGAGCCTGCTGTTTCTCCCCAAAGTAATGGTCTCCTTGCTACCTCCGTCCTGTACTTTTCCATCATATACTTATCACAGTTGTGATCATCTGCAGTCACAATTTTTTGCCATTATTTGCATCACATCTGCCCCTCCACTCCCAGACTGTAAGTTCCATGGGGCCCAGGACTGGATCCTCATTGCCTGGTACATAGTGATGCTCTATAAATATTACATGAAAGTATTAAATATTCAATAATGCTACATGCAAGTGCTTTGGACAGTGAAAGTTGCTTTGCAAATGTGTTTTCATCTTGATTTTATTGCTATCCATGGGGTTACCAAACAATAAAAGAACTGTCTGTGGCAGCTGAGGCTTCCAGAAGAATCAGGCAAAATGATTCGTAAGGAGAATTTATTGAAAATGGTCTGTAAGCTACACAGTGTCTTGTGGTGTGGCTGCTCCTGAGGGAGGGAAGTTGAGAAGCGAGCCTGAGGATATAACTTGTACTCAGTTTTGGTAAACAACCCAGATTCAGCATCTTGAGTTTGTCAGTGCGATGATCTGAAAGCCTGGAGAAGAAAAAGAAATGAACACCCGAGGGAGGGGCATGCAGTTGCTGTCCAGGTTTTCTTCTAAGCTGGTCTTCCTACTGTGTCATTTGAAGCCTTGCCTGTGTATGATGCCTGAGAGAGCATGTGCTGTTACCAGAATTTTACCGTCGGCTCAATCCCTTCTCCACTCCCAGCTTCTTTCGATGCCACTGAACTCTCACACCCCTATTTAGTTTATTCCTTTTTCCACACCTCGTTCAGCTCCTTCCTGACCTCCCCATTTTCTGTCCTTTGCCACAGTTCCTGCCTGCTGTGCCATTGTAGTCTGTGAGCCCAGCCTGGTCTTCAGTGCTCAACCATTCATTCCACATGTTCCTCTTAAGCCTCTGCTGTCATTCTAGAGAGCTAATCCATGATTCCCCCAGCAAATCCCACCCTTCAGGGAAGGGCACCTTTATGACTCACTTCCCCCAAGCACCTCTTCCAAACACTTGCCACTCTCAAGTCCCTAGGCCCATTCCCACCCCTGCATCATTTTTTATTCATCAACTTTTTATTGAGCATATACTTACTACATGCCAGAAACCATACATGGTTGGAGGTATAAGGGTAAATCTAGACACCATGCTTTTGCTCTTGGGATTCCCAGTATGATGGGAAGAAAGACCCAGAGAGAGAGAGAGAGAGAGAGAGAGAGAGTCCCATGAGATAAGCACTGTGGGTGTGTGTGTTGTGCTCTGTGAACTGGAGGGATGTTAGCTCTGAAGGTGTCAGGGTAACATTTCAGCACAGCATGAGCAGGGTTGCTCCAGGCAAACAGAGAGGACAGTGTCACAAGCAGGTGGACCTGCGTGTGTGGAGAATGTGGTGAATCAGGGAAGATCACCCCATTCTGTGTGGCTGTGGTGTGGGGGGCAGCCTCTGGAGAGTGGGGAAGACAGGTGCAGGCATGACCGTGGGGGCTGTGTGAGAAGCTTGTGTGTGAGGAACCTGTGGGGCAGTGGAGAGCTATTCAAAAAAACTTTTTAACAGAATGAAATGAATAGATATGTTTTAGGAATAATTGAGGAAAGGAAGACTGATTGCAGGGGATGCAGGAGGGCGGCAGAGAGAGCATTGCAGGGTTTATTCTGAACATATTCATTGAGGGATGCCACAGATCCTACAGTGCTCTCTGCTGCAGGAAAGCAAAAGTAAATGGTTCTCACACCCAGCTGCTGCAGGGGACAAAAGCTAGAGGTGGCATGATGTAGCATCTAGGTATTTAGAGATGTCCAGGACCTACCCTAAAGCAGTGCGGATGAAAGGGGACAGGCTGCAGCATCGCCACGATAAGGCTTTACCTCCCTGCTTTACTGTAGCCTCACCCCTACCCTCGCTATGCTTGCCCTGGGAGGTGGCCTCATGGGGGCAGGTCAGCAAGACTGTCCCAGGCCTTACTCCCAGCCACCATTGCTGACAACTCAAAGGAAGGTAGAGAGAACCTTAGGTCCTTGGAGCCTGGATGAGGGTAGACTTGAAGCTGGGACTCTACGCCTCTCTGCAATTATGTCAAAGAAAAGACAAAATGATCCACAGGGTGAAAAGAGATCACTCTCAAAGGCGATTTGTTTTGCTTTTTGTTTTATGTGAGAGAAACACTTGCCTTATAAAACTAAACCTAGGGATGGGGGTAGGCCCTGGGTGCCAATCTTCCATCCCAACCCCAGTGATCTGATCCCCTAGGGGCCCTTGGCTCAGTCCCGTGTGAGACCCACTTGAGTTGCTCTTCAGGCTTTCTGAGGCTAGGCCCCTTGAGGTGTCCTCAGACTCTGTCTACCCACTCCCACACTTGGGATCCTAATTTGCAATTCAGGCAGTTGAAACTGATTCAGAACGAAAAACAATTGACATCACTCCTTGAAAAAAGAAAATGATTTTGTCATTGGCAATATAAAAAGGCCTAGTTCTAAAAGCAATCTGCCTTCCACCCAGAAGGTTTGCACTGGACAGGTGAGGGTTCTGTCCCCTCCTGCCACGCTCAATGACAACATCCTCACTTGGTTTCCTCCAGGTGGGAAGTGATCAACACAGGAGAGGCAGCCCCTCCCGCCTATGCTGACCTGATCCAGCCCCACCTCTCCCTGTCCAGCCTTTACCTCTTCGTGTGTGTTCCGTAAGGAAGCTCTGTGCATGATGCGTATAAGTTGACCACCTTAAGTACTTTTCTGAGCCCCAAGTTGCTCTGGCCCATGCATTGGGTTAAAGGCAATATCTATCAAGTACTCTTCCTCCCAAAGGGTAGCTTGGAAGTAGGACTCTATATAAGCCTGCGGGGTGGCTGAGATCTTCCCCAGGCAGCCCCTGCCCAAACCCATTGACTTCCTCTTGTTCCCAGCACATAAGGACCCCGGGTCATAGCAAGAAGACAGAGCCTGGTTTCTGCTGGTTCTTGAGAACTCATGAAACCCTGAGGTTCATTTATCTGGAGTGTGTAGAGGCAAAGGAATGCTTTAGTGCGTCACCATCCAGCCCGCTGCAGGCCAAATATCCAAGTGTGTTGGCTGGGGCCCCAGCCCTGATCTGGGTTCCCAGTGAAATAACTACACTGTGCAGGTTAAATCCAGTTCCTGTCCTGGACTCCCAGTGCCTGGAAGAACTGTAGAGATCTTGGCTACTGGCAGGATTGCATTTGTCAAGCTAATGTGCTGCTGCTGTTGTCAAGGTTGCAGTATTTTCTGCATTGAGGACTATATCAAGTGTATGTCCAAGGCTCCCAGGCAGTGAGAATACTCCGTCTCTGTGTCCTGAGTGCTAATCACGGCAAAGCAACTCAAAAAGAAGGCAGGCAGCTGCCTCTGGGGCTGGAGGTAAGGTCTTCTCTCTTGACATCCTTCTGCCCATTGCCCCCTTTCCACTACCCCCTCCCTTTCTCTCTCCTCTTTTCCTCTCCCTAGCTCCTCCTGTTTGTCCCTGCTCCCCTAGCCTGGGCCTGCACCCTGGCTCATATCATCAGGATCCTGAGTGTTTTGTTTCCCACCGATGCATGTGGGCATGAGACTGTCCACTTTCCTGTGATTTATTCACTGTCTTGGTTACACCTGAACAGAGGCATCTTTTGTGGCTGGCCTTAAGGGGGCTTGGCTCTCCAATCTCACACTAGAATGAATTGATGTTTTCCTCACCCAGCAAACACTGGCTGGGCCCCAGTGGAGGCCAAGTGCTGTACTAGGCACCAGCCCTGCACTTCCTCACCAGGACAGGGCTAATTCTCAGTCCCCTCCTGCCATCGCTTCCTGAGGGCAGCCTGGCTCCAGCTCTGTTGTAGTGAAGGGAGAGGATTCTGATTTGGAATGCTGGTAGCTGCTGCCACATGGTCGATATGTGACTCTTTCTTTCCTGATAGAAAGTTATTACTTAATTATTTGAGGAGGAGGAGCTGTTTCTTTGCAGTTGGCCAATCCTGGCCATGCACGGGCCTTTGCTGGCTGGATCAGGTTCCCCTTCCTCACCTGACGTAGGATGCCCTGTAAGGTTAGCCCCAGGCCCAAGAAATGCCAAAATGGGTTGGGCCTGCTCCAAAAACAGGAGTGACCTTGGAAGAGTCCTTTCCTCTTTCTGGATTTCAGTTGCCTGGGTTCCTGCTGTAATTAGTATGAACTGACTAATGCCTGAAGGCTGGATGGTCACCTTTTTCAGCATGAAATCAAACCAGCAAGGAACGCAGGTGCTGCTGGGGAGACTGGGGTTCCCGTTGAGGCTCTTGTTCTTTGTCTCATCTGAGAGCTTACAGTGGATTCCCCACTGCCCATCTCCCTGGGTCCATGAGCTCCATTGCTTTCTTGTCCACTCCGCACCCAGTCGGTGGAGCCTCATGCCTTGTCATCTCCCTCCAGGGAGCTCTTCACCTGGAGGCTGACCAGTTCTCTCCCTCTCTCACCATGTGTACTGTGATCCAGTGGCCTCCCACGGGCCCTGACCATCAAGACTAAGAGGGTTGTGGGTGTGTGGAATGCGCTATGGGCCTGCAGGGCATTCCTTGTTCCTAGGAGATCAATGCGCTCCCTGGTATTTCTCCTGCTAGAACAAGGAGCCAAGTGCAAAAGCAAGTGTACAACCACGTTTCCTCTCCAGCACTCATGTCCCTACCATGTGATCTCTGTGGCATGTGGGTCTGACTCTCAGGGTTTCATAATCTTTCCATGAAGGAGGCACCCACAGAGGAGGGCAGCGGACACATGGCGGCAGTCAGGAAGTTAGAACCGAGGGAATGGTGTCACCATAATGGACTTGGTTAGCCAGTTGGCAATTCATTGTAGATTCATTCCTTGATACCCCACACCACAGGCTGGATGTCTTTGTGTGTCCTGGAAGAGGAGATAGAAATAATTTAGCCTGATGCTCCCGCCAGTCTCCATTCCCAACTCTCACAGAAAAGAAACTCAAAACACATGTGCAGTGGTTTCACCTCTTCCCGTGTGAAGGCCACCCTACTATTGGAGGTGTGTTGAGACTTGCCCAAGGCAGGAGAAGGGGTCACACTACCAGCCCCTACAGCCCACTTAATTCGCGATGGGTGCTGTTCACTTTGGTATAATTGGGTTGTGGTCATGACTGTACTTATTTCTGGAAGCACATCTGTATTGCCAGCCCGATTGTTCTTCTCTCATGAGTAAGTGGGCAGTGTTGTTATTCCCACCTCACAGAGATGAGACTTCTTGCTGGAGTGCTCACAGGCAGCGGCAGGACCAGAATCCAGGCCTCCTGGCTCCCTGGCTTTCCTGGACTCTGACAGCCCCGTATGGTCCAGGGATTGTTGACCTGACCTGTCAAAATAGATTTCTTCACCAGAAAACAGGGAGATGCAATCGCTGGGAGAGGGATCACTTTTTTCTGCTTTAGGAATGATTTCTTGTTGCCTCTGAGCAAAACCCCTGCAAATGATTAGCCTCCCCGGGAATAGTAGGAGGTAGCCATGCCTATGTGTCAGCTGGATAAAGAGCTGATGCACCTGGGTAAGAGGCAGGCTGGGCTGGGTGGAAGGAAGTCAAGAACTCTATGAAATTTAAAGGGACTGAATCTAGGATTTAAATCAGATAAGACTTGTGAAATTCTCATGTCTGGTTGGTATCCCTCGGTGGGTAGAAAGAAGTCAGTATTAGAAATTTGAATTTGTAAACTATGGTCTGGAGTATGGAGCTTCTGAGAATGCATTTGCACTGCTCAGATATTAATATTGATGCAGTAGGTTAGGAATTAGGTGCTGAGAATAGAGCGATGCACATGATGAGTTCCTGCCCTCACTGCACTTCCAGTCAAACATCAAACACAGCAGTTAAAACTGAAACAGAGAGAAAAGTGACATAAAAGGGCTAAGAGGGGGACACAGCCTGAACAGATAAGCTA
The DNA here is from genome assembly GCF_000001405.40 of Homo sapiens. Classification (NCBI taxonomy): domain Eukaryota; kingdom Metazoa; phylum Chordata; class Mammalia; order Primates; family Hominidae; genus Homo; species Homo sapiens. Next base: position 50,652,816 of record NC_000018.10, read on the forward strand.
GTCTGGGAAGGGAAAGGAGACATCAGGGAAGGCTTCCTGGAGGAAGGGACATTTAAACTTAGACCTAAAGGATGAATAAGAATTAGTGGCTGGGTATGGATTACACCTGTAATCCCAGTACCTTGGGAGGTTGAGGCAGGAAGATTGCTTGAGCCCAGGAGTTCGAGACCAGCCTGGGTAACATGATGAAACCTATGTCTACAAAAGTTTTAAAAAAGAAAAACCTAGCTGGACACAGTGGCATGCACCTGTAGTCCTGGCTACTCAGGAGGCTAAGGCAGGAGGATCTCTTAAGCCCACGAGTTTGAGGCTGCACTGAGCTATGATCGAGCCACTGCACACCAGCCTGGGTGACAGAGCAAGACCTTAGTCTCAAAAAATAAAAAAAAAAAAGAACCAGGCGAAGAGAAGGTGGGCAGTTTCCCTAACAAAAGGAACAGGTTTTCCTGACAAAAGGAACAGCAAGTGTGAAGGCCCAGAGGTAAGGGAAATGTGACATTATCTATAAGCTGAAAGATACCTTTTATGGCTGGTGAGTAGAGTTCAGCGAGACTGGAGATCAGAGGCTAGAGACAGTGAGAAAGGATGTCAGTTCCCAAGATGAGTTAAGGAAGCAAGGTAAATCCTTCTCCAAGAAACTGGGAAAATTAGAAAAACAGAAGCAAGCACTCAAGGATGCTCAAGAGTGCTCTGTAACAGGAAGCCCCATGGGAGATGACAGAGTTCACTGGTGTTGGAACCACGCCTAGTTTAGAACCCAGGCTCTACCTTCTAGGGTGTGATCTTGAGGAAGTCATTTCAACTCTCTGCAAAATGGAAGGAAGCGGAGGAGAATGGGCACCTGCAGGGCACCTACTGTGCACCACGCACTGTGCTGAGTTGATTAATCTACTGAGAATAGTTCCGCCTACCTCACAGTGTAACTAATGAAACTTCAACTTAAACGTTGTTGAATGTGTATGACTATGCCCAGCACCTAGGAGGCCCTCAATAAAGGCTAGCGCAGTTGGACTGTGTGCCTGGGGAACAAGGCAGGGATTGGTGCCAGAGACAAAGAAAGATCCCGTTAGCAATGGGAGCGTGAGGTCAGAGTCAAGGCCACCGATGCACATGGGCTCCGACTGAGTGCCAGCTCCAGATGCTTGGCAGAGGCTCTCAGGAGTGCTGTTTTAGAAGGACTTTGATTCTCCTGGCTCATCAGGAGAGAGTCATGACTGATTATCAATGTCTGCCATAGGCACAAAATGGAGTGAAGTAGTATATACGGCACACATCTGCCATTGCTGGTCGAAAGCAAGATAATACGGACTCCTGTGGCTACAAGCCAAGGATCTTTGAGCATCCCTGCCATGGGCTAACCCTGCAGGTAGAAAGTAAGTGGTCCCATTTATGGGTCCCAAAATTCGGCAGGAAAACTCAGGTCTGAACACTGAGCTGCCAGAGGACTTTCTGCATTCCCATGATGGCTTATTAAATGTGGGCTCACAGAGTTATCTCCCAATTCAGGGAAGGCACAGTGGCCTGCAGGCACCATTCAATAAGTACTGAAGCCAGTGTGGGAGAATTAAAGATGCAGGCTCTGCCTCTCCTCTGAGAAGCTCAGATCCGGCTGGGATCACTTCCCTTCAGAACACAGCCCAAACAAAGCAAGCCCCAAATAGGGCCTCACCTTATTTAGCCACTGAAGTCATAATTGCACTGATTTAGATTTTGAAAGAGGCCACCATCTTCTGCTATCTCAGATCTCCTTCCTTTAAAAAGAGAAGTTTCCCCTTGAATCTACAAGGGTCAAAGGTTGCAGGAGTCGTTTAAAATCAGAAGGATTTACACACCTGCTACACATGCCCCCTGGCACACTTGTGGACCAGAAGCTGGACTCAGCCTTCAGCCTGGGCAGGGGCCTTTGTGCAGCTGGTGCTATGCCCGTGGCCACCGGCTCCCAGACTTCCCACGCAGGGACCCAGATGCTCCCCTTCCCCAGCTTTGCTGATGTGGTGCTGGAGTTCCGACGAGGCAGCCGGAATTTCTCTCCGTGCTATTTTAGTATCGCTGAGAGGCATGGGAAGGCTTTGTTCTCCCTGGCTGGTTACGTAATTTTCAAAAGGAAAACAGAGCAAAGCCTGAACGCTCCTGGAGTTTGCTCTTTGGGGAGGAGGGAACTCCCCACCCAGCATCTGATGTTCCTTCTGCAAACTTCTCTTCCCTCCCTCAATTCTTTCCTCTAACCACCCCACCTCAGGGAGGTGAAGATAACAGGGTCCCCTCCTGTTTCTTTCTCAGCAGTGTCCCCACAGGCGTGTTCTTTAGAAAACCGTATTGAGGGAAACACAACCCAGGGTGGGTGGCATCACTGCCTCCCAGGGACCTTAAGATGTTTGCAGTCACCACAGGCTCACACGTCCCAGGGGGAGAAGGCTCACCTGAGGCCCATCATGGGCAGCAGAGCCTGTCAGTGGTTCCTCTGCTTGAGATGTATTTATTTTAGACTAAGCTGGGCTTTTGGCTCGGGTCGGTTGGTGTCCTGCTGGCTGGTGTTTGTGAAGGGTCATCCCAGGTCCTGGGCTGGGAGTGGTGCTGGGCATGAGAGAGGAACAGGCATAGGGACTGTAGCCCAAGGTTGGCATCATGGGCGGCACCATTAGGAGCAGCCATCTGCCCATATATCAGGGTTTCTGCAAAGGAAAATGAGTTCCTGAGCATGCACAGGTCACTCCACACGAACCACTGCAGCCTGCACTCCTCTGGGGTGGAGGGAGCAGCGCTTAATTTCAAAAGCCGGAAAGCCAGGGAGAGTTGTTTCTCCTAATTCCTGGGGGTCCCCCTGCCGCCGCTGAGAGTGAGACCCGGCTGAGTCTCAATGGTAAAGATCAGCAGTTACACAGCAGTTCTTAACTCGGTGAGGAAACACCTCTGGTCATTATGCTTTTGGGGGCCTGTGTGGCCTCCTCCCTTGAACCCCTGCTTTTAGCCCCTACTCACTCTGGAGGGATTTAAAAAACTTTCTTTTCTGGGCCTCAGGGATGCTTTTTAAATTTATCTTTCCATGTGGGTTGTACTGTGTCATAACCAAAATCTTACTGCAAACATGGAGCCATTCCTGTGTCCACTGATATTTATTTATTGAATCCCTCTCTATATGCCAGACACTGCCCTGGACCCTGGGTTACATCAGTGAAAACAGACAGGTAAGGTTCCCCTCCTCCCCAGAATTCTATCTGACTCTGGAATCTAATGAGATCCATGCCAGGTGAGACCCAGGACCCCAGACTCAAGGAGGGCTTTTCAAGGCCTCTTCTCTATTTTAGAAAGTCAAGAACTGCAGATCTCCAAGTCCTTCCTCTCCATTAGTTAGCTATCGCTGTATAACAAATGTCCCAACATTTATTGGCTTAAAAACAACATTTATTACCACGCAGCTCCTGAGAGTCAAGAATCTGGGCATGGTTTAGTTGGTGCCTCTGACTCGAGGTGTCCTGGGATGTCCATCAAGCTGTTGGCGGGGCTGTAGTCCACTCAGGGCTCAACTCAGGGAAGGGTTGCTTCCAAGCTCACTCACACGGTGGCCAGCAGGTCCATTTCTGAGAACTCACAGGGATCCCCCCATAGGGCTGCCTCAAGAAGGAGCAGCAGCTTCCCCAAAAGCGAACAGGAGAGAGTGATTACCTCAGATGGAAGCTACAGGCTCTTTATAACATGATCTCAGAAGTGGCATCCCATTCTTTTTGCCAAATTCTATTCTTTAGAAATGAGTCAGTGAGTCCAGCACCCACTTAAGGGGAGGGGATGACACAAGGCCTGAAAACCAGGATCACTGGGGCATCTGGGAAGCTGCCTTCCACATCCTCCAAGAGCCTCTCTGACTGATGGGACTCACCCTGCTTCCTGCTACGCTTATAGTAGGAATCACACAGTTGGCCCCTGAATGTTCCTGCATTGTTTCCATAATTATTGTTGTAGTTCCACTCCCCCAATATGAATATAAGCTTCTTGAGGTCAGAAGCCATGTGTCCTACCTCTTCTCACTTTCCATTTAGACCAACCGTGTGCTGAGCAAGTTACTGTCAGATCATCTCAGCCTCAAGTAAAAAAAAATGTAAAAGTCCAAAGCAAAAATGTCTTAAACAGCAGTAGGGCTTAACAGTCTCTCTTGGCAAGAAAGCTGGAGGTGGGTAGTTGCAGGCGTGGCTCAGCTCCTCAGCGATGCCAGCAAGGTCCCACACTCCTCTGCCACCTCCCCACGTGGCCTCAAGACAGCTGCTGCAGCACCAACACCACTTCCTCTACAACCGCATCCACAAACAGGAAGTAGGATTTCTTCTTGCTTGGGAAGGAAACCTTTTCCCTTAGGACTCCCCAGCAGGCTTTCCCTTAGGCTTGTTGACCAGAACAGGATCATATGACCACCCCTAAAGCAATCACTGCCAAGAGGGAATTGTATTACCACAGTTGGTTTAGATTCATGGTCCTCAACAGGGATGGGTTTGGGAGATGACATCACCTCCTGGGACTCCGGGAAATGTGAGTCTGACCCAGGGACCAGGGAGCGCTATTGGCATTTAGTGGGTTGGGATCAGAGTTGTTAAACTTCCAGCAATAGTATATGGTACAATCCCATAAAACAGAGAGAACTGCAGAAGCTGAGGCCGGAGTCATTGTGTAATCACCTGAGTGAGCTTGGAAGCCGATCTTCCTCCCTATTTGAGCCTTGAGATGACTGCAGCCCTGGCCAACAGCTTGACCTTGAGTCCGAGGCACCCAGCTCAAATGCCAACACCAACCCTGTTGAAAACTGCTGATTGAGACCAGTGATTTTCAACCAGAGGTGATTTTGTGCCTCCCCGACAGGTGACAGTTGTCAGTGTTTGGAGACACTTTCAGATGTCACAGCTTGGGGGTGTGACTGGCATCTAGGAGGCCGAGGCAAGGGATGCTGCTGAACATTCAGCCGTGCACAGGATAGTCCCACTGCTAAGGATCACTTGGCTCAAGATGTTGACAGTGCTGAGGCTGAGAAACCCTGGTTTAGACCCACTGGGAGTCATTCCTGGGTAGGCTCAGCTGCCTGATGGCCGAACCAGACCTGGTTTGTTCGTGAGGAGGAAGCAGGAACGTTTCCTGGGTAGGTGGCCACAGTCAGTGTCAGCTACAGGCCGTGCTAGTCAGGATGCCTGCAAGTCAGCCAGCTCGTCCCAAGGATGCCCAGTCCCTGTGCCACAGGCTCTAGCATGGCTGAGGTTCACAGTTAAAGGTCAAGAACATGATGGAAGGTGGGGGTGTGGTTGTTTAAAATCAAGGGTTTTTTACTCCACTTTTAATATTATTTCAACATTCTATTTCTTGGTTTCTCTTTCCATAGAATGGGCTTACTGTGGCCTCCATACTGGGTTGAACAAAGGCTGAAAAGGTGGCTGCCTCTTGCTTTAATTTGAGACATACCACAAGGTGTGCCTACCCCACATTTTTCCCTCACTGGGCCTGAAAACTCACACTGAGCCTAGATGGTTTGTGGTAAGAGTCACTCGCTGGGGCTGAGATCATACTATGGCGATTAGAGCGTGAGTGTTGGACTTGGACCAACCTGAGTTGACATCCCAGATTCTTCACCTGCCAGAGGGTGACTCTGGGAAAATCACTTCCCTCTTGGAGCTCCATGGAGGACGATATCAACCTCACAGGGGTGTTGTAAGACCCAACTGAAATAATCAGGTGAAGCCGTTGGCCTCTGGTAAACCCTCAGGACATGCAGTTCCACCATCTTCATCATGTCCTCTTTACCATCTCTCCAGCAGGCTTCTGTTAAGATGCAAGTGGGGTTGCGGAGCAAGGCACATCAGCCATACCACAGAATTGCAGAACTAGAAGGGACTTTAGGCCAGATTAGGTAGCTTTTGGAGAGCTGGGCCCTGAGGGCATCAAATTTGCATATGAGCTGAACCAAGCCTCACCTCCTAGGTAGCTCCCTAGGAGGCCAGGCCTGGGATAGTGTCGCCTTGAGGGGCAACAGGAAGACTGAGTCCAAGAGGAAGGAGACAGTGCAGTGCAGGAGGAGCCAGAAAAGGGCCGGGTCCCAACACACTTCAGGACCTGCTTGTGAATGAGCTAGAGGATGTTCCCACGGAGTCTAGAGCAGAGGTCCACGAACTACAGCCCACAAGCCTAATCTGGCCCAGCACCTATTTTTGTAAATAAAGTTTTACTGAAATGCAGCCATGCTCATTTGTTCAGGTATATTGTCTGTGGCTGCTTTTGTGCTATAAAGGCAGAATTAAGTTGTGTTGAGTGGTTTCAACAGAGGCTGTATGTCCTACAAACATGGAAATATTTGTTATCTGGCTCGTTATAGAAAAAGTTTGCCAATGCCTGGTCTAGAGGACTCCATTCACATAGACCACAGTGACTCATTAGGATCATGAGCCTTGGAGTCAGACTGACTGCGATGTGAATGGTGCCACCTAGAACTGTGCAGTGCATAGCATGCTCAGCTGGAAATAGCGGCTCCTCGGGAGAAGGGCTTCCTGTAAGTTTCAGAGTGTTCAGGAGAGGGGAAGAAAGCAGTGTCTGTGAAATGTCAGCACCTTGCTGGGGAGATAGTTCCTGTGGAAAGTCGAAAGCATGAGGTTCGGGAGGATCTGAGCAGATGGGGAGGTAAGTCTAAATTTAGACTTTCCAAAGCTGATTTGTAAACCAAAGCCCCAGGAATCCCAGAAAGGGACAGTTGGCACACGCCATCTCATCTCTGGTTTGCCTCCGCATGTTAAAAGGCTGGATGAGTGAGAGAATAATTAATTGGCCTCAACTAAGCTGTTACCTGAGAGTCAGTGAGAAAGCAGTTGAGAGCTGAAACTCCATTGTTCAGAGTCCTGAGGGTAGAACTTTCTATTCCTGTGTTTTATTACGATGCCCAGCCATGGAATCGTGGGGACCTTGGCTGCTCTTGTGAGAGTTCCATGCATTCCTCTTGCTGGGTGTCATTCAAGCACGATTGAACGAGTGACCTTTCCATCTCAGACAGTGAATGCCACCTCCCTGGGTTTGAAATCACACCTGTGATTCGGAGCAGCTCTGAACCACCACCTTTGAGCTGAGAATGGTTGGGCTTTGCCCTGAGAAGCTGCACCACACCAAGAGCTGCCATAACCACTCCCCTGCCCAGGTGGACACATCCAGATGCCAGTCTGCTCCTCCCCAGGGCCAGTGGGCCCACACCTCTCAGCATATCATGCAAGAAATGGACCACTAACCTTAGACTTCTTAGGCGGTGGATGCCTTGTAATCAGCCCACCTAGGGAGAAAGGCAAAGGGCTTACAATGCAAATTACAGAGGAATTGGAAAGAATTGCTCTGTAAAGAAACAGGAAAGAAAGAAACAGAAAATGAAGAGGCTTGAGAAGAGAGGCATAATAATAAACTCAAATGGGAACAGAGAAATGGTCAGACAAGAGGCTGCCTGATTAGAGCACTGAAACTCTAAGAGAGGCAGCATCTAAGCAGAATATGTTACTAAGAGGATTGAAGTTCAGAAATATTAGTTGGTCTGAATGGTTAGGGCTTGTTGTGAGATGCGCCCTTTGAACAATTTCCATGGCAAGTATCACAAGGGACAGTGACCACCTAGGAAACGTGGGCATCACCACTGTGTAGACATAATGAACGGTACTCAGCTCCTTCCAGTCAACGGATATTTTCTATGCTCTACTTTGTGCCCTGTAAGCTACTTGTGAAGCTTACAGTCTAGTTGGGAGATGGACATGTACAAAAAGTTAAATAACAGCCCAGGCTAATGTATGGTAAATGCCAAACACAGCGTACACATGAGTGCCACAGGAGTTTAGAAAAGGGAGACATGTCATTGAGAACCAGGATGGATGCTTTAGGAAAGAAGTGAGACTTTGGATTCTGAATGATAGGATTTCAACAAATGGGGGTGGTGGGGAAGCAGGAGAATATTTCAGGAACTGGGAAGATACAAGCAAAAAAGCCAGGCAGCAAAGAGTCTATTTAGCAGCCCACAAGAAAGGTGGAGTGGCTGGAATTGAGGCTTGCCACGTTGACATCGTACCTGGCCCCTAAGCTGACAGCATATTGGGAAGACCACTGAAAAAGAGACACACACACGGGATACAGTCCCTCCCATGCATGAGAGGGAAAGAGTTTTAAAAATAAATAAAGCACCTCTTAATTATTCGCTGATTATCTGCATTGCAGCTGATCTCAAGCAAATCCTGCATTCAGCTTGCTTGTGATGTCATCCCCTCTGCTTAGGTGCTCATTCCTCTCTCTGTTTACAACCCAGCAGAAGCTGGAAAGGAAGAAGGCTTAAGCATGTCTCTTCCTAAAAAAAATAATGATATGCAATTGCCTCTTTTTGCTATGCCCTTGGGAGTCAGACCAGGCTTGTGGGGAGAAAGAGAAGCTTCAGTGTAGTTGCCATTACATGACTTGGGCAGCAGGAGTCAAGGAGGGAGAGAATGGAGAGCTGTGGAGGCTCTTTGATTCCCCTGAGTTAGGTATCCAGGCCAACTTCGCTAGCACAGGCCATAGAATCTGGTTCACTGGGTGCTCCCAGCACTGTCTCTTAGTGGCTGGGCATCCTCAAACAGAGTGAATGGTATTCATTTATCCATTCATCAGATGGATATTGACCCTATGTATGCTGAAAGCACTAAGCTGGTGCTCTCCAAGCCTTGGTATCCTCACCTGTAAAGTTAGAACTGGAATCAGAATCGATGTTTCTCAGTGGAAGTGCTGTTGGCATTCAGGGGTGGAGGGGTGGATGTCAGTGGATGTGCTCTGGGCATTTGGGCATGGAGGTGGGAATGCTCGGTAGAATGGTTAGCAAATCCGGCCCTACCCATTAAATACCAGTAATGACTCCCAGTCAAATAAGGTGAGGAGGGCAGTACCATCTCCAGATAAGGACCACGGGCCTTGTTTTCTTAGATTTCTTCCCAATCTGAAATTCTGTAAGTCTATGGTTGTTTTGTTCCTGGACCCAGTAAAAACATGCAGAACAGAATTACCGAAGATCTGACAAATTATCAGAATCTTGAGTACATCTTATTCAAATGTAAGGGAATGTTTAACTAAACAGCAACAATAGGTAACATCTGTTAAGCAATTACTATGTTCTAGACCCTTGGCAAATTTCCTTCATTAGAAGTCTTTACAGGCGATCTGATTGTTTACTATTTCAGATCATCTGTGTCCCCTAATTTGCCCCCTTAATTTCAGAGCATTGAGTTGACTATCGTTTTTGCTTCATTTATCTTTGCAGAGTTGTGCGAAGTTCAGATAGCAAAGTGTCTCTATAGGAGGCCCTGCGATATGAGAATAAAGCAGCAGTCTGCCAAGTTCATGCCTTTGTGTTGGATACAGTCTTCTTTCTTTGTGTGTCTGTGGTCTTTATGAACTTAGAAAACCTGCCAGTCTCTTAGACGCTATGATATTACCTTACTTCAGAGATCTGAATTTACATGTCTAGTTTTGCAGGGTTTTTCCTCCCCACTTAGTTCCTATACCTGTAATTTGAGTCAACAGCCACCAGAGGGCAGGGACAGTGAAGTTTAGATTTGACCCATTGCTTTGAAGAGCGAGGTCACATTGTCAAAAAGAATACAGCTCACCATGCCAGTTTTGATATAGCACTGGGAACTCTGCACCCTGGTTTCTGGGCAAAGAGAGTCCTTTTATTATAGGTGGCAACATTATTTCCTTGTAATTTGGTACATGGGCTTCTTCAACTTACGTGGAAAGCAAGAGATACAAATGTCATTACATCTTAGTCCCTGTGAAAGCCTCTTAAAATGTTCAAAGACATTTGTAAAAGAAGGAAGAAAAGGAACCCAAGTGCAAAAACACGAGTATCGATCCTTTGTTTTCTGTCTGCAACTCATTGCTTTCTACTCTCACCCTTCCTAGCTAGCGCTGATGTGTGTGTTTGGAGAGCATAAAACAAATTAATTTTCCGAAGGTCAGAAGGGATAATTCTCCACCGTAATTTGCACATGTTAAACTTGGGGGAGCAGGCACTGACATAAGAGGCACAGCATCTGATGGTCTTATCAAATCAATCCATCTTCTGTCTCTTCCAGGGGAGTGCTACGCACAGCAGGAGGGTGGCTGGGCAGTGCAAAGCCCCGGAATCCCCTGAGCAAGCAGTGTTTCAGCTGGCTGGACAGATCAAATAACACTTGGGCTGGTTAACAAAAGACGCAAGTGGGAAGGTGTTGGAAGCCGGAGTGTGGAAATTTACCCAACGTTATTTCTTTGACAGGGAAGGAGACTTGGTCTGAAAGATGCCACATTCCTGCAGCCTCTCTTGGTGCAGTGGAATACAGTCTTGGGCGAGGTGGCGTGGATGAGCTGGTGAAAGAGGATGCTGCCCACATCCAAAGGCTCCAGAGGATCCTGGCCTGGCAGCTGAGCTCCCCTGCATTTGGAACCTCAGGCGTAACTTGGTGTAGAGCTCATGAAAGGTGCTTGTGTTTCTCCAGCTTTTTTCACCAGTGCTTACCAGACTGGCTCAGGTTTTGGAATCTAAGGTGAGCTGGTAGAAACAGGAGAGGTAGAAAGAAGCCCCTGGATGCCTCCAGAATTCATTGATGGGATCCCTGCATACTGCTTGGAACACAGAAAGAGGCTGTGACACAGCTGAGCTTTGGAGCATCTTAAGGAGCTCAGCTCAGCAAACAACTCTTGCATTTCAGCCAGAAAGAGCCTCTTGTAACAAAGTATTCAAAGGGGAGAGTTTCTGCATCTTTTACTTTGCAGTCCACTATGGTAGAAAACTTGACATTCCATAGATAATGATACTGGGTTTTCTTTCCAAGATGCCAGCTTTAAAAGAAATATGAGCCATTCTAAGCTTTAAGAAGGGTTCAGGAAACACAGGAATTAGTAGACAGCCCTCCCAATGCAGGTTAAGACGACAGCCTGCGCCCCCAACTAGCACAGCTCAGCGAGCATGACCATATGCCATTCTCGTCTCCAGAGAGCTGGTGGCAGTGACCTCACTAGGAGAAAACACATCCCTCAGCCGTGGGACTTGACAGAATGAGGTGCGCGAGGGAGGCCGCTAGCCGAGACTTGGCCTTTCCTGACTGCCCCTGTGTTACCTGGGCAGCTCCAGATCACTGAGCCCACAATGGCTGAGAAGGGTGACTGCATCGCCAGTGTCTATGGGTATGACCTCGGTGGGCGCTTTGTTGACTTCCAACCCCTGGGCTTCGGTGTCAATGGTTTGGTGCTGTCGGCCGTGGACAGCCGGGCCTGCCGGAAGGTCGCTGTGAAGAAGATTGCCCTGAGCGATGCCCGCAGCATGAAGCACGCGCTCCGAGAGATCAAGATCATTCGGCGCCTGGACCACGACAACATCGTCAAAGTGTACGAGGTGCTCGGTCCCAAGGGCACTGACCTGCAGGGTGAGCTGTTCAAGTTCAGCGTGGCGTACATCGTCCAGGAGTACATGGAGACCGACCTGGCACGCCTGCTGGAGCAGGGCACGCTGGCAGAAGAGCATGCCAAGCTGTTCATGTACCAGCTGCTCCGCGGGCTCAAGTACATCCACTCCGCCAACGTGCTGCACAGGGACCTGAAGCCCGCCAACATCTTCATCAGCACAGAGGACCTCGTGCTCAAGATTGGGGATTTCGGGTTGGCAAGGATCGTTGATCAGCATTACTCCCACAAGGTATGTCTGGCTGGAATGGCGGATACTGGTGGTCCACAGAATCCCCAAGAATACTTGCAGCATTCCCAAGCTATTCCTAGCTCCATGGTAGTCAGAGGACTAGAGTTAGTAATTAGGGGAGGCTGGAGGGTGCTAGGAAGATCACTAGCCTGAAAAGTTGTTGGAGGCGTGGAGGGAGATCTGGTTCTTGGTCTTGGCTCTGCTATGTGGCTTTGATCACCCTGAGCTGTGCCTGCAGAAGCTGGACTAGACGATCTCCAAAATTTCTTCCAGCTCTAAATTCTATGGCTTGAAAACTATGTGGTTGGTGAATTTGCCTCTAGCATCTTCTTATCCCTGCTGTCCACTTAGCCATCCCATGTCCTTCCTGTGTGCTCAGGACACACCCTGAGGCTTCCCACCCTGTGAGCCTCATGCTCTGGTTGGTCTCACCTCCCTCATCCCATCCAAGCTGACCCATTCGGTGTCCATTTCTCTCAGTCAGTGGACAGCAGGCACAAATTGTTGATCTGATGAGCTAATCCTTCACTGTACCTTATCCAGCTAATGACTCTGTTCTCCTGGGTCCCGTGATGCTCTTGCTTCTCAGTGTGATGTGAAAGCCATGGGTGGCAGACGGTACTATTGCGATTCCCCGTGGTGGGTGCTAAATGCTCCACCAACTGCAGGGATCAGAGCTGACCCGGCCACTCTGCTGGAGACAAATGTCACACTGAGTTGTTCTCAAGGGCCCAGACCTCCTCTTACCTGATCCATTCCTCTCTTCAGAAGCTGGGAGTCCTCTGACATTCCCTTCCTTCCCCTGCCCCGGGTTCCTGCCACTTTAGGGGTGCCTCTGAGCCCCTCAGCATGAGCATGTTGCCATGTACCCTGCAACAGAGCTGGGGGCTGGCTGTGGCTTCCAGCCTGCTGCCCAAACCTTGATGCTACAAAAAATGTTATTAGAATAAAACATCTCCTTGGGATTAGGTGTACAGTAGTCTGTTATCATCCAAGGGGCTGGGGTGGGTCATGAAAGGGGAGGGTGGTTTTGACCTTGAACATGCTTTGGCTGTCTCCCTGAGCCCCATTCCTCTGCCCTCCTTTAGCACCCCCACATAGAAGGGCACTGATCTGCCCTCTACAGCTGCAGTGCAGGGCATCACAGGGGGCAGGGAGCAGGGCTCCCTGTCCTACCCTCCCTGGCTGGAACTTGGGCTCCAGCCCAGGTTTCAGACCCCAAATCAGCCCAGCTGGCTCTGGCTCCTTGGTGCCACAAATTACTTAGTGACCTTAACCATGAGCCTGCCCTCTGCCCCACTCCTGCAGCCAAGCCATCTGTCAAAACTGACAGCCAACTCTGTAGGAAGGAATGTCCATGGGCTGGGGCCTGGGGAGGCAGGGAGAAACAGTGCCCTTGTATCTCTTTCTAATTCCTTGAACTGCTTCTTTTTTCTCTTTCTTCTAAGGAGCAATGACTCCAAACCACCAAACCAAGGGTTTTAATCCAAATCTGTTCTTACTTGGTAAAAAACCTAGAAAATCCACAAGACTCTTATATGTGGGATGCACAAAAACTACCTTCTGAATTGGAATAAACCGGTACATTTGAGTATCATATGATGAAAGAACCTGATTAAGTGAGCTGCAACAAGGAAAGAGCTTAAGACAGCACATAGTAGGGCTTTAGGAAGGTCCAGGAAGATGGTTTATTGTGGCGTAAACTGGCTATCGCAATAATTCTTTGGGGGTGACATGGTGTGAGCAAAGGACCCTTTAGGAGGAGTCAGAGGTCTGGGTTCCTTCTAACAGTGCTAGCTTGGATGTAGATAGTCACTTACCCCCTGGGAGCCTCAGTTTCCCCTCTTTGACAGGGATAATAATTGTGCTCTGTCTGCTCCTCTGGCTTATGGTTAAGAATCAAAATGATCCATGAATGTAAAATTCCTTGGAAAGCAGTCAGGACTGCATCCATTCATTTAATGGATATTTGCTGAGCCAACATCAAACCCAAGCTCAGTGCTGGGAGCTGGAGAGACCAAGGCTCACACGATCCCCCAGCAACCCTGAGGGCTGGGCTTAGTGTTATCCTGTCACTTGGGACTGGAAGCCACTTCCCTGGTTGAGACTTTCATTTTCCCAATGTAGAGGAATTTTGATGTTCTGACTTGCTCTTATCGGGTTCTCTTTAATAAAATTCGCTGTGGGAGGTTAAAGAAATCACTGGAGGCAGTTATGAGCCCAGTAGGTGCTCACATCATCCCTGCAACCCCGTGTTTGGCAGATGCCACCCACCCCTACCCCACCTCCTCCCTCATACACTTTCTGCTTTTAGCTTTCTGCCCTCTCTTCCCACAGTGATGATGAAAGGCTTTATATTTGGTGCTTTTATTTATCCAATGTGCATTTAAATCAGTTCTCGTTTAATCCCCATAATGCTGTGAAGCACTTAGGGCAAATGGTTCATTTTAAAACAGAGAGAAACGGCTTTCTCAAGCTTACACAGCTGATATGGCCAAAGGACACAGGATCTGAGGCCTCTTCCTCTCCTGATGGAGGGTCTCTCTGAGCGCTGTCTCCTTCATGAAGTCTTTCCGGATTCTGGGTTGGAATTAATCATTCCTTTCTCTGAATTCCCATGGCACTTTCCCCATCCCATCATGGGTATCTTCTAAGACTCATCACTCTCTGCTCTGTCCTAGGAGTATTTGAGTCTGTCTCTTTGTACTCTCCCAAGCTGAGAGTCCCTTGGCCCCTTGAAAGCTGTCTCTCCTTCTTTATGGTTCCCCTCCATGGATTCTGATCACTGTACCTAAGACATGGCCCTCAATCAATTTTGTTGACTGTATTGAACAGATGGAAGAATAGTCATCTACTAGCACATTGCAGAAAGGGAGCTGTTGGGTTCATTGATTTTGTGTGGTTGGAAGGGTTGACTCTCAGAAAAAGAGCACATACTTCTTCCAGACAGTAGGTTGGTTGTGGTCAGATGTGTACATCTGGGGCATGCATCTGCTCTCTCCAGTGTGCTTGGAGGATGCTGTCTACACACAAACTTCTCGAAACTTAACCCCTTCTAAAGTTTTATGGATCTCCACTCCCTTTGAAGAAGACCATGCTCACCTGGGCTGCAGCGAGTGCCTTTGTGTGGGACAAAAAAATGCCCCTTCTCCCTGGCTGAGACAGCCCAGGGCCAGCGATAGGCTTAGTGATCCAACTGGAGCCTTGTTTGGAAAAACTCTCAGAACATTTTTCCTCTGCTCTCACACCACAACAACATACCCAGAAGACTTCTGTGACCTCAAAACCTTGGGGATTTCTCCCCACCGGCAAGCTAGCAATCAGTTCTTCAGTGGACACCAGCTGGGTGTCCCCCAATTCAATTCCAACACTATTTACCTGGAGATAGCATCAGATCCCACATGTTGAGGGACACAAGACTGCCCCCTCCTTCCCACGAGTCATATTAATAAGTCCGTGCCTCCGGAACTTCTGATGGACTGGCTTCAAGTTGGGGTTCCCATGGTCCCCTCTTTGAGTTTAATTAATTTGCTAGAGGAGCTCACAGAACTCAGGGAAACACCTATTTACATTTACTGTAAGGGTTAGGGTTAGGTTCATGTAACACTTCCTTACATTTATTATGAAGGACATTTTCAAGGATACAAATAAACAGCCAGGTGAAAAGATATACAGGGCATAGTCCAGAAAGGTCCTGAGCACAGAAGCATCTGTCCCCAGGGAGTGGGGGCGCACCACCCTCCTGGCACATGGATGAATTCTTATTCGCCCACCCAGCAGTGTGCAGCAGCCTGGTCCTCATGCCTCCCATCTTTCTCATGGGTGGACAGTATGTCTCATTTGCTCCCACATCCCCTCCTCTAGCGCAGGGCCTGACACTGGGCACGTGCCCATTAGGTTCATTTAGTGAAGGAGATACCAAAGGAAATGGCCTTCTCTTCTCTAGTGAGCAACTGGCCACGTCGAGGTTTCAAGTTGCAGTCAGGATGCATGCTGGGTGTGTGCCCCCTACTGCACCACCCCTGGGGGTCTTGGTCTTTGCAAGGTCTAGGGGCCATGTAGAGGCTCCTGCAGCCCACACTTGGGGAGATGGTGTGGGTGGCAATGGAGGATGTTCCCTTTCAACAGGGGCAGTCTGGAAAACACTGCCTCTGTGTTATTCTCACTCATCTCGCCAACTGCATGACCTTGGGCAAGTCCTTTTGCTCATGTAGTTTATCCCTAGAATAGATCTGTAAAAAGACCTCACACCCATGTTGTCCATCCCTGGCTTTTCACAGATGACAAAACTGGAAGGGAAGGAGACTCGCTCAAGGTCACACAATGAGTGGCTGAGCCTGGGTTTTGACTCCATGTCCACTGTTTTCTCAGAGCTTCACTTCCCGATTGTCTTTTCTGCCAAATCGGGAGAGTCAGGCCATTCTGCTTATTTCATAGGATTCCTGTTAGAGTCAAACGAAAAAGCGTGGCTGTCAAAGTGCATTCAGATGTACGCAGGGCTAAATCACTAACCAAACTTTGCCCAAAGAGATGCCACGGCAATGCCAGGCAGACACCAGATGTCAGTTTCCCCTTCACTGAGATACGGACCCCACTCCTGACCCAGTGGCCTTGGGGCGAGTCTTGCAACCCCACCTGAGGGTGGCTTCTCAGCCCGTGGTCCTGTGACAAGCCCTTTCTACCGCTTCCTCTGCAGGCCCGCTAATGAGTTCTTCGTTGTTTGTGTTGAGAAGAGGCAGCTGAAGGATTGGAGTGTGCTTTCTTCTGAATTTATCCCATTAGGAAGCAGACTATCTCAAAAGAGAAAAAAAATGTCATTAAGACTTCACTGAGCACTGTGTAAGGCTTAAGAAAGGTCAGGAACCACCTCAAGAGTATGCGGAGGTCCTGAGGAGCACGATGACAGCTTGACTCACGGTGAGAGTGTGTTGCTCCAGGAAGGGCCACCTCTCCTCCTACCATAGAGTCCTCGCTGGGGCTGCTGGGGGGACCACCCACTACCCTTGCTTGTAGCACTTATTTTACCCTGGGCTCACTAAACCTGCTCATCTCCACTACAACATTCAAGAACCGTCAAACTCCTGATCCAGTAACCTTCTATGACTAGCGTGCATCATGGCATTTACAGTAAAGCTAGCCCTCTACAGCTCACACCTCTGACTGCCAAAGGCACATATAGAGGCCCCATTGCCGGGTCTATCGTTCTTGCAGCAGTACTTCTAAAATTAGGTGGGTATGGTATAATACAAGTTACTTTAATTCTAATCCCCTGGCAGAATTTATAGCATATCCATTCCTCATTCTATCTCTCTAAGGGATAATCATAACAAGTTCTATTTGCTTCTGACAGACTGACCTAAAATCACTCATTGCAGCCGGGCACAGTGGCTCACGCCTGTAATCCCAGCACTTTGGGAGGCCAAGGCAGATGGATCACAAGGTCAGGAGTTCAAGACCATCCTGGCTAACATGGTGAAACCCCGTCTCTCCTAAAAATATAAAAAATTAGCCGGGCGTGGTGGCGGGCACCTGTAGTCCCAGCTGCTTGGGAGGCTGAGGCAGGAGAATGGCGCAAACCCCGGAGGTGGAGCTTGCGGTGAGCCGAGATCGTGCCACTGCACTCCAGCCTGGGCTACAGAGCAAGACTCCATCTCAAAAAAAAAAAAAAAAAACACTCATTGCCTATTTTTTCATAAGCCACATGGCGCTTGTCTTTCACATATCCGCCTTTCAAAGGGGCAGTAAGCAGAAAATACCCAAGAAGGAAAGGAAGAGGAAGGTCCCATCAGAATTTGGGCAAAGGCTCATGTGTTTTGGTGGATCATTCAAGCAAGTCTGTTTCCTGCGGGACTGGCCTGCCTTTGAGCCTTTCTGCTTCATAGCCCTCTGTCTTCTTTCTTCGTTCAAGATCAGACTGCTTCCATGCTTTGCCTCCATATCTCATTAGGATGCCTTAAAAATTAACTAGCAGGCCGGGTGTGGTGGCTCACGCCTGCAATCCCAGCACTCTGGGAAGCCGAGGTGGGCAGATCACTTGAGGTTAGGAGTTTGAGACCAGCCTGGCCAACATGGTGAAACCCTGTCTCTACTAAAAATATAAAAATTAGCCAGGCGTGGTGGTGTGTGCCTGTAGTTTCAGCTACTCAGGAGGCTGAGGTAGGAGAATCGCTTGAACTTGGGAGGTGGAGGTTGCATTGAGCCAAGATCACACCACTGCACTCCAGTCTGGGCAACAGAGTGAGACTCCGTCTCAAAAAAAAAAAAAAAAAAATCAACTAGTGTAGTGGTTCTCAAAGTGAGGCCCCACACCAGCAGCCTCAGCTTCACCTAGGAACTTATTAGAGATACAGATTCCCAGGTTCCATCTCAAACAACAGCCCTTAGGGTGAGGCCCAGCAATCTGTGTTTTCACAAGCCTCCAAGGGATTCTGATGCTCCTGAACTTTTAAGAACCATTGACCCAAAGACATGGGATTGCTTATCTCAGGACAGAAAGCTGATGCTCCTGATGTGTTTGCTGACGCTTGGAGCTGTGGCTCTCAAACTTCAGCACAATGAAGGAGACTAAGAATGCCTCCCAGAGAACACAGGTGTGTCTGAAGCAGGTGCCTTAACCAGAAGGGCTGCTAATGGTGGGAATCTCAGGCTCTGTGACAGGGGTCATGTGGATTGTTTTAAGCATGATGACTTTGGAGGGCCTCACTCACATCACCTTGGAAACTGCCTGCTACCCCATGGCACGAGTTTACTGGAAAGCTACACACACCAGGGACCTAAACCCATAGGAGGACTGTTTATGTTTAGGTTTGATTTTTAACAATTAGGTGATACGAACAATAATTTTGGAAAACATAGGCTTTTCATTCTGGTGTGAACTACTTCACTAGATGTTATTTAAAAGCAAAAACACTGGTTTCACAGTTCAGCAAGATTGAATGTCTGATTGAGGGCTCAGCAAATTACTGCAGTTTGTTAAGTTTGTGGTTCAATTTGAGGTCCCAAAGGAGGAAAAGAGGTACATGATGTCAAACACATGCAGCCAGCTTCCAGTGGCTTTGCGTGGGAGCTCTGGTCAGCGGGGTTTACATGGGTTTAATCATGCTGAGGCCAGATGCAGTGGCTCATGCCTACAGTCCCAGAGCTTTGGGAGGCTTTGGGAAGACTGCTTAAGGCAAGGAGTTTGAGACCAGCCTGGGCAACAGCGAGACCCCCATGTCTACAAAAAATAAGAAAAAATTAGCCAGGTATAGTGGTGCACACCTATAGTCCCAGCCACTCAGGAAGCTGAGATGGGAGGATCACTTGAGCCCAAGAGTTCAAGGCTGCAGTGAGCTATGATTATACCATCGCACTTCAGCCTGGGCCACAGAGTGAGACCCTGACTCAAAAAAAAAAAAAAAAAAATCATGTTGATCAACTTCATTTCCTCCCTCTCCTGGGCACTCTGTCTTTCTTTGATGGCTTCTTGCCTGAGAAAAACACACAGAAAGCTCTCCTAAAGCACAAATTCTCTCCAAGCTGAAACTAGGAGGAGAAATATTCAATCTGTGACTAAAATGGGGTCTCTGCCGGTGATCAAGAGAGTGCCCTTTTAGTGTCTGTGTGTTTATATTCAGGTCTCCATAGTGCAGATGGCAACCCACAGGGTGCAGGGAGTGGAGAAGGATTTTCCCAGGACCCCAGAGTAGGAATGGGGTCCACAGGGCTGGTGCTGGGAGCAGAACCCAGCCATCCGCGGAGGCTGGATTTCATGGGAAAATGAGCTTGTGGAAGGGCACTTTCTGAGGGCTCAGCTAGCAGGAAAGGTCACTTTCTTCTGAAGCCACTAAGCATGTTATTCCAAATCAGTGGAGCTGAAAAGATTTATTTAAAAGGCTATGAAATATCCCTTTTTTAAAGGGAAAAATATGATCAAGGGGATTAGAACGGAGGCTGTACTTGAGAGTCAGGTGTCCCTGAACACCCAGGCAGACTTGGAAAGCTCATTGTGTTGGCGTTCAGTGCCTCCCTGTCCCCTTCCCATGGCAGAAGAGGATCCCGAGAAGAGGCTCTTCCCTCTGTCCCTGGGTCTCTGGGGTCCTCTTCTACCCACTCTCAGAAGAACACCACACCCAGGCCACCCTTCCGGGAAGCAACCCCACTGAGCTTGGGGTGATATTATAAATCTTTAAGCACAAGCCTGGCCTGGGAGATGACCAATCAGAAAGGAAGCCAGCCAGGGTCCTGAAGCAGGGTCCTAGAGGCGTCCTGCTTGCCACCAGTTCACCCTTTATTGCTGGATCAAGGGGAGGAGCAAGGGAGTCAGGGGCTTGGAGTAGTGGCTATTTACCAGTCAGCTTGCAGTATTTCATTATTCAGCAACTGGCCCAGCTATCTCAGTGCACATCAGCCACGCTGTGCTGCTTCCCTCATATCAAAGTTCCCCCTTTCCAATGTGCCTGTGGGTCTGGCTGTCCACTAGGGGTAAGCAGTTGATTAAATGGCTCAAAGTGCTGGGCATAGTGGCTCACGCCTGTAATCCCAACACTTTGGGAGGCCGAGGCAGGTGGATCACTTGAGGTCAGGAGTTCAAGACCAGCCTGGCCAACATGGTGAAACCCCATCTTTACCAAAAATACGAAAATTAGCCTGGTGTGGTGGCAGACACCTGTAATCCCAGCTACTTGGGAGGCTGAGCCAGAAGAATCTCTTGAACCTGGGAGGCAGAGGTTGCCGTGAGCCGAGATTGCACCACTTCACTCCAGCCTAAGCGAAAGAGTGAAACTCCGCCTCAAAAAAATAAATAAAAAATGCCTCAAAGGGATCAACAGCCCCCTCTTCGGAAGCCCAGCCTGCTCACTCACCTGGTACTCCCCTCACCATGAGAGCTGCCACCTCCTGTGGCAAGTGCCAAAGCTCCTGAAGAATTCAACAGGCAGGAAGTCTGCAGCCCGCTAGGGACGCTGGAGTGGAGCTAGTGTGTTTCATGCAGTGCAGGCTTGCTGGTGACAAATCCTTTGTTTACCTAGAAAGTATATTTTTTATTCTCATGTTTAAAGTTTATTTTCCCTGGGTGTAAAATGCTGAATTGGCCGTCGCGGTGGCTCACGCCTGTAATCCCAGCACTTTGGGAGGCCGAGGCAGGCGGATCACCTGAGGTCAGGAGTTTGAGACCATCCTGGCTAACATGGTGAAACCCAGTCTCTACTAAAAATACAAAAAATTAGCTGGGCATGGTGGCGGGCGCCTGTAGTCCCAGCTACTCGGGAGGCTGAGGCAGGAGAATGGCATGAACCCAGGAGGCGGAGCTTGCAGTGAGCCGAGATTGTGCCACTGCACTCCAGCCTGGGCGACGCAGCAAGACTCCGTCTCAAAAAAAACAAAAATGCTGAATTTACCATTTTTTTTCAATACTTCAAAAATGTCATTGCCTTATTTCCTGTCCATGTTGTTTTTAAAGAGTAGTTGGTCTTCATTCATAGGATTGTTCCCCTGTATGTAATGTGTCTTTTTTTCTCCAGCTGATTAATGAATATTATTAAATGGAATGAAGTGGGAGGGCCTCGGTGCATAAGTGTTGAATAATGAGCTCCTCCTTCCTTTTATACCCAAGATTTGCTGGTGAGAGAACTCACTCCCTCTCAGAGGGTGTTTTCAGTCCTGGTGTAAAGGACCCGACCTTCAGTCATTGCTCCAGTCTCTCCACTTGGGTACACCCAAGTTGTAAACATCTCAGGAACAGGACACTGTCTTATTCTATAGGCAGATATTCTTTGGTTTATATCGAAGAAGGATAATTAGAAAATTGAATCAAATCCTTTTCCGTTTTCTCCTGAAATGTGGTTTCTTGATTTAGCTTTGCTGCGGTAGCCTGTTGAGAAGACAGTAGTATAGAAATAGAAGGCTCGGTGGGGGTGTGGGCATCGCATTGCTGTGATGATCCTGCCTTTTGTGGTTACCTTCTATTTCAGTCTCACACATCTGTGAGCTGGGAGAGACCAGCCCTTATCCTCGCCTCATCCGCTGCCACTCCACTCCCTCGTGTTGTAACTGACTTGTCACCATTCCCTGGAAAATACCATACCCAGTGACAGCTCTGGTCCCACACACTGTTCCCTCTGTTCCCACATAAACTCCTGCGGACCCTGCTCAAATGTCCCACCTCTGTGAAGCTTCACCCAGCAACCCAGGGAAGAGTTAATCACACCTTCCTCTGGCTGTGCAAAGCCGTTATCCCCACGTTACTGTGATGATCTGTTTACATGCCTCTTCCCAGACAGACCTGGCAGGGCCCCTAGAAAAACATATGTATCTCTTTCATTTCTATATTCCTGGCACCTAGCATAGTATCTGATCCATTGTATGAGTTCATTCAATGCTAATTGGCTAATGAACAAGCCAAGCCTCTGCCTTTCTATTGAATAAGCATGGTCTTCAAGCATAAATTCTCTTCCTCAGGGCAGCATTCAAGGATTTGAAGTCATCTACCATGTCCCTCTAAATCTCGGTAGGCTAGAAGCCCCCCTATACAAAAATATTCAGGTACTCTTCTAAGTGCTTAATGGGTGTTAACCTACTAAATCCTCATAACAACCTAATAGGTGCTGTTGTTGCCCCCATTGTCTAGATGAAGACACTAAGGCACAGAGAGTAACTTATCCAGGGTCACCTGCCTGGTCAATGGCAGCGTTGGACTGCAAAGCCCAGTGGCAGCTCAGAGACTGTGCTCTCAGCCACTGAGCTCAGCTGCTTTGATGGCCATTCAGGTGACTGCATTTCCAGAGCTCACACTATCCTGACTGCCCTTTCATTGACCTCCTTCTTGGCAAACCATTTTTTTTTTTTTTTTTTGAGACGGAGTTTGCTCTTGTAGCCCAGACTGGAGTGCAATAGTGCAGTCTCGGCTCACTGCAACCTCCGCCTCCCGGGTTCATGCGATTCTCCTGCCTCAGCCTCCCAAGTAGCTGGGACTACAGGTGCCTGCCACCAGGCCCAGCTAATTTTGTTTTTATTTATTTATTTTTTTTGAGACAGGGTTTCACTCTGTTGCCAGGCTGGAGTGCAGTGGCACGATCTTGGCACACTGCAACCTCCACCTCCTGGGTTCACGTGATTCTCCTGCCTCAGCTTCCCAAGTAGCTGGGACTACAGGCATGCACCACCTTGCCCAGCTAATTTTTATATTTTTAGTAGAGGCGGGGTTTCATCATGTTGGCCAGGATGGTCTTGATCTCTTGACCTCGTGATCTGCCCGCCTCAGCCTCCCAAAGTGCTGGGATTACTGGTGTGAGCCACCACGCCCAGCCCATTTTTTTGTATTTTTAGTAGAGACGGGGTTTCACCTTGTTGGCCAGGCTGGTCTTGAACTCCTGATCTCAGGTGATCCGCCTGCCTCAGCCTCCTAAAGTGCTGGGATTATAGGCATGGCAGACCCTTTCTTAAAATGTATCTTCCAGAACAGGTGCTATGTGATTTAGCTAGCACAGCATCAGTGGGGATGCGACATTGCTGCTCTGTACACATCACGCTGTTCATGTTGCCCATGGTCTTTCGGTAGCCAGGTTGCACTGTTGGCTCATTGAGCCTGTAGTCAACTAACTTCTGTTAGCTCTGTATACTCTATTTTACATGAATATGGTTGATCTTTTTTTAGCCCAAGTACAGGACTTTCTTTACCCTCATCCCTTGTAGATTTCATCTTCTTGGCTTCCTGCAAATATTGTAACCTGATGAGATCTTTTTGGATCTTTGTTCTGTCACATAATCTTATCCCTTATAGCTTCATAATTTATAAGCCTGTCTTCTAGGACTTCACTCATTTCACTGGTTAAAATATGTGTAAAGAGATTAGACCAAAGGCCTAGCCACTAGACACGCCCCTCCAGAGTGACACTGACATTCTTTGGATTTAGCCGTCAAACCAGTTATCAATTTACATAGTTATATACTTTTTACCCAAATTTTTTCATTGTCCACAAAGATGTCCTCAGGGGTTTTGTAAAAGTGTTTTGAGACTCAGGGACACTGTAATATCCTTTCATTCTATCTCAATACAATTTGAAACTCATCCTAAAGTTAAAAAGTGACATTCAAGCTGCATGACCAGCTGTAACAGTTTTAATTCCTAGATACATGGAGCACAGATGTTAGGAAACATCACCACTTTAGAGAGAACCCAATGCATGAAAATCTAAACTTACAAAATTATATTGGAGGCTAGGGTGTGCTTAGGTAAACTATCATTCATCCACTAAATAGAATTGTTACACGAGTATGTTCTATGATGTTTTTGAAGAGTTTGCAATAACATAGACAATTTTGTGTAATAATAGTAAGTTTGAAAAGCAAGATACAGAATTATGAAGATGGTATGATCATAAGTTTAAAACAAGGAGAAAATAACTAAACATTTTTTTAAAATAGACTTGAGTAAGGGTCCCCAACCCCTGGGCTGAGGACCAGGACTGTCTGTGGCCTCTTAGAAACCAGGCCACACAGCAGGAGGTGAGTGGCTGGTGAGGGAGCATCCTCACCTGAGCTCCGCCTCCTGCCAGATCAGCAGTGGCATTAGAGTCTCATAGGAGCTCTAACCCTATTGTGAACTGCGCATACAAGGAATCTAGGTTGCACGCTCCTTATGAGAATCTAATGCCTGATGATCTGAGTGTAACAGTTTCATCCCAAAACCATCTCCCAGCTCCTCTTCCCGGTCCGTGGAAAAATTGTTTTCCACGAAACTGATCCCTGGTGCCAAAAAGGTTGGGGACTGCTGGGCTAGAAGTAAAAACTCCAAAATGTTAACAATGGTTCGACAAGGCATAGCCTTCTTTCAATAATTCCCAAAAATATGTAAAATGAACATTCATGGTTTTATCACAGTAACCTTTTCAGGTGGGAAGTTGGGAAAGTTTGCTGCAACAGTTTACCCATTGCAAAAAGAGTGGTAAACCTGGATTATTCGGTTACTGAAAGAAAAGGGTCAAGCACCCCAGCGTGTGGCCCAGGAGTCCACGGACAGGGACCCTCAACTGCCTTCTGCTCTGAGGTGCCCACTGTGTCATGTGTGTAAGGTTTTTTTTTGTTGTTTTTTTTTTGAGACAGGGTCCCACTCTGTTGCTCAGGCTGGAGTGCAGATCATAGCTCACTGCAGACTCCATCTCCCAAGCAATCCTCCTGCCTCAGTCTCCCAAGTAGCTGGGGCTATAGGCACATGCCACCATACCTGGCTATTTTTTATTTTATTTTATTTTTAGTAGAGACAAGGTCTCGCTATGTTGCTCAGGCTGGTCTCAAACTCCTGAGCTCAAGCAATCTTCCTGCCTCTGCTTCCCAAAGTGCTGGGATTATAGGCATGAGCCCCTGCACCTCCCAGGTCTATAAATCTTACCTCCCCACCCAGAGTGGCTGCTCTGCCTCAGGCTGCAGCCTCTGGGAAGAGGAGACTTCTGGACAGGCTGGTGGGGTGAGGGTGGGTTCCATGCCCCCGGGAAATAGGACAACCTCCTCATAGGTAGAGTGGGCAGGTACTAACTAGTGCCATGTGAGCCTAAGCAAGTTACTTAACCTCCCTCAGGCTGGCTCCATCCCCTCATAATAACTCAGGTTTCTGTGTTCTCAGATACCTAAAATTGTACCACTAATAGTAAATTGTATTGGAGTGGTTGACCATGTATTAGTTTCTCTTCTAAGATACCGATAAAGGGAGTGAAGATGAGTGGGAACAAGTCAGAAAATTCTTACTGTAATGAACTTGTCAAAATGGATTAATTAGGAAGCACTGGGCTAGGGGAAGGGAGTTGAACTCAAAAGGAGACCAGAATACAGAGCCCCCTTAAATGTTGACACATTTGCAATTTGGCCAAAGCCTGCCTCTAGTACTGTGGTTATACACTACAGGTGATATTCAAGATATTTAACAACTGGTAAGCTTTGGGACCAACCAATCTGAACAGACATCGGCAGTGACCAATCAGAGTAGATACTGTCTGGGAGCCGCCATCACCCCTCCACCCTGTACAGACTGGAGAGCGGGCCCTGTCTTCCCAGAGGTGTTCACTCAAGGGTCCACCAGCGACTTCCCTGTTCAGGCACTCAGAGCAGCAACTGAGAGGTCTGCCCTGGCACAGTCACTTTGGGAAGAATACAGCTTTTTTTCCCTCCCTTTTTCAATAATTCCCAAAAATATATAAAATGAACAGGCCTTGGTCCCACAGCTGCCCCCACACTCTTATTCTTGCTTTCTTCTCTTCCAAGATAACACGTTTGCCCTCTGCTGTCCATCATGCACCTGGCAGGATCCCCTTGTTTTCTGGGTGAAGGCAGCAGGAAAGGGGGAGCCATTCCTTGCCCTCCCTTTTGTGGCATGGCGGCCCCACCTTTGGCTTTCAGATGACACGGCCAGCAGGTTTTCTGGGGTATGGGAGACTTGAGGGTATGGTCATGAAGATTTTTTTTGCAGCGTCTTCTGCATACAAATACTACCATCTGTAGGAACCATGCAAACTCCAGCAGTAAGCTCGATGAAGCCATTGTGATCCGCAGGACTCACCTGAGGTCTTCTTGGGGTCAAATTTTCCCCATTGTCAATCCCTATGCCTTTTATTATGGAATTGGAGTCTGAGTTCCCCATGAAGGAGAGCAAGCCCGGGAGCACAGAATGGCCTGCGTGGCCTGGTTTCACAGGCCTGAGGCATCACTGTGTGTGAAGGTGGTTTTCAGTAGCCCACTTGCTGAGCTGGGTGGAGCCCAAGGCCAGGAGGACTGAGTCATGGGTGTGCTTCCGTGCAGGTCTTTTGTCTTAGCCACGTTTTCTTGTCCCCAGCTGCCCTTCCAAGCCTGACTCTAACCAATTTGCAAATGCTCTGGGTCGGAAGCTAGGGAAGGAGTGATCAGCCAATGGCTTCTGTAGCTGGAAGATCAATACCCTCATATCTACCCAGAAATATTTCCTACAATTCACAATAATGCACCCTAGGGAGTTCTTTCCCACCCATAACTCTGGATCCTCATACCAACCCTCTGAGAGAAGCGAGTCAGGTTAATTACTATCCTCCTTTGATAGATGAGCACAAAGGAGCCCCTAGGGTTGAAAAGCTCATCTAAGGCCCCACTGCTAATGAGAGACAGAGCTGGGACAAGATCTGCCTCCGGGAACCTGGAACAGCAGCTGATGTAATCAGGCTCCGTTCCAGAATTTGAGAACTTTCCTGGTACCCTCTGTGATGAGAAGAGGGAGTAATCATGGCATGGAGGCGCTCGGGCTTCCGCTTTGCCCAGGTGGAAGCTTGGAGAACAAAGCAGTTCTGTGACCTCCCTGGGCCCCACTGTGAGCAGAGATGGGGCCAGGACAGGAAAGCCTCCTCCCTGCCCTCCTTCCTGTGTCCCTCCTGGTGGCCTCTCCCCGTGCTCTTACGCTGTCCTCCTCTACTGTCCCTCCTCACTGGAGACTCACTGAGGCCCAAGGCCTGCTAACTAGCAACATAGATTCCCACCAAGGGACCCAGCGCTCGCCGCCCCACACACAGCGAGTTAGGAAAAGGCCACTACCCAGAGTATTCCTTTCAGTAGAACAGTGCTTTTATATTTGCTTTTAAACTTTTTTTTTTTTTTTTTTTTTTTTTTTTTTGAGACAGAGTTTCGCTCTTGTCGTCCAGGCTGGAGTATGGTGGCGCAATCTCGGCTCACTGCAACCTCCACCTCCTGGGTTCAAGCAATTCTCCTGCCTCAGCCTTCCAAGTAGCTGGGATTACAGGTGCCCACCACCACGCCCAGCTGATTTTTGTATTTTTGGTAGAGACAGGGTTTCACCACATTGGCCAGGCTGGTCTTGAACTCCTGACCTCAGGTACTCCGCCCACCTCAGCCTCCCAGAGTACTGGGATTACAGGTGTGAGCCACCGCGCCTGGCCTAAACTCTTTTTAAAAACAATGTTATTGAGATATATTAACATACCATACAGTTCACCTATTTAAAGTCTACAATTCAATGACTTTTAATGTATTCAGAAATGTATGTCCATCAGCAGAATCAGTTTTAGAACATTTTCATTACCCCCAAAAGAAACATCATCCCATCCCCCTTCAGCATCACCTGTCCCCACAAGGTCCCTCATCCCCCAACCTTAGACAACCACTAGTCAGCTTTCTCTATCTATGGATTTGCCTAGTCCGAATATTTCACATAAGTAGAGTCACACAACATGTGGTCCTTTGTGACTTCTTTCACTCAGCATAATGTTTTCAAGGTTTATCCATGTGATTGAAGCAGGTATGAGTACTTCATTTCTTTTTATTGCCAAGTACTATTTCATTGTTTGGATATGTCACATTTTGTTTGTCCATTCATTAGCTGATGGACATTTGGGTTGTTGCTACTTTTTGGCTCTTATGATAAAGCTGCCATGAACATTCATGTACAAGTTTTTATGTGGATATGTTTTCACTTCTCTTGGGTATATACCTAGGAGCGAAATTACTGGGTCATGTGCTACTGCTTGAGGAGCTACCAGACTGTTTTCCAAAGGGGCCACACTATTTTGCATTCCCACTAGCAATGTATAAGGATTCAATTTATCCACATCCTCACCAACACTTTTTTTTTTTTAAATTTTAGCCATCCTAGTGGATGTGAAGTGGTGTTTCATTGTGGTTTTGATTTGCATTTCCCAGATGGCTGATGACGTTGAACATCTTTTCATGTGCTAATTGGCCATTAGTATATCTTCTCTGGAGAACTGTCTATTTAGACCCTTTGTTCATTTTTAATTGGGTTTTTAAAATTATTGAATTATAAAAGTTTTTTAAATATTCCAAATGTAAGTCCCTTATTAGATGGATAATTGCAAAAAAAATTTCAACCCAAATTTTCAACTCAAGTTCTTTTGTGTTGTCTTTTTCACTTCCTTGATGTTGTCCTTTGAAGCACAGAAGTTTTTCATTTTGATGATATCTAGTTTATGTCCTTTTTCTTTTGCTGCTTTTGTTTGTGGCATCATATCTAAGAAACCACTGTCTAATCCAAGGTCATGAAGATTTATGCCTATGATTTCTTCAATTTTTGTAGTTTTAGCTCTTCAGTTTAGGTCTTTGATCCATTTTTTAGTTGATTTTTATACATTGTATGAGATAGGGGGTCCAACTTCATTCTTTTGCATGTGGGTAATGATCCCAGCACCAT
This sequence comes from Homo sapiens, assembly GCF_000001405.40. Lineage (NCBI taxonomy): Eukaryota > Metazoa > Chordata > Mammalia > Primates > Hominidae > Homo > Homo sapiens. The sequence goes on from NC_000018.10 coordinate 50,681,660, forward strand.
CTCTTGAAAACACTATTTTTTCCCATTGAATTGTCTTGGAATCTTTGCAAATATCACTTAACTATAAATGTAAGAGTTATTTCTAGACTTCATTTTTTGTTGCTGTATATATCGCTGTTATTCCAGTACTATGCTATCTCAACTACTGCAGTTTGTAGTCCGTTTTGAAGTCAGGAAGTATGAATACTCCAACTTTGTTCCTTTTCAAGATTGTTTTGACTATTCAGGCCTTAGAAAGGAATAAAATGCTGATACAGGCTATAATGAGTGAACCTTGAAACCATTATCCTAAGTGAAAGAAGCCAGTCACACAAAGGCCACATATTGTAGGATGCCATTTATATGAAATGTACAGAATAGGCAAACCCATAGAGACAGAAAATAGATTAGTGGTGCCCAGGGCAGAGAAATGGGAGAAAATGGGGCATGACTGCTAATGAGTATGGAGTTTTTTGTTAGGTTGTTGAAAATGTTCTGGAATTAGATAGTAGTGATGATTGTATTACCTTGTGAATAAACTAAAACCCACTAAATAGTACACTTTAAAATGGTGAATTTTACGACGTGTGAATTATATCTTGAAAAAAATTTTAAGAGATAATTTGAATACCTTATATCTATGAAAAGCATCGTATATGTAGTTTAAAATCTTCCCACAAAGAAAAAAATACCCTCCAGGCCCAAATAGCTTCATTGGTGAATTCTACCGCTATTTAGGAAATAAATAATATCAATTCTACAAACTCTCCCAAAAATTGAAGAGAATACTTCCCAACTCATTCTAAACCTTATTGTGATAGCAAAACATGACAAAAACCTGTATAAGAAAAGCAAGTGACAGATTAATATCTTCCATTAATATTGATGCAAAAATTCTAAACAAAATTTTAGCAAATTGAAGCCAACAATATATAAAAAGGATAATACATATTGACCAAGAGTGTTTTATCCCAGGAATGCAAATTTCATTTAATATTTGAAAATCAATGTTATAACCATTTTGGAAAATGATTTGGCAGTTTCTTTAAAAGTAAAACTTACATCTGTCATATGATCCAGACATTTCACTTCTATGTATTTACCCAAGAGAAATGAAAGCATATGTTCATAGAAAGACTTGTATACAAATGTTCATCACAGCTTTTCCATAACCAAAACCTAAAAGCTACCCAAATGTCCATCAACATTCAAATGAAAACACTAGTCTTTCCATAAAGTGGAGTCACCACTGGGCAATAAAAGGGAATAAACCATTCACAACACTACAGATGTATCTCAGGAGAGTTGTGCTGAGTGAAAGATGACAGAAATAAATGAAGTAAATTCTGTGTGGTTCCATTTATGTAAAATTCTAGAAAATGCAAACTAATCTACAGTGATGGAAAACAAATTAGTGGTTGCCTAGGGATGGAAAGGGATTACAAAGAGGAATGATGAATATTTTGAGGATGATGAATATGTTCTTTTTTTTTTCTTTTGAGACAGAATCTTGCTCTGTTGCCCAGGCTGGAGTGCAGTGGCGTGATCTAAGCTCACTGCAATCTCCATCCCCCAGGTTCAAGTGATTCTCCTGCCTCAGCCTCCCAAGTAGCTGAGATTACAGGCAAGCACCACCATGCCCAGCTAATTTTTATATTTTTTTAGTAGAGACGGGAGTCTCACCATGTTGGCCAGGCTGGTCTTGAACTCCTGACCTCGAGTGATCCGCCTGCCTCACCCTCCCAAAGTACTGGGATTACAAGCTTGAGCTACCACTCCTGACCTAATATGTTCATTATTTTTATTGGTGATGGGGTGTGTGTGTGTGTGTGTGTGTGTGTGTGTGTGTGTGTAAACTTACCAAAATAGCACACTAAATATGTGCAGTTATTGTATTTCAGTTATACCTCAATGAAGCTGTTTTAAAATAAATACGTTTATTCAATTAACAAATATTTGAATGCCAACTATGGTCTAGGTGTTGGAGATACAAGGCTGAAACACAAGACTCTAGACAAGGTTCCTGCCTTCGTGGAGTTTATATTTAAGTGGAAAACTTATATAGACCAGATTATTTTTAAGAGTCCTGGAATTTACCCACACAGCTCTTTCAGCCCCAGAGGAGAAGTTTCCTCCCTCCCAGAGCTGCAGGAGAACTGGCAACACAGCTGGATGTAGGGTGGCATGGAGCTGGGTGTAGGGTGGCATGGCGCTGGAGTCCAGTGATAGACTAACAGTGGTTAGATTGTCTCGCTTCTCTCTGGATGTCCCCCTTAAGGCGTCTGATCACCATCCATGCTCCCACTCCTGACCAGCAGGAAGTGGGTCAGGTCTGAGAACAGACCCCTGTGGTCCCTTGTAGTCCTTCATGTCTGAGAACAGACCAGATGGCACCACGGAGACCTCCTGAGCCAGAGAGAGCCAGGTTGTGTTGTGCAGATGGAGGGTGCTAAGGAAAGAAGGGAAGTCGGAGTAGAGAGAGGGGGCTGCCCTGTTGCTAGAGCACTTTCTGGCTAATGTTTTCATTCCTTTGGAGGCTTGATTCCATTAAATAACCTGGTGGAGCCCCTTTTTTGCTTAAACTTATTTGAGTGGCTTCTGTTATTGCAATTAAGAAGAGCTTTGACCAGGCGTGATGACTCACATCTATAATCCTAGTGCTTTGGGACGCTGAGGTGGGAGGATTGCTTGAGGCCAGGAGTTCGAGACCAGCCGCAGAAACATCGCAAGACCCCTTTTTCTAAAAATAAAAAATAAATTAGCTGAGCATGGTGGCGTGCACCTGTAGTCCCAGCTACTCAGGAGGCTGAGGCAGGAGGATCACCTGAGCCCATGAGTTTGAGGCTACAGTGAGCCGTAATCAAGCCACTATACTCCAGCCTGGGTGAGAGAGCGAGCCCCTGACTCAAAAAAAAAAAAAAGCTTTTATTCCCCTTCACTCCCTTGGGTGAGCTCTGCCTTCGGGGGGTGAGGAGAAGACACCTCCTGGCCTCCCCATCACAGTGGGCTGTGGCTTGGACCCATTCATTAACTACAGCAGCTGCCACCCTCAGAGAGCAGGCTGTGTGGGAAGGGAGGGAGGTCAGATTGCTCCAACCACCGAGGAAGACAGGTGAAGGCAGGCCTGGGTGAACAGCCTTGGGAACTCTCCAGAAGGCATCAGTGGGAAGGCACTGGGATGAATCTAAATAGGATGAAAAAGGAGGCTCCAGGCAGACCCATAGGGATTGAGGCCAGAGGGCCGGGAGCAGTGTGTTAGGTGCCCTGCAGACGTCTCCATGTTTCGGTGGCACCGGGCCCCATCTTTGTTCACCTGGCTGTCCTCCATCTCCTTCTCTTCTCACCCCTTCTTGTTTTCCTGTTTCCTCTCTAAGCCTCCTAGCTCACAGCACTCATGATGGATGTTCCATGCCCACCAGAAACACACAGTACTAAAACCATTGCTCCTTTGGGAACAAAACCTTGGCCTGAGATTCAGGTGATCTGATTTCTAGTCTCCATTCTGCTCCCAACTCACCAAGTGACCAGGAGCAAACATTACTGCCTGTGCCTTGAATTCCCCACCTAGAAACTTTCTTCTAAAGGCACAGAAGCAAAGTGGAAGAAAGGCCAGTTGGCTGGCATCAGGGGCCTGGGTTCCAGCCCTGCCTCCTGAGTGTTAACTGTGCCACCTCAAGCAAGTTGCCAAGCCCGGTGGGTCTTGGCTTCCTCACTCACTGTCCAATGAGAGAGAATATGGCCAGCATCCCACACGTGGCTATGGGGAAGATCCTGCAGTTCCCTTTAAGTCTTAAGCAGAGGGAAACTTTCCTTCATCCAGCGGGGGCCCAATGGACACATCTGCTTTACCAAGTGAGATTTTCCTGTCATCTACAAGAACGCGTAGAGAAATGAATGTGCAGTGCATGTGGGGGAGGCACCGGGATGGCATAAAGCCAGCCGTGGGATTGCTTATCCAGCCAGGCAGGACTCCTGTCCTGGCATCTTCCCTTGCCACCCATCTGGAGACCAAGACCCCAAATTCCAGATGTGAGGCTCTGTGAGATCAAGCCAGTCCTCACACCAGAATGACCTGCATCCTTCGCCTTCTCAAGGGAGGCCAGTGCTGTTTACTTCACACCTTCCGACGGTTTGGGAAGAGAATCCAATGTTGTAAAGCCTGCCATCTTCTTGAATGGCACCAGATACTGACACTCGGTACACGCAGCTCTCTGGAGCATGCTGTTTTCTCGGTGGCACTGATCTGCTGCCTTCACAGAGAGTTCTGATACAATCATGGCATGCAGAAAAGAGCAAAATATCAAGGGGCCAGAGCACCACGGTTCTCAGACACACAATGGGAGAGCCAGGTAAGGACATAGAAATCAGCCAGCCCCCTAGAAAGGCCCCCTAGAAGTAACTCACCTGAGGTGATGGTAGAGACTGGATTTGCTTTCAGGAGTAAACCAAGGAACAGCAAAACAAAAATAAGCCTCGTTAGGAGTCGTGTTACTCTTTGGTTTTTAACTTCAAATTAATTTCTCTTCTGAACCTTCTGCAGACCAAGCTGCCAAATGTAACTCCAGTTTTCCACACTTCTGCCTATAGCCTTGCACCGTAGTGAACTAAAATTCAGAAAGACTGGAAGCTAAGGAAGTCACTCAGTCATCAAACATTAAATTCTGTTCCCTGGCAGCTATGTACCCAGGCAGGAGATTGAATGGGAACTCTTTGGAGAGATTTCCAGCAACAGGAGTTGAAACAAAAAGTCTTTTCTGCTTAATCCTCATTTAGCCAGAGCACTAAACTGCTTCCTAAAAAGCACCAAAACTTTGTCCACATGATATTCTTTACAATGGTGCGTCCTTTCTGAACAATGGATTTTCTTCTCAGATGTGGCTCCCGATTTAAGCAAACCAAACCGACACAACTTCATACCTGCTGGATGGCTAAGGGATGTTTGCTCACATTACAACACTCATCTTGCCAGCTGGCTTCCTGTAGCTTCCTTTAAACAGATCGAGATTTTTCTCCATCCAATGTGAGCCCAGTGGACACGTCTGCTATGTGAAGTAAGACTGTCCTGAAATCCATGTCGGTTATTTACCCTTGTGGTACTCACGGCCATCCAGAAGGGTATTGCCTCCTTAAGCTCAACTCTGGCTGACTGGCGGAGAAGAAAGCAGAGATTAGACAGAGGTCACAGATTCTGAGCAGTGAGACCAAGGAGGCAAGAGCAGATGGATCTGAGGTCCCTGGCAAATTATTCTCTGCCTTATACTCTGCCACTAGTGTTTTCCACAAAGCCCAGATGGAGACGGCCAAGGATTGTGTGTGTGTTTTATATATGTATGCATCTATACATATATAACAGCTTTAATGATATGTAATTCACATACATATAAAAACATAGATGAAAATAACTTAGAATTCACATACCTTTTGCCCATTTAAATTGTACAGTTCAGTGTCTTTTAGTATATTCCCAGAGTTGTTCATTCTTGCCATACCAATTTTAGAAAATTTTCATCATCCCAAAAGGAAACATCATGTGTCACCATGCCTGGCTAATTTTTTTTCTATTTTTTATAGAGACAGGTTCTCACTGCATTGCCTAGGCTGGCCCTGAACTCCTGGGCTCAAGTGATCCTGTCACCTCAGCCTCCCAAAGTGTTGGGATTACAGGCGTGAGCCACCATGCCTGGCCAATGGTAGGATATTTAGAAGCATCCTTGGCCGCTACTTACTAGAAGCCAGTAGCTCCACCCCTCAAGTTATGACAACTAAAAATGCCTCTAGACATTGCCAAATATCCTTGGGGGCCCAAATTGCCCCCCAGTTGAAAACAATTATGTTATCCTAAAGTAGCTCACTCAGTTTGCGAGTTTTTGTGGAACACTGTAAAGCTCAGCCTGACCTCTTTGTGCCACCCAGCAAGTTCCCAGAGGCCTGCCTCGCTCTTTCCCTGGTACACGCCTGCAGGAGGTACCTGCTTAGGAAATGGATGCTTCCATTCCAGCTGAATCAGCACCCGGGTCTGAAGTGCCCACTCCCAGCGAGACTCTGCGGTGTGACCTCGCCTGGCAACTCGAGAAGAGCAGTCTGCTGGGCAAACACTTGGGCAGGACAAGCAAAACCCCCACAGAAATCCTTCTGGGCCACGTGTCTGCTTGCCTGTGGTCTCGAGGGCCCTGTGTTGCCACTAGAATGCCGTCAGCTGCTCCTTTTTGGAGAGATTTAATGGAGGGACTGGAGGCAGGGACTAATTTCAGGTGTCTCCTGGGTCCTAGGAAAAAAAAGAGAAAGCCCTGGTTTAACCTTTAGCGAGATCAGGACTGACCAGGCACGAGGCTGGGTACTGAGAACAGATGACTAAACCCATTCCCTGCCCTCGGGGTCAGGGATTCTGCTGAAAGGTGATCATGGGCAGCTGCCTCGCCCTCATCCCCAGCTTGGTGCTGGCACTTCTCTGGGGTATAGACATCTAATGACTGAGTCCCTGCCGTTGAGAGGCTACAGTCTGGTGGGGGAGGCGGCAGGTTGGCAAAGCTTACAGAAATGAAATGGAGATTGCAAAAGCTCTCTGAAGAGACGAGGCTGGGCTGGGGTGATCAGGGAGGCAGGAGCCAGTGCAACTGAAGAAAGATGGAGTTTGGAGGTGCTGAGTTCTGCAGATGAGTGTTCCAGGCACAGACGGCCCCAAAAGCTGCTTTAGACTGGAAATGTCTGGGCTCCAGACCCCTCCCCAGGGCCCCAAACAGCAGTAAGCCTATCTCTAAAGAGCTGAGGTCAGAAAAGGCATGTGGAGGCCCCACTGGGGAACATGACTTGAGTTAACCTCTCATGAAAGTACTTGCCTGGCTTCTGACTCTTCAAGAAAGGCAAATAGAATAAAGAGGCTTCCCACAGAATTTCAAGATGACAGAGAATCTGTGGATGAATTCTGCTAGTGAAAGACAGTGCATATCACAACCTGGATGGAACTGGAGACTATTATTCTAAGTGAAGTAACTCAGGAATGGAAAACCAAACATTGTATGTTCTCACTCATAAGTTGGAGCTAAGCTATGAGGATGCAAAGGCATAAGAATGATACAACGGACATCAGGGACTCTGGGGAAAGGGTGGGAGGGGGGTGAGGGATAAAAGACTACAAATTGGGTTCAGTCTATACTGCTTAGGTGATGGGTGCACCAAAATCTCACAGATCACCACTAAAGAACTTACTCATATAACCAAATACCACCTGTTCTCCCAAAAACCTATGGAAATAAAAAAAAAAAAAAAAAAAAAGAAAGACAGTGCATATCCCTTCTAGGACTCATAGAGCAAAAGAGGCTCGCATAAAGCTATCCTGCTGGCCTGGTGCGGTGGCTCACGCCTGTAATCCCAGCACTTTGGGAGGCTGAGGCGGGCGGATCACATGAAGTCAGGAGTTTGAGACCAGCCTGGCCAACATGGCAAAACCCCGTCTCTACTAAAAATATAAAAAATTATCCCAGGTGTGGTGGTGCAAGCATGTAATCCCAGCACTTTGGGAGGCTGAGGCGGGCGGATCACATGAAGTCAGGAGTTTGAGACCAGCCTGGCCAACATGGCGAAACCCCGTCTCTACTAAAAATATAAAAAATTATCCCAGGTGTGGTGGTGCAAGCCTGTAATCCCAGCTACTCGAGAGGCTGAGGCAGGAAAATCGCTTGAACCCAGGAGGAGGTGGAGATTGCAATGATCCGAGATTGCGCCATTGCACCCCAGCCTGGGCAACAAGAGTTTTGAAACTCCATCTTAAAAAAAAAAAAAAAAAAAAAAAAGCTATTCTGCTGCCTGGAATTCTGATTCCTCATGCGCTGGTGTTCCACCTTTGAGGAGATGGGCAGGGGGAATAGATGTTTTAGAGAACAGCACTGAGGACTAAGTCACAGGATGTTCAAGTTAACAAAATTGCACATATTTGCTGACTTTTCCTTCAAGGGCCTCTAGGTTAAAAATGAGGTTGTCCAGCCAGGCGTGGTAGCTCACGCCTGTAATCCCAGCACTTTGAGAGAATCGCTTGAGCCCAGGAGTTCAAGACCAGCCTCGGTTGGGCAACAGAGCGAGAACCCACCTTGACAAAATTTTAAAAAAGGGGGGCTGTTCTTCTTGAAGACTCAAGTACATAAGCTAATAAAGGCTCTGATAAGTCCTGCAATTTACAAACCAGTTTAACTATATCTCAGATTTCTCCAAATTTGACATGAAGTCTATTCACTAGGTAACATCCAATAACAATAACAACAACACTTTAGGAAGATTGAGCTAGTGCAACCTCTTATTGTAAATGGTGTCTTAGGAATTAATACCGTGGGTCCTAGAATCTGGTCATCCTTATTAGAAAGGGGTCCTAGAGGTCTCATATCAGGACTCCAGGTTCCCATCTGGACAGTATAGGCAGGAAGAGTTTGGGGAAGGGGCTGGCTTTTCCCTCTCACCTGAGCTAGAGCCCCAGAAGGCTTGCCACTCCCAGGCTGGCTCTCCTGCCAGGTGGCAGGACTCCCTTCACCTGCCTCAGCAAGTCATTGAAGTGACCTCCCTGGCCAGAAGCTCTGGCCTTGCTTCTTCCCAGGGCTTTTTCCTTACAAATAGTAGAAAAGGAAAATGGTAGCTGCACTCTGTATTTTAATGTGATACGTTCAGGTTGAGCTTTTATATTTCTAACCTACTCCCACGCCTACTCTTTCAGATCCAGGTGTGAGTTTAAATGCAAACCATACCAATTTCTTTCTCAGAAGAGCATCTTACTACTAACAGCTCAATACCATGAGTTAGCACTGGCTGAAATGTTTTAGAGAACCCAAACTTATTTGGAGAGCAAGACATTCAGAACAAAAACGTAAAGAGCTTTGAACAGATTTTAAATGACAAAGGGATTCTGTCCTGTGCAACCATTTAAAAAGCTCTTTTAACACTAATATGAGAAGTCATCTGTAATAGATGAAGGAGAAAAAGTAGGTTCCAGTAAAGTACAATAGGATCATTTCAATTTTGGAAAAAGAAAGTCTATGTGTTTGTATGTGGAGACAGGGAAGGAAAGACGGGAAGTAAACCTACTTGTCATTCCTCTTAGGGAATGGAGGTGGGGAGTAGCTTGAGAATTGAGGAACGACATTCACTCTGAAGTGTACTTCTTTAATTATTGAAATTTTTAAATGAACCTGTGCTACTTTTGCAATTAAAAAATACAAATCTGCCTTGCTGGATGGCAAAATGAAGCCTCCAAAAATGGACTGGCCAGGAAGTCATAGTGTGCCCTGGGAATGGCAGGTACCAAAGAGGTGTGAAGGAACAAAAGTCTGTCTTAACTGGGGGCACAAAGGAAGGATTCATGCTCAGTTGAAATTTGCCTCTTTTTATTTTGAGACAGGGTCTCGCTGTGTCGCCCAGGCTGGAATGCAGTGGCTCAATCATGGCTCACTGCAACCTCCGCCTCCTGGGCTCAAGCCATCCTCCCACCTCAGCCTCCCATGTAGCTTGGACTACAGGTGTGTGCCACCAAGACTGGCTAAATTTTGTATTTTTGGTAGAGACAGGGTTTCACCATGTTGTCCAGGCTGGTCTCAAAACTCTTGATTGCAAGCAATCCGCCCGCCTTGGCCTCCCAGAGTGCTGGGATTACAGGTGTGAGCCACCACACCCGGCCAAAAAATACAAATCTAAATGCAAATCTGCCCTGCTAGATGGCAAAATGAAAGCTCCAGAAATGAACTGGCCAGGAAGGCAAAGCATGTCCTGGGAAGGGCAGGTACCAAAGAGGTGGGAACAAGAGTCTGACTTAACTGGAGGCACAAAGGAAGGATTCATGCTCAGTTGAAATTTGACATGTTTTGCTTTCTGATAAGAAAACGTAAAGATCATGAAGACCCGTGCCATTCAACTTAACAAATCCTGAGGCATATTGTGTATACCTACTCTGTGTCGATACAGTTCCTACACACATATATGTGGTCATTTAAATGCCATATGACATCCAAGTTGAGGCAGTTTTCCAGAACCAATCATTCTCAAGTCAGGGCATATGGAAAAGAGACATTTAGCCTGGAGAATTCCTTTGCAAAATAGCTTATCATTTTCAGGTTTTGCCTAAAGATTTTCAGCAGGCTCTGGCCCCAGTGCACCTTTGTCAAGGGAGCAGCTCCAATAGTTTGTCAAGAGAATAAAAGTATCGGCAGCCAGGACTGGTTTTAGCCAAAACTGCAGAGACGGCAGAGTCTTTTCTTGTAATCTCCCAGTCTCCCATCTGTCTACCCCTTCCCTACCTGAGCACTCAGATCTACACTTTGGTTACCCCCATCTCCTTTCCCATCCCCCCTCACACCCACCTTCTTTCAAAATTCTTTGATAGATCTTAAAAAGGGAGCTGGTGCCAGCCTTTACACTTTAGTATGAATGTAACTCAGGGTCACATAGCTTAGAATGTCTACATTTTAAGTTTTATTTTGGATTATGAAAGGGGAGGTTGAATCCCTTTCCAGGTAAAAGATTCTTCAGGCATCAGCTAGCAGGTAGAGGCAGTGGTTTTTGAACAACCCTTCTGCTGTTGCTCCAGAAGCCACACTGCCTCACTGTTGTTAGCCTGTAGCCCAGGTCCTGGGCATTCTCACCCAGAGGCTCCATGCAGGGCCTCTCTCCGCGCTCTGGAGGGAATTGGCCCTCATTCTCCGTGGACCAAATGATGCATATGAGATCTCTGGTGCAGGCCACTGCATTCTTTGTAGGACAGAATTTCGACATTCAGGATCAAGCAGGGCCTCAGATTCACTGTTGAGAGCCCAGGGGAAATAATGCTGGACAGTAGCAGGGACGAGCCCTGGTTCTGTTCCTTAAGAATTATGTGACCTTAGGCAAGCTATGTATCCCTCTCTAAGCTCAGTTTTCTGACCTATAAAAAGGAAACAACAGTGTTGATTTTACAGGGTTGTTCTAAGGACTAAATGAGATAAAGAATGCGAAGTGCTTAGCATAGTGCTGGGCAGGGAGAGGGCCCTCAATAAATATGAGCTGTTTGCAGCTCTTATTACTTGGTGGGACAGAGCTAGGGGCCTGTGGGAAGAAAGAAAACAAAAGGGCCAAAGCAGGCTAGAAGCTGGGGTTGGAGAACTCAGAATAATGACACCTGTTTCCATCAGCTCCAGCTTTGATCGTGTCCTTTTACAGGATCCCCAGGCAGGAGAACACCGAGTTAGGAATGGTGACTGGCTTCCCAGTAGAGTCTGGGTTTTGAACTCATGAGTAAGGACAGCAGCTCCTCCGTTTTGCAGGGGCATCCACCTGAACCACAGGCAAGGCAGAAGTGATCCTAAGGCGTTAAATAGATAGTGCAGGCTAGGCACGGTGGCTCACGCCTGTAATCCCAGCACTTTGGGAGGCTGAGATGGGTGGATCACTTGAGGCCATGAGTTCGAAACCAGCCTGGCCAACATGGTGAAACCCTGTCTCTACTAAAGAAAATACAAAAAGTAGCCTGGCATGGTGGCGCATGCCTGTAATCCCAGCTACTCAGGAGGCTGAGGCAAGAGAATCACTTGAACCTGGGAGGTGGAGGTTGCAGTGAGCCACGATAGCACCACTGCACTCCAGCCTAGGCAACAGAGAGAGACTCTATCTCAAAAAAAAAGATAGTGCACAGTCTACAAGCAAAGTGAATATATTTTACCTGTGCCTGTGTGCCCTCACTTTATACACAATTGTAATAAACTTCATCATGTGGTTGTCAAATCCGCAGCGGACTACGAGCAGCAAACTAGGGACTCAACAGGCACACCAAGCAGAGAGCAGTGATAGCTGACAGTCTGACAAAGAGACAGAAAAAAATACAAAGGCAGACTGAGAATTCACCAAGAGTCACAGCTCTCAGGCTCTTTAGAGAGGTTTCTTCCGCCCTTCGACTTCTGAGTGCTGCACTATGTGATGATCCAAATCATAACTGATGTTCGAATCTTGACCCTGTAAAAGGATATTAAATTATCGTCAATTTTAAGCAGCCAGTTGTGTGAATGACAGTAGCCTCTGGGTGGAGTGGTGCTTTCAAGCGTGCATGTGCTTTCCGTGGGTTTGTTTCCACGTGTTTGCTTACCATTGGATTCCCGTGGTAATCCTGTGGTATAGGAAGGGTGTGTATTATTTTATAGAGAGAAAAACTAAGGCCTAGAGTGGCTAAGAGACTTGCCTGGGCTTATGAAACGAGTGAGTGGTAGATCTGGGCTTGACTCCAGGACTTCTGACTTGAGGCTCAATGCATTTTCCACCAAACACATTTTCAAACCCTGTTCCTTGGATCCCCAGGGTTCTGCCCCAGGGCCACAGGAGGGTTGCAGGAGCTGCTGTAGGATGCAGAGAAGGCTCATGCACAGGGCTGTGGCTTCTTGCCTCTGATTCAGTGAGAAGCATTCGGTATTTATCTGAAAGAGACTTGGGATGGGGAAAATCAAAAAGGTCCTATGCTGAGAACATTTCTATCCAAAATGACTAAAATCCAAAGAAAGTCGTGGGCTGTGTGCATACTGCGGTAAATCTGCTGCTCTCTGAAAAACTTGGCCATCAGAATGACCTCCCTCAAGGATGCCACAATCTTGCTGGACACAGATTTTCTGAGGACAGCCCTAGATGACTCTCAGCCTCCATCCTCCCTCCTCATGCACGTGGGCTCCTCAGGCCACCCAGGGCCATTACTGCCCTTCATAATCCCTATCCCATGGGCCAAACACGTCCCCCTCACCTCAGAAGTCCCCTGGCTGGTGTCCTGTTCTCTCAAAGTCCTGCTGAGAGACAAATGGCAAACTCCCAAATGAACTCCACTAAGAAAGCATGTTTATTTTCTCTTGTATCTTCTCCATCCACCGGAGCCCTATGTTAAGCTATTTACAGTGGGCTCATGGCTGTATCTCCCCAGCTGTGAGTAATTAATACTTAATGAATGACAGATGTCACTCTGGTGGACCCAGAATATTAACCCAAATAATTTATTCTTAATGTGGGAATATCGGGCCCATGACTGGCCCTCAGGAAGTTGTTTGAGTAGAGAGGCCTTTGGTGACCCCATAGAGGTGGTCACTTATTCATCCAGGAAGATTGGGACCTGCTTGTCTCTTTGCCAACACCCAGCTCTCCTTGCTCCCTTACTCTGCATCCACACCAACCTCAGTGAGAGAGGAGAGAGCAAAGAGGCATCCAGATGTTAGTCATTACTCCATCACCACTGTCACCATTGACAGATGCTTACTGACTGTGAAAAGTCTGTGCTGGGTATTGCAGGAGGGAAATTATATTATTACTTCTTTACCTGGCCACTCTAAGCATTAAATAACCCTAAATGGTAAGTGCCTGATAACTGGCAGTGTTTATTATTATTACTGTTGCTCTCTGCCTGTCAGAAGCTGATGATTGAACCGGAAAGACAAGAACATAGACTCAGGCCAGGCACGGTGGCTCACGCCTATAATACCAGCACTTTGGGAGGCCGAAGTGGGCAGATCACTTGAGGTCAGGAGTTCGAGACCAGCCTGGCCAACGTGATGAAACCCCGTGTCTACTAAAAATACAAAATTTAGCCGGGTATGGTGGCACATGACTGTAATCCCAGCTACTCAGGAGGCTGAGGCAGAAGAATCGTTTGAACCCGGGAGGCGGAGGTTACAGTGAGCCAAGATCATGCCACTGCACCCTGGCCTAGGTCAAGGCTCCATCTTAAAAAAAAAAAAAAAAAAAAAAAAAAGATAGACTCAAGTCTTAGCACATCAGGGAAAGTGTCATGTATAGCCAGTGTGAAGCGAGTGATACCGACTGGGTCTTGTATGGAACACTTTCCTTTCCATTCCTACCTTTCTAGCCCTGTTTTCCCCTATATAAGGGGTCATTTGGAGCTGGAGGGCATTCCGAGGACAGGGCGCTTGACGTGAGCCTTGTGGGTTGTCAAGATTTAAAGAGGGAGGGAGGAGGAGGCACTCCAGGTCAGGGTGATGACAAGACAGAAGGTGGCGGATGCCACGCGTGCAGTAGAGAGAGCTAGAGAGAGCGCCTGGGGAGCCGAGAGTGAGAAGGCTGCATAGGATGAGGACGGAGGCAGAGGGAGCACCTGAGAAATAAGGCTGCAGGATTTGGACAAAATATAACAAGCAAGAGGAAACCATCAAAGTCTCTATCAAAATGGAGATTGCGAAAGGGAGGGCAGAGTGACATCTATTCAGAGCTGGGAGCTTCTCCTACATTTTCTGTTTCATTCTGACAGCAACCCTATGAAGTAGATATTGGCTCCTTTAATGCAGCTGAGGAAACTGAGGCTCAGAGAGGTTAAGAAAGTTGCTTTAAGTCACCAGCAAATAAGTTGCTGACTCAGGATTTGAACCCAGCCTCAGAGCTTGTGTTTTCAGCACAGTACTCAAGGGATCCTCATCTGGGAGGGCACTGCAGGATGCAGTGGGCAAGATGAGAGCCAGGCTCCCCTGATTAAAAAAAAAAAAAAAGCAAACAAAACTGTTGGCCCTGCACTGTGTACACCCTTACCCTGTGCTGGAGCTCCCAAGAGTCAGGGCACCAGCGGAGCCAGGACATCCTAGAAGGATTCATAAAGAATTTGATGTTTGCTATTACAAAAAATCAAATACTCATTGTGGGAAGAAAACTTGACCTTTGTTGGACTCCCTTACACTTATTTTATGGTTTGTATTGCTTTTACTTGAATTGCATACAGGACAGGGGAACTGTAACAGCATCAGTCCTGAGTGGCTCAGAACAGCTGCTTCTGCCCTAGGGACCCACTGAGCTGAGCACTGTTGGGGATACAGCCAGTGAGGTCCTGATTTTGAGGTGGGCGGCATCTCCTATGCTTGAGACACAATTGGCTGAGTAGCAAGTAGCGTGGGCTTCCTTGGAAAGAGGCAAATGAAAAATGCAGCAGAACCTGCAGGTCTGAGAGGATCCGCACACCACTCACCCTGAACGCAAACCCAGAGAACCCCCTCATCTTCCGGCTGAAAGCCAGAGCCTCAGCTGGTGTGATTGATGTGTGTTACTCATAACACAGCCTGAGAAATCAGGTGCAGGAACTGCCCTTTTTAACAGCGTAACTTGTTTACACGGATTCTATGTGAGAACCTATTTAATTAAGGTAATTATGCACACAGACAGATGGTGATGGCAGCACACACCAACACCAGCTGATGGCAGTGGGGTTGAGGTCCTGGGACATACAGGGAGTCTTCCTGGTATGGGGTCCCTTGCACACATTTGGAGGAGAGACACGGCACTTGAGCACCTGGAGAGAGAAAAAAGTGGGGCCTGAAAGAGGCAGGAGGGAAGGCGCAGAGACTTGGGTCCTGAAAGAGGCAGGAGGGAAGGTGCAGAGACTTGGTGGTGGCCAGACCAGCAGCATCAGCATCCCCTCGGAACTCATTACACATGCACATTGTCTGGCCACACCTGAGACTTGCTGAATCAGAAACCCTGGGGGTGAGGCCAGCAATGAGTTTTAGCAGACTCCCCAGGGGGTTCTGATGCATGCTTAAGGTTGAGAATTGCTGATGTAGAGCATAGCATAGCTGTTCAAAACAAAACCTGGGTTTATTCAGTTTTCACACTTAACTAGCCACTCTCACCTTCTCTTTCCCAAGCCTGACTTTACTCATCTGTAAAATAGGAATAAGAACAGCAAACCTACCGGCGTAGCATATGGGTGTCACAGAATGGGAGCTTCTCTGCTTGGTTCACTGCTCTGTCCCAGCACCCAGAAAAGTACCTGGAGCAGAGTAGAAGCTCAATAGATATTTGCTACATTAATAATTCAATAAATGTATTCATTGAGATTTTTGATGTAAAGTGTTAACACAGTGTTTGGCAGGCATACCGTAAGTGCTTTTAGTAATACTGCTGTTATTGGTGATGGTGATGATTAGTTCCTGTTCAGCAAAATGAGAGACTTGACTGAAATCACTATAACATCTCTTTTAGAGAAGGAGGCAGGTGATCAGATCCACAGCCTCTGAGGTTTTTAACCACACACTAAAATATTTAAATGGGCAGGGGACAGGGGAAGCTGTCACTTGGGCCACAGAGGGGAAGGTAGGAAGCCGAATAACATCAGCCACCCCTGAGCCTGGGCCTACCAGTACAGAGCCATGCTCAGCCATCTGGAGATAGAAATGCTCAGGGGTCCCCAGGTAGCTTGGATGTTTCACTGGCCCAAGTGCTCCTATCAGCTGCTCCTTAGGGCCTGTGGTTTTCCAGACTGACTTGTGGAAAGGGCTTGTCAAGGCCTTCTTTACTCACTTCAATTAGGGGAGTTCGCTCTTATTCCCTGTCACTCTAGGAAATACTGAACTGTTGTAAGCCTACAAAAATCAGCTCCTTAGGCAACAATGATACTCTTCTCCCCTGAAATCAAAGTGGCAGCTGATCATGACTTTCATTCTACTGAAGGAATAAATGAAGAAACCTAGTCTGGGACCAGATTACATTTATTGGCCCTGCCCCAAATACTTCTATTTATGACCATCTTTGATCAACATCAAATAAAATCAAATCGGGCTACAATTCAACAAGCTTCAGAGTATTAGGCCTTCCACTGAGTGGCCAGGGGGCTTCTAGAACCAGAGGCATTCAAACAGCCCTAAATTATCAAGGAACATAACTATAGACACAACAGAGACTCAAAACTATGGCAATACCATGAACTCCATGCTCATAAATATTCATTTATTAAGTAAATACATATTTATCAAACATATCTAAGTATATAAAATAAATATGTCCTTGTATTTTTTGTTAATTACATGAAACAAGTTCTTAGCAAAATATATCATCAAATTGACTAAAAAAGAAAGAAAACACCTAAATAATGCAGTCACTACTAAAATTGAATCAGTAGCTAAAACTTCTCAGAAAGAAAACCTCATGTCCAATAGTTTTATCAACTTCAACCAGACTTTCAATTAACAAATAATAGAAAATAGAAAAAAAGCTTCTACCTCCCTGCATTATAGCCTTGGTACCAAAACCAGACAAGTGTAATATGAAAAAGGAAAATTGCGGGCCAGTCTCACTTATGAGACTATATTTGCAAAAGCCCTGAAAACAATATTGACAAACAAAATTCAGTAATATAGCCAAGCACGGTGGCTCACACCTGTAATCCCAGCACTTTGGGAGGCCAAGGCAGGCAGATCACCTGAGGCCAGGAGTTCAAGCCTGGCCAACATGGTAAAACCTTGTCTCTACTAAAAATACAAAAATTAGCTAGGTATAGTGGTGCACACCTGTAATCCCCGCTATCTGGGAGGCTGAGGCAGGAGAATCACTTGAACCCAAGAGGCAGAGGCTGCAGTGAGTCAAGATCGTGCCACTGCACTCCAGCCTGGGCAACAGAGCAAGACTCTGTCTCAAAAAAAAAATAAAAATTGAGTAATATATAAAATATATCCAAATTGAACTCATATTAGAAATGCAAAGTTGGTTTAACATTAGAAAAATCTATTCTTTTGACTTACCAGAAACAAAGGAGGAAAAAAAGACCCCATGATCATCTCAATCGATGCAGAAAAAGCATTCTAGCAAATTCAGTATCTGTGAATGATATAACCAGGAATAAAAGAACTACCTTCATCCAAAAGAAATTGTTTCTACCAAAAACCTTCTGCCGTATTATGTTTAACAATGAAATGTTAAAAGCTTTTTCTTTAAAACCAGGAACACATAAAGGTGTTCACTATTTCTCAGTACATCATTGCACTAGTGGTCCTAGCAAGCAAAATAAAATAAGACTGTTGTTATTCACAGATGATTTGATCGTTTAAATAAAACTCAACCAAATTAGTGACTTAATAAAAAGACTTTAGCAATATTGCTAAATATAAGATCAATATACAAAAATCAATTTCATTTGTGTATACTGGGGGCTAAAAGCAAAAAACATAAATAGTATACCATTTATAATAGCACCCAAATGATATTTGGCAATTTGTCAATTAAGTTCTGCCTCAGAATTAGGGCAAACTTTGCAGGTTAAGAGCAGTCCCACACAAGGGTGCTCTCACCTCAGTCAGTTGCCACAAGCCCGGGGGTCCCTAGGTCACCTGCACATCTGACCCAAGAGCTACAAATTTGGAGATTCTCATCTTCCCTCGGATTTAATCATTCACTTGACTGGTTCCCAGAACTCAGAAAAGCCCTGCATTTGTTATTATAGTTTTATTACAAAGGATTAAAGTCAGGACCAGCCAAAAGAAGAGACCTAGAGGATGAGGTCTGGGAAGCTCCCAAATGTGAAGTTTTTGTGTTCTCAGGACATGTCACCTTCTTAGCACATGGGTATGTATCATCAACCAGGGAAGCTCACTTGAGCTTCAGTGCCCAGAGTTTTTTGGGGAGGGTAGGAGTTAGGTTCATGACCTAGGCATGATTGATTTAATCATTGGCCACCTAACTGAACTCAACCTCCAGCCCCTCTCCACCCCCTGGAAGTTGGGCTGATACCACGTGGCTCAAAGCCCAAGCCTTCTAATCACAGTCATCCCCATCCTGAAGCCATCTAGGGACCAACCATGAGTTGCCTCATTAGCATTAAGTCAGATATGGTTCCAGGAGCCCACCATGAATAACAGACACTCCTGTCACTCAGGAAATTCCAAGGGTTTAGAAGCTTCCTCCAGGAACTGAGAATAAAGACCAGCCAAATTCTTTATGATGTATCAGGCAGTTAGAAGTAAATCAAACAACAACAACAAAATACCTAGTCCCTCTTGACAAACTCTCCATATAAATACACTGGAATACTCTACAACTGTGAAAGTGAATTAGCTACAGGTGCACACATCAACTGTTGCATATATTTCAGTTTTGCAAACCAAATTCACTGGCAGCGCTGTGTGATTAATAGTGACGCAAACATCAGCACTCTTCTGTGGGCCCATCTGCTGAGAGTGGGCAGGACCCACCAACCAGGGTTGTGGAAAACTGTGAAGCAGGCAGACTTTATCTTCAGAGCCCATACCCACCTCCTGTGCCTCTTCCCCTCCTCAGAGCCGCACCTCCCTCCAAGTGTCTGGGACATTTGCATTCTCTTTGCTTCCTCAGCTCTTCAAAACCCTCTCGGGTGCATTGCTAAGTGTGAAGGAGAAAATCCCTGCAGATTCTCTAGGCGGGAGTTGGGGGTGGGGGACAGGGAATTTGCTTCTCTAGCTATTCCACTCAAAGTTGCAACTGTGGGTTTTGGCCCTTGGTAAAGGAATTTAAGAGAGTAAGGTGACAGAGGAGGAAATCAAACCTTTTCTGGTGGCCGAAATTCTCACCAGCTTGTTTAGGTGAAGGACAGAAACACCTTTCAAAACCACACCAGCTCCCCCTGCAGCCATGCCCTTCACGTGTTCCCTCCTCTAAGGAATACCAGGGACCTCTTTGCAAACTCTCCAGCCCTCGAGATGATTTTCCTCCGCCTATTAGAACATGGGCCCTACCATGGATTAGATTACTTCAAAGAAGGTTCCTAGAATATGTTTCTGCTTTCCAAGCTTAAATTCTAACAAGACACCCCCACCCCCACCCCCATCCTCCTTGGCCATTATCCTCTTCTTTTGCCCAGCTTACTCTGGTCAGGGCCAGATTTACCGTGGAGTCCATGAAACTTAACCCCAAGGCCTCTCCTTTGCACAACCCTGACCAAGGCCCTGGGAGGGACCCTAACCTTGTGTTCACATGGTCATGTGTTTTTGTAATATTCACAAAGCAAGTTATTTTGAGAGCAATCTGTTAGCAAATGGGCTATTGCCATTCAGACTTTCCCTCCTGCTGGATGCCGCTTGCTTGGCTGGGCATTTGGGGGAGCTGACTTAGGGGAGGTTGCAGTGGAGATGCTTTTAGTTTTAGTGGGCTATGTTTACGTGGTTTGCAGTTACTTCTGTATGTGCAGTTAGGTTACTGCCAGCATTGTGGTGTAGGAATAACTTCTAGAAATCCTGCTAAGGCCCACGGAATCAACTCATGAGGTCCTCATGCAAACACGGCCCACCCTACAACTCATAACATGTGACTGCAACTAGGACATCATCAACAACTTGGTTAATGAGTGTCGTTAATTCAAAGAGAATAGAAGTTGAGTCACCACATAAGAAAATTAGAAACGCCCCCCAAATCTTATAGGTCATGTACAAAAGAACACTAAATAGAATTATTTCCCAAATTTGATAATCCAGAAAACTTATAAGGTAAAAGAACTTATAAATATCAGCCATACAAGGCTGGGCATGGTGGCTCATGCCTGTAATCCCAACGCTTTGGGAGGCCAAGGCAGGTGGATCGAATCACTTGAGCTCAGGAGTTTGAGACCAGCCTGGGCAACATAGTGAAACCCTGTCTCTACTAAAAACAGAAAAAATTAGCTGGGCATGGTGGTACACACCTGTGTTCCCAGCTACCAGAAAGGCTGAGGTGGGAGGATCGCTTGAGCCCAGGAGGCGGAGGTTGCAGTGAGCTGAGATCACACCACTGCACTCCAGCCTGGGTGATGGAGAGAGATTCTGTCTCAAAAAAAAAAAAAAAAAAAAAATCAACCATTCTAAAGTATCAACCACACTAGAAGAAAGACTTAGTTATCTTTTTAACTACCTAACTTTCAAAGACTGAGTTATCTTTCAAGCTGGGCGTGGTGGTGCATGCCTGTAGTCCCAGCTACTCAGGAGCCTGAGGTCGGAGGATCACTTGAGCCCAGAAGTTTGAATCTAGCCTAGGCAACATAGCAAGACCCTGTCTCTTAAAAAAATAAAGAAGCATATTACAAAATTGTCACAGAAGAGAAGATCAGAGATTATGCAGCATGTTTACATTTGCTGCCAGCAGTTTGCCAAGCAGCTAATTAGTAAAAATGTTATTTTTATGAATGGTGTGGTGTTTGTAGTATTTGCCAGCTTTTTATAATTTTTAATTTGCTGCAGTTCCTTTTCTGATTAAACATAAATATTCATTTTCATATCTAATTTTGTGTTCATGATTTTGTATTTTTAAGAGGCTCCCCAAACCAAGATCCACCCTGGCCCCTTTTCTGTTTCCTTCTTCATACAGTGACTGCCCCATCTTCCTGCCCTCATCTGGTGTTGACTGTGCCCTGGTTTCATGATAGTCTTTGCAGTTGAACCAGCATACTTACTGCCCAGAGCTGGAGTGTATGCTCCCTGAAGACAGTCCCCTGATTCAGAGTACCACAAACAGGGCCGGACCTACTGGAAACACTTTATAAAGGCCTGTTAAAAGAGCATCTGAAATGAGACTGTAATTCTCTCGAACAGGTGACCCGGGAGCTGCCTCCCAGTATGTGGGCACTTCAAAAGTGGTGTATCTGCCTGCAACTTGCAGGTTTTCCCAGAATACAAGAGTTTCTGCAGAAAAGATGTGGTTCCCTGTGAATAGTGTGATCCAAAAAGACCTTTCCCAAAGTCAGGGTCAGACAGGGTTACTGAGCCAAGAGTTGGATTTGGACCCTAACAGAAGCAACTCTGGAGACCCCTCTCAAATTGATCTCAAGACCTTTCTGCTGCCCTCCTCCCCATGCTCACTCCCCTTCTCCATCCCCACTGCCTGTACTTCTTCCCTGCCTGGCCAGCCTGGGCAGTGGTCTCAGTGCTACTCATTCAGCAGGCACCTCCTTCCTCCAGTAACCTGCACTCTCCACCTTGCCCAGCCTCCCTTTCCTAACCAAAACATCCCTGCTTTTCCAAGGGGCCAGAGCCTCTGTGGAGTGAAAGTAGCTGGCATTTCTAATGGCTTTTATAACACGCAGCCACCTGCCTTCAGCATCTTCTGTCTGCAGGCACCAGGCACACCAAGAGGTCCCAGCACTCAGGGGCTCTCAGGATAAGTGGGGGAGGCAGTGCGCCTCCATTCACACAGAGCATTCAGCAGGCGCCATAATATTAGTCTTGCTAACAGAAGACAGTGGGCTTAACAGGTCAGTATGTTTCCTCTCCCAGGTATCGAGTTGATATGTTGACAGGGACCTTACCCAGCATTCCTCACAGCCTGTCCTGAGAAAGACTGGTCCCCATGATGCACTTAGAAAAAAGTGGATAAGTGGTCAAAGAGGTTTGACAAGCACTACATACTAAATCCCCATCTAGAAGATTCTGAGACTTTATAAATAAGCTTCACTGGTTGTTGCCAGCCTGTCCCAAGGGTGTTTGGGCACACATCCTATCTCCCCTGCTAGCTATTAACATCTTTGGAATATGAATTCATTTCAGGAAACACTACCTTACTATCTTAACTAAAAACAGCAAGTCTGTAGGTGAGACTCCTGCACCCAGACAGGCAGGTGGTCAAGTTCAGGAGGAGCAGGGCATCCCCAGTGTTCCACAGGGAGCTACTTCCTGCCTACATTTAGGCTGGACCACCAGGAGCCTCCTCCTTCCCCACACCTGCCCTTTCCAGGCAGACCTTGTGACAGAGAGACTTTTAAAACTTCAGGTAAGCTCTCTAGGGCCCATTCCATTCCCTCCCACGCCATCTGTATAATGAGTCTACCTGGAGACTCCAAAATCTGTCACGCCCTCCAGACCCATCTAAGTTCTACCTCATCCCGCATCAGTAGAAAAAAGAAAGGCCAGACACGGTGTCTTATGCCTGTAATCCTAGCACTTTGGGAGGCTGAGGCGGGTGCAATGCTTGAGCTCAGGAGTTCGAGACCAACTGGCCAACATGGTGAAACCCTGTCTCTACAGAAAACACAAAAATTAGCCAGGCGTGGTGGTGCATGCCTGTAGTCCCAACTACTTGGGAGGCAGGAGGATCACTTGAACCCAGAAGGTCAAGCCACTGCACTTTAGCCTGGGTGACAAAGTGAGACCCTGTCTCCAAAAAAAAAGCAAGACAATCATGTGTGTCTCTCTCTTATTTCTCCTAGTCTACTGATTGCATCACAAGCATTGTGGGTCACATTCCAGAGCCTTCTGAGAAGGGAGAAGTCAGGGAAGTTCCTTTTGTTCTTCTGAGCGTTCTCTGCAAGTCAAACTGGGGAGAGTTCCAGTCCTGTGGGGTGGGAGCAGCTGTGAAGAGGCTGGAATCGGAGGGAACTTTGGGGCCTGGAGGCCTAATGGAGGACTCTGTGATGTTGGACTATGTTGTGTCGTTACCCTCCCTGCCTCTGCATCCTCTTCTGTGGAGCAGGGACAATGACAGCAGCCATCCTGGGAGAGCATCATGATGACCAAATGGAAGGAAACAGAGGGTGAGGAGCACCCCAAGCACATGGTCAGCACCTGGCAGGTGGCTGTTATTATTACCCACTCCTCAAAAGTGCTTTTGGACTCACATTTTCTTTCTTTCTTTTTGAGGGTGGAGGTGTAGAGAGGTGAAATAAAGCTCTGAGTCTGACCTCCAGGTTGGTCCCAGGCAAGATTAGCAGCCTGAGGGGTCCGGCTTCCACACGGTAGCATGAATAGCATGTTCAATAGAAAACCGGACCCATACCCCACACGGCAGAGGGCTAGGCTTGAGCACAGACACTACCTTTGTCCTGAGATTTCTACATGGCAATGAAACTTCGAGCTAATTTTCTCCTGACTGGTGGTCAGTTCCTGAATTTCATGGGCATATCAATCATTCCTTTAGCTCAACGTTTTTACTCCATTCATTCACCCGATTGTAAGTGAGCGCCTATCTTGTACAGAGGTGCACTGCAGACAGAGGGAAAACAACTGGCTCTTGCCTTCAGGAGCCCTCGCTGCCTCCCCTGCTATAGAGTTAATGAAGTTAGATGAAGGGGTCCAGGAGGCTGTGTGAACACAAAGCCTTGCCAGCTAAGTCAGAGAGGAGGGTCCTGCAGTAATATCCCCAAATGTAAAATGAAAAATAAATACCTTCAACAGGGTTCTCAGGAGGTGAGCTGAGCTACTGCTGGCAAAATCCCTTGTACAGAGTGGATGTCAACAAATATTCCCTCCCCTCCCTAATGTGCTCTCAGTTATGTACCTGGATGTTAATAAGGGAGCTGAGAGAAAAGTTTGCTAGGAGGGCGGAGAAAGTTTCCACCCTCCTCGGGGGAAGAGGTCGGGGACAGAAAGGGGAGGCCTGGGGCTCAGAGACCAACGTCTCATGTCTTCTACCACATGGCCACGTGGCTCGCCCCTTGACTCACTCTGGTCTCTGCTCGAATGTCCCCTTACATGAGAGGCCTTTCTGGACCACCCACCCCATCACTCTCTATCTCCTTACCCTGCTTTATTTCCATTCCTTGCACTTATCTCCACTAGACATATCATCCATTTGTTTGTTCAGCTGTCTTTCCATCCAAAGTGTGCACCTCATGATTACAGGGACTTTGTTTTGCTCACTGCTGGGATCAGATCTCAGCTCTGCCAATTATTAGTTAATTTGATCTTGCTCAAGTTAGCCCCATCTCTCTACCTGTTTCACAGGGTCATTTTGATAATTAAATGCACTATTAATAAAGCAGTACTTGGCACGGTGCCTGGCACATCATAATTTCTCAATAAACGATAGCTATTATTATGATCAGTGATTTTTCAGTAAATTTTTACTTCCTGTGGTTCAGCCATCTGGGGAAAACCTCTGCGGCTACTCAAGGATTTATCTTATCCTGAGGGGAGGTAGAAATAGAAACCTGTACTCATCCAGGAACCATGAAAATACTACTTACCTTTCCAAAGCAGGTGAACTCAAGACCTCTAGAGATGCTGGTTCTCAAATACAGCTACACCTTGGAGTCACCTGGGGAGCTGTAAAAAAATCACTGATGCCTGGTTCCCACCCCCCCGCCTCCGCCCCCACAGATTCTGATGTGATTGGCACAGCAGGAGTCCTGAACGTCAGTTTTTTTTTTTTTTTAAGTTCCCTAGGTGCTTCCAGCCTGTAGCAGGTCTGAGAGCCCGTGCTCTAGAGTGCCACCAGATTTCCCCTTGAAAGCCAGCGTGACAGATGTCTATTTGTGGCTTGACAGTTAATGCATCTTACTAAAAGAAGCCATTTGCACAAGGACTGGCCTATTAAAAATTAATCACTTTGGCCTAGCAGGGCTTCTCACTTAAAGATTGCTGTCCATTGTCATGCAGCACCCCAGGATGCTAATGCCCCACAGAGGAGAACTTGTAGCCCCTCCAGCAGCAAAATCAGATAAGGAAACTGAGGCAGAAGCAGCCCAACCAAATCATCCCTCCACCCACCTCTCTACCCAGCCCAGCCACTGGTCCTGGTGAGGATGGTGGTAATGGAGCTGCCAGTCCTGGTACATCACTGAACAAACAGAACATGTTATCCTGTCTTTGAACTGTAATAGGATTCAGAGTTCTTGATTTGGACCCCATGAGGATAATGTCCAAAGCTTTTATCAGACGGTGAGCTCTAGCTGAATTAGAAGACAACCACATTTCACCGAAGTGCTTTTTAAAAAGAAGCCCAACTCCATTGCTCCCACTTTCCTGCTGTTTAAAAGTAAGGAGAAGTACATTACGCTAAATGAAATAAGCCAGATGCAAAAGGACAAAGCCTGTATGATTCTGCTTCTGTGAGGTCCCTAGAGCCATCAAACCCATACAGATAGAAAGGAGCATGGTGGTTGCCAGAGGCAGGGGGCAAGAACAATGGGGAGTCATTGTTTAAGGGGGACAGACTTTCAGTTTTGCAAGATGAAAAGAGTTCTTGGCTGGGTACAGTGGCTCATGCCTGTAATCCCAGCACTTTGGGAGGCTGAGGAGGCAGGTGGATCACTTGAGCTCAGGAGTTCAAGAGCAGCCTCGGCAAAATGGCAAAACCCCATCTCTACAAAAAATACAAAAATTAGCAAGGCATGGTGGCCCGCACCTGTAGTCCCAGTCACTCTGGGGGGTTAAAGCCCGAGGATCGCTTGCAAGTCTTACTGGGAGACTGCAGTGAGTCATGATCGTGCCACTGCACTCCAGCCTGGTGACAGAGTGAGCCTCTGTCTCAAAAAAAAAAAAAAAAAAAAAAAGTTCTGGAGATGGATGGTGGCGATGGTTGTACAGCATTGTGAATATACTTAATGCCACTGAACCGTATGCTTAACAGTTAAAATGGTGAACTTTATGGTATGTGTATTTTATTACAATTAAATTTTTTATGGCAATTTTATTATAATTTTTTTAAAGTCAAAGAAAGTGACCACACAGGGCCTGGAGTGTCCAACAAGGGCCTGCAGGCCTATGGGAATTTATATGAGCTTTTGGTTGATTTCCATGGAAACCTGGGAAGAGATGGTGAATTTCAGGATCTGTCCAGGATCCCCCAGAGGGTGGAGTGGAGAAGGGGCAGCCCTGAAAGGGGATCAGCAGATCAGCATTTAGGGCATCTTAGAAGTTTATGAAAATTCAGTGCAGCTGATTTAGCCAAACGATTTCTTCACCCATGTTTACTTTAGCTGCGTAATAGAACGTGCCAGATGATTTCCCAGTGATTGCGATGTGAGCCAGGCTTTGTGATGTGTTCCCTCCCTCAATTTGAGAGAGTCCCTGCTGCATGCTTTCCTGCAAATAAGTTTAATGGAATGAGTTTGCTATTTGGCTGTGGTATTATTCCTTTTTAAAAAAGGTTTCTCACGTGCCTCATATGTACATTGGCACAAATAAGAATTATGCCTTCAGAGGGAGATGACTACAGAAGAGAGGCTGTATATGTCTGCTTCAGCGGGACCTCTGGGAGGATGTTGTTCTTCTAAATGATCTTTTGATGAGTGTCTGTAACTCAAAGAATTAACCCCTATTATAGGTCAGTCTGCTGCTCGGTTTGAGAAATCTGCCTGGCCTGTAAGTAAAGCAAATCATAATTTCTTAGGGCAGGCCAGTATCATAAAGACCATCTAGGAACTTGCTGGTCCAAGTGTGGTCATCTGAACCGCAACATCAGCATCACCTTGTTTAGACTGAGAAATGGAATCTGCGCTTAACCAGTCGAGGTCCTCAAGGGATCTGAGAGCACCCCAAAGTTTGAGAAGCCAAGCTTTAGGGTCTCCACCAGGAAGACGGTTTTGGCACATCTCTCCACGAGACTGTCTGTTCTGTGCTTGGACCCTCTGCTTGTCTAGACAGCCCAGGCCCCCACAGAAAGCCCTGGCAGCCTTAGAAGTCTCTCTTATGTGCGAGGCAGTGGAGCCCTCTATTCAGGTCAAAGGAGCTACATCTGCACAGCCTGGGGTTGAATTCCAGCTGTGCCACTTATAGGCTGTGTGAGTATGGACAGGCTGCTTACACTCTCTGTGCCTCAGTTTCCTCCCTGTAAAATAACTATGATGAGAGTCCCTACCTCATGGGATTGCTGTGAGGATGAAATGAGTTAATCCATATAAAGCAGATAAAACTGTCTGAGGAGCTCAATAAATGTTAGCTGGTATTATCATGTTGCATAGATTTCTGTCTCACACATTGGCTCTCGGCTGTCCCCAGAGCCTCAGAGAACAAGCTTAGCTCCTCTTCTACATGACAGCCTTGCAAATGTCTACAGGCAGCTCTCACGCCCACCCCTTCCATGTCCTCCAGACTGAAATTGCCAGGTTCTCGTGTGACAGGCCTTTGATTTCCACTGCTCCTCCACCGGGAGGGCTCCTGGGAACCCAGTCCCCTGAAAGAATCACAGTCTCCCTGCCACAGCCTCACTTTTC
Source organism: Homo sapiens (assembly GCF_000001405.40). Taxonomy (NCBI): domain Eukaryota; kingdom Metazoa; phylum Chordata; class Mammalia; order Primates; family Hominidae; genus Homo; species Homo sapiens. The sequence continues at coordinate 50,709,255 of NC_000018.10, forward strand.
CCCTAAGTTTTTCTTCTTCCAAGGAAGTGCAGTGCCAGGGGCCTTCCTGAGGCCTTCCTGAGTCCATTAATCCCCTGCTCTCCAGACTGCCCGGGGAATTGGGGGAAGCGTGATGGGGTGGAGAGGGAGCACAGAGCCTGCAGCCTCCTTGCTCCACCAGTGCCCACCTGCTAGTAAGACTTGCAAGGGCCCCACTAGGGGCGCAGGCCTGCCCAGGCTAATTAGAAAAGCAGAGACACACATGGCCCTTCTGCAACCTACGCTGAAACGCCTTCCGCACTAGGAGGGGGCATTCGCCTCCCCTGGGGAGCTCATTCAAGATGGAGATTGGAGGACTCCAAGTCGGCAGCTCTGAGTGGTCTGCACATTCACAAGCACATCTCTTGGAGTGCTTGTGAATTCACAAGCATGTCATTGGGGATGGGGGAAGGCCTGGCAGTATGAAAGTGATGAGTGCAGGAGCCAGACACCCCTGACCACTTCCCAGTTACAGCACCTTGAACCAGTCATTTTATTAGTCTGTGAAGGGCCTGCATCAAATTCATGTAAAATACTAACACAGTGCTGGGCACAGGGTAAGTCCCACAGAAATGTTGGCCATGATTACTTCCTGGTCCTTACATTTTTTCCATATTAACATTTCATCTCTCTAACCATGTGAAATGCTCTTTGAAGACAAGGGATGATCTGAATCATTTTCCCATCCTTCACACAGGGACAGACACCTTAGGCTCCCAGGACACATTGCAGAAACTTCTGGTTGGGAAGGCGAGGCTGTCAGAGTCTCTTATCATCCTAGCCTGGAAACAGGGGCAGCCCTAAACATTGCTTCAGCATGAAAGGAAAAGCAACCCTTCCCACCCTGTCCTCATCCCCCAGAGCTAAAGTTGACTGGGCTTTTATTCTTGGAGAATGTCATCTCATTTAAATTCACCATACCATACCAGGCCAGGCACGGTGGCTCATGACTGTAATCCCAGCACTTTGGAAGACTGAGGTGGGAGGATTGCTTGAGCTCAGGAGTTCGAAACCAGCCTGGGCAACGTGGCAAAACTCTGTCTCTACAAAAAATACAAAAATTAGCCAAGCGTGGTGGCGTGTGCCTGTAGTCTCAGCTACTTGGGAGGCTGAGGTGGGAGGATCGCTTGAATCCGGGAGGCGGAGGTTGCAGAGAGCCAAGATGGCACCACTGCACTCCAGCCTGGGCAACAGAGCGAGACCCTATCTCAAATAAATAAATAGGCCAGGCGCGGAGGCTCACGCCTGTAATCCCAGCACTTTGGGAGGCCGAGGTGGACAGATCATGAGGTCAGGAGATCGAGACCATCCTGGCTAACACAGTGAAATCCCATCTCTACTAAAAATACAAAAAAAAATTAGCCGGGCGTGGTGGCAGGCACCTGCAGTCCCGGCTACTCAGGAGGCTGAGGCAGGAGAATGGCGTGAACCCGGGAGGCGGAGCTTGCAGTGAGCAGAGATAGCGCCACTGCACGCCAGCCTGGGTGACAGAGTGAGACTCCGTCTCTAAATAAATAAATAAATAAATAAATAAATAAATAAATAAATAAATAAATTCATCATACCCCTAAGGGATTAGTAGGCACATTATCATTAAAGGGTGTAGTAGAAAGTTTATTGGATTGAGCCTTCTCCCCCAACCTTCCAACTCCCACACGCAAGAGATCAGGCAGTGGGGGCACAGCAAGGGCAGGCACAGGAGACTTGGCTCCAGATCAGAACTGGTGCCCACCCAGCACGGGCTTGCTGGAGCAGCTGGGAGTGCCCACCCTTCTGGAGTGACTTTGATCCAGGCTGTTCTGAATTCCCTGGCAGGCAGCTGGGATCGAGGGCTGCTTCCCTGCTCCCTCTGCAAAGAGAATGCTCAGAGCTTTAATTATACCTTCTCTCTATCCTTCAGGGGCCCCTAATTATGCTCCTCACAGGGCAGCTGCTGCTAGATTATTTCCCAAACACCTCTGAAGCTTTTAAAGTCAAAGCCTCCCATGGGCTCTGCGTGACTCTAAAGGGACAGCAAAATGGGTGGATGGGAGCAATAGCTGACGAAAGTCCCAAGGCCCCTTAAAAGGGTCTAGAAAGGAAACCATGTTCATCTGCCTCCCAGTGGGCACAAGGTGGCAGGAGGAAATAGACGATTAGGAAGGGGCCACTCCCATCTTGTTTCTTGTGCTCTGAGTGGTGGTCACAGAGAACTGTGGGAGTGTGCACTTCATGTCTTCTCAGAGCAGTGATGTTACAAAGCCTCACACAAGAGGCTGGCCCCAGCTGGCCTGCAACAGCCGCGTGCAGACGCACCCACTTGTGCGCCAAGTGTGCCTGCTGTCCTGCTCACTCCCTCCTTGGCCACCCTGTGCATGGGCATGCCCTGCCTGGGGAGACCAGGTCTGATCACAGAGACATGTTCCTCTCTACATCCAAAAGAAGCTGAAACTATCCTCACCCTGCAGGCTTGGGCAGAGGGCTATTTGGAGATTTTTTTTGAGCCAATATACTTATTGATTTATGAGCTCTTTTAATAAAATTGGGTCTCGACTTCTGGGTATTCTTTAAAGTTTTTTTTTTTTTTTTGTAGAAAATTATCCTGAATTTCACCCCATCCACTCGACTGCAACTCCTCTCTTGAATTCTGATCACCAGTACCATGTTGTGGGCCCCAGAGCCTCTCCCATTCGGACACCCAGGGCTCAGCTCAGCTGACAGCAGGGCCCTGGTCCACTGTGTCTGCCCCCAGACCTGGGAATGGAGCTTCCCATATATTCCCATCTCCCCTTCCTGGGGCTTCTCTTGCACCAGCTTGGCAGAAGACACTGCACCTTCCCAAATTCTTCTCAGCCTTGTGGCTTCTGAAACATATCAACAAATCCCCTTTAAGTGTCGGGCACAGTGGCTCATGCCTGTAATCCCAGCACTTCGAAAGGCCGAGGTAGGCAGACTGCGTGAGCTCAGGAGTTTGAGACTAGCTTGGGCAACATGACGAAACCCCATCTCTACAAAACATACAAAAATTAACTGGGTGTGTTGGTGTGCGCCTGTGGTCCCAGCTCCTTGGGAGGCTGAGGTGGGAGGGTCCCGTGAGCCTGGGAGGCAGAGGTTGTAGTGAGCCACTGTTGCGCCACTGCATGTCAGCCTGGGCGACAGAATGCGAGAACCTGTCTCAAAGAAAACAAAAACAAACAAAAAATCCACTTTATGTTTTTTTAAAGAGTGTGAAGAACAAGTAACCATAGGAAGATAGCTAGTAGTTAAAAATTCAGCAGGCTCTTGTTTTTCATTAAAAAAAAAAAAAGGAAGAGCTGGAAAGCAACTTTCTTAGCTCCTATCATGACCTGGTCTGTAATTCTGGCCCAAGGGCAGCCTTACCCATGTCAACATCTTTCTTTTACTTTCAGAGCAAGTGTTTCAGAAGAAAGCCCCCTGTCCCCACTGTTCTTTAACCCTAGACTCTGAGGAGAGGCAGATGTCAATTCCAGACCATTCTGTTTCATAAAAGACTGTGCATTTACATATCAGAGAAAACTCCCCTGAAGCTACCTCCCCTCTGGGTACTCTTGCTTTAGTCTTTTCCCTGACAATCTCACCCTCTGACTGAAAATAAAACCAGACTATTTTTTTAGAACCCACCCACCTAAAAATGAACTTCTACAGACAGTATTTGGCTTGTTCCTGTAACTTTTAGAATCGAACTTAAATTCCTAACAGCCTACTGTACACACACCATGGATGAGTCTCAGATGCATTGTGCTAAGTGAAGGAATTCAGACTCAAAAGGCTACATACTGTCATTCCATTTATACAGAAGGTAAAATTAGAGAGACAGAAAAGAGCAGTTGCTAGGGGCTGGGACTAGGGGTGACCAAAAGAGGGCATGAATAAATTGTTTGAGATGATGGAATTGTTACGTATCTTGATTGTGATGGTGGTGACATGACTATGCTTTTGTCAAAACTCACAGAACTGGTGAATTTTACCCTATGTAAATTATACTTCAATAAACTTGACTTTTAAAGCAATTAAACTCTTATAAAAATGACATTGGCCCATCCTTTGTTGGAACAAGATAAGGCATAAGTGGCTATCAACTTATATAAACTCCACACCCACCTTGGAAAGTGGAACCTGGACCACCTTGTAGTCAAGTGTATAAAAGAAGAGGATCAGTGGTCCCTGCAGAAGGTGCCTAAATTTGGGAGGAGGTTCAGACCATATGAGATGTTTCCTTTTCATTCATTCATTCAACAGTTCAGCAGTGTTTACTGAACACTTCTTAGGAGGCATGGGGCTGGGCTATGCGCAGTAGCTGCATAACAAGACACAGCTGCTGCCCATGAGGGGCGCACAGTCTAGTGGTCCTTGGAGGGGTGGGGATGCAGAGAAGTAAAGAAACAGCAACAAAACAAGGAAACTTCTGAGAGGAAGCTGGCCTGAGCGTGTCAGCCGGTAGCACCATGAGTACGGGGATATCCCTCATGGAATGTACACTGTCAAATGCACAAAGGACAGAAGAAGAGGGCACATTCTACAAATTTTAAGGAGTTCATTTTGGTGAGAGTATTGAGGCCAGCGTATGGGATGCTCTATGATTTCCAGCTGAAGGGTGTCTTCTGCTTTTCCTCCTTCCTTCTACCAGTTTGAGGCTCTACTCGGAGGAAATATGTGCCACAGAGGGGAGGAAACTGCTGTCCTTTCCAAAGGTTTTAGACATTTAATAAATCTTTGCTGAACAAATTAAGGGATTTCAGATTAATAGGTCAAAAGCTCCTGGGTCCTGGCCTTCTTAACTTTTCATCTGCTTTAACCTGAGACTGTGATACTTCTGCATCAGTAGAAAGGAAAGTGTGAATGCTAAACTGCGAAGTAAAAGACCATCCCTGGAATCTCCCATTGGATCTCCTTGGTCCTAACTGTCTCACCTTGACCCCCAATGGATCTATACATTTTTTTTCTTACATTAGAAAGACTGTTCTAGGGAATTCAAATGGACATTTCCCAGATGTCACTCTTGGCCCAGTTTTCTGAATTATGTAGAAAACAATTTCTAAATTCCCTGGGTATATTTTCCTAAATCATATATGGGTATATGTCCTCGCTATATACCATAAGGAGGGAGTCCATCTCAGACCACAAATCACTGAGCCATGGGCAAAATCAGCTAGAACATTTATCCCCCAGAAAGACACAGTCAGACTCCGAGAATCTCATGGACCAACGAAAGCTGTGTCCACTTTGTTGTTCAGGACTGCTTCCACATAGCATTTTCCTGCATCCATTATGAAGATGGTCTTATCTGTTCTCAGCAAGAGCCTGGTGCCTGGCTTTGTGGCAGCATTAATTCTGATCTTCAGTGTCAAAGCAACCAGCTTGAGTTCAAGCATATGGCTAATTCTGAGATTCATCCACTGGATACAGAAAACGCCAGAGTCTCATGGTTACTCTGTTGCTAGCAGTAATGAACTTGAGCAGGGCTCCTGTTTCTCCATCTTCTTACTAGACAAGGGCAGAGTTACATCAAGGTGGGGTGGGAAATCATTTCTTCTAAAATATTAATAACCTGAATTCCTTTCTATAAAGGAGAACCCTCGGATCTCGTAAGATTCTCTCACCAAAGCATTTCAACCCCACAAACCAGGCCCAGCCCCTCTAACCAGACGTCTGTTCACTCATGCTCCTTCAAGATCAATGGGAAAGGGGCAAGAATGAAAGGGACCCTGAAAGAGGTCTGTTTCATGGGAGGGGAAACTGGAAGAGGCGTGGGAGGAAGGGTATCCAAAAATGACTGATCAGTGGAACCAGAAATTTTGTCTTTCAGGGTTATCTGTCAGAAGGGTTGGTAACAAAGTGGTACCGTTCCCCACGACTGCTCCTTTCCCCCAATAACTACACCAAAGCCATCGACATGTGGGCCGCCGGCTGCATCCTGGCTGAGATGCTTACGGGGAGAATGCTCTTTGCTGGTGAGTTGCTAACTATGCCACCTTCCTTCTCATCTGGCGTCGTTCCATAGAAAGGGGAACTGAGTGCAAAACACTTACAATCACAAAACATGCTCATCTTTTGCTGAAATTACTTCTGTGGCTTTTATGACACTATTTGGAGGCACCTTATTATATTGTCAGGCAAAAATACTGGAGAGGCTAAAAAAATAGTAGCCTTTTGAGCACAGAAGTTTTTGCAATCAAGTAACTACTTTGCTATGACCTAAATGCTTGTGTTCCCCTAACATTCAAAGGTTGAAATCCTAACCCCCAAGGTGATGCTATTAGGAGGTGGAGCCTTTGGAAGGTGATTAGGTCATGAGGATGGAGCCCTCATGAATGGGATTAGTGCCCTTGTAAATGAGGCTGGAGGGAGCTTGTTTGCCACTTCCACTGTGTAAGGACACACTGAGATGGCATCATCTATGAAGTATGGGCCTCTCACCAGACACCAAATCTGCCAGCTCCTTAATATTGGATTTTCTAGCCTCTATAACTGTGAGAAATAAATGTTTGTTGTTTATATGCCACCTAGGCTATGGTACTTTGTTATGGCAGCCTGAATGGACTTAGACACACTTCTACTCAAACATCTTGAGACTGATGGCTGCAAACACACCCACCCTACATTTTTAGCCCCTTCCTCCTCCCTCCCTGCCACTGTTCCCTGTCCTTCGGCCACACCAAGTGACCCACTGTTTTCCTAATCTATCATCATTTTTTGTTCACTTTGGCACAAAGACCTCCTTCTCTGCTTAGAAAACTCCTAGTGAACCTTCAAAACCCAGCTTATGTCTTGTCCTCCATGACGTCTCTCCTAATTCCCCAGGGCATGAGTCATCCTTCTTGGCTCTCCCATTGCACTTCATACTCATTCTCGCACTCTCCCTCTTTGCTAGGAAGAGCACTTGCTCTCTTCACTCCCTCTCTTCCATTCTCTCCTCACTCTGCAGCATGGTTCACGCCCCCTCCATCTGTCTGAAGCTGTTCCCACCCAAACTGCCGTGTTCTTAATCCAGGGAACCCATTTCAGCCTCATTCTGTAGCAGTAGTCAGCGACGACTGTCACCTCCTTCTTGAAACCCTCTTCCCTGGGTCTCCTCCTCCCTCTCTGGCAATCCCCCCTCAGTTGCTTCTCACCCACCATGAGCTCTACTTCCTCTGCACTATGTCCCTCAGCCCTTCCCAAGTTTCCACACTCAGCCCTAAATGCTGCTGTCACTTACTCAAAGAATTTTCATCCATCCCCTCCACCCAGGCTAACTTTGTAGAGGCTGGAAGCCCAGAAATGTTCCAAACCACCGTTGGTAGAGGACCATGGTGAGGCCAGTCTCCACACGCTCTGGCTGCAGCATGAGCCCCGTGGGCCTGCCTCCTTGCCACCTGTCCTCTGCCTGGATTCCATGCCCCTACAGAACTCCGGGCCTCATATCCGGTCCTCCTGGCTGACCTCTCTTCTCAGTGCTTGCAGCCCCGCCCTGTCCTCCTAACCATGCTGTCTTGGCCTCAGCCTCCCTGTGAGTGCTCTCCCCACCTCCTCAGCCTGCCCTGCTTCTCCTCAGGGGCACCGTCTCCCCTCAGCTCTGTTGAGTTGAGGCCATCCTTTCTCCCATGCCCTGTACACAGAGCGGGATAGAGCCTCTGCATCCTCCTTGCTCACCATTGCTTGCCTGCTATTAACAAAGCAGCCCTCCTCTGTGGCCTACCAGATGGCCCCTCTTCTTCTCTATCTTGTCCTCCCGTGCCAGCACCTCATCTCATCTCCCATCATCCCCCACACTGAGGCTGTTGGCACCTACGTCATGGCCTCCCTCTCCACAATTGGTCCCACATCATTCTGGCTGTGAGGCTGATGTGACTCACTTATCTACTATCCTGACACAGAGCCCCACATCCTCAGTTCCTGGGACACTCACTGCCCTTGTTGTCAGCCTGTCCTCCCCACATCCACCCTGGACTTTGTGTCATCACCCAGAACTGCTCAGGGGAGGAGAGATCTGAAGCGAGTATCAGAGTGGCAGACGCTGGGGAGCTGAGTGTCCAGGGAATGGAAAAGGGCACGAAAGCTGGAAGGCCTGAGAAGTACCCACCCACCTCCTTGCTTGATCATGACTGCAGTGTGGCCCAGGGGGAGCGTGTTTTCTCTTGGCAATCAGCTTACAGGAGGCATGGCCAGCACTCATGGCCTGCATTGGTAGGCCTAGGCTCCTGGGGCTACCCCACACTTCCATGTTGGGAAGGGAGGGGGAGAGTGAGGGAGTAGGATAGCCTTACCCCAGCCCCCTTTCAGAACCCCAAGACCTAGTAAGATTCCCCCCACTAAAGCCCCTGAATCCCACAAAATATAAGACAGCAGTGGCCCTTCTAGTATCCCCTAAGAGCAAAGGTGTGTCCTTAGCATCCATGTGGGCTCCCTCCACCCTGAAATCTCTGTCTACAAACCTGAGCCTGCAAGTGGCAGGGCTAATCAAGATTCCCTGTGGCCCCACGGGGAGCCGACAATCTCAGTTGCTGGCCTGTTGTTCTTGTTCACTGTAGAGTGACCACATATGGGCAGCTGGTGTAATAATTAGCTCATGGGCACTGCAGACCACCTAAGCCCACAGGTGAAAAGGAGCTGCCCACTCACCTGTCAAAGCCCCTGGCTCTCACAGCTGCTCATCTGCTGTGTGCACAGAACATAGTGCTAAGGATGGGGAGAGGGATTGCTGTGGGACAAAGGGACAGTGAGGAGGCAGGGGGAGAAAGTCAGACAAGGGCCTCTCCAGGGAACTTATGGTCTTGAGACAGAATTTTAGATGCCAGCCCTAGAAGGGGCCCAGGACAGCCCACCTCTTTTTTAACAGGTGATTTGGTTTCAAATAATGCAGGGTGGGAAAATGAGCCCAGAGAAGAAGAAATGGCTAACAGTGGCCTTTCTGAGGGAACACCAGCAGGACATTAAGAGAAAGCCATGTCTGAATAGCTAAGAAAGTCTTTATTGTGTTTTGTTTTTGAGACAGTCTCGTGCTGTCCCCCAGGCTGGAGTGCAACGGCATGATCTTGGCTCACTGCAACCTCCACCCCCCATTTCAAGCGATTCTCATGTCTCAGCCTCCCGAGTAGCTGGGATTACAGGCATGTGCCACCACACCCAGCTAATTTTGTATTTATAGTAGAGACGGAGTTTTGCCATGTTGGCCAGGCTGGTCTCAAACTCCTGACCTCAAATGATCCACCTGCCTCAGCCTCCCAAAGTGCTGGGATTACAGGCATGAGCCACTGCACCCAGCCTGCCAAGAAAATATTTATATTGGGCACAGTTAAATCTTAGGCACCATAGGAGCAGATTTATCTAATAAGGAGTAATGAGAGACCCAGAAAATGTAATCTCTCAATCACAGCAATGAGGGAATTATTCAGTGCTATGCTGGGCTAGTCACTCTTTCATTCATGATGCTAACTTCTTCCAGTAAGTATTTAAAATACATGCTATATATAAAACATATATTAATATGATATGTTAATATTAATTATATGTTAATGTAACATTAAGTAACAAGAAAAGGTAAAATAGGTTGGGCATGGTGGTTCATGTCTGTAATCCCAGCACTTTGGGAGGCCGAGGTGGGCGGATTGCCTGAGGTCAGGAGCTCCAGACCAGTCTGGCCAACATGGTGGAACCCCGTCTCTACTAAAAATACAAAAAAATTAGCTGGGCGTGGTGGCATGCACCTGTAATCCCAGCTACTTGGGAGGCTAAGACAGGGGAATTGCTTGAACCAGGACGGTGGAGGTTCCAGTGAGCCGAGATCGTGCCACTGCACTCCAGCCTGGGCGACAGAGCAAGACTCCACCTCAAAAAAAAAAAAAAAAAGGTAAAATAAAAACAATGGCAGGAAAGTCAGATGAAGCTGAAGTCAGGGCTTATGTCCAAACATTTAGGCCCTGAGTACAAACGTCTTCATTTGCCCCCTGGACTCTCAGGAGCCCCTACAGTTTTCCCTCTGGTGGATTTTGTGCTTTGGGTGGATCCTTGACCACGTGCTGGGGATACAAGTCTGAGTAAGACATAGTCTCTGTCCTCAAAGGTCTGATGGTCCAGCAGGGGACACAAAAGGGTTAAAAACAAAACAAAAAAAAATACACAGTGAACCTATCTGTGCCCAGGGTGAGCCATCCTGCTATCTTATTTTTCCAACTGAAATTGCACAGACCTCCCAGTTCCGTATTTTCCAGCCAATTCAAGGCAGGGGAGAAAGGAGGAACAGGTGGGAGGGAGGTCTCGCCCTGGACTCTGACTCAAAGACTCTTCCCACCCTAGCCATAGCCACTAAACCCTGGATGGCTCAACATCTCTGGCCCTGCCCCCACGATCTGGGTCATAGGTGCCTGGCTGCCTCCATTCTCCCAGCCTTGAACCCTCAGCTCACAGGGCTGTGCTCCAGCTGCCCTTCCAACAGGCTGACAACCTTCAGGCCAGACGGAGAAGAGCTGGGCTTCTCCATACCACAGCAGGCAGGTGACTCACTGAGAGCCCAGACGAGACTGTATAATCCACAGTCTATTGGCCTCTCATCTTCAGGCTCACTGTCTGTGGTCACGAGATGGTCGCAATCGCTTTCAGGTTCTCATGCAGAAGTGTCCAACGAAGAAAGGTAGGGAGGGGTCAGCCAGGGCAGCCAAACAGCTCTCCTCACATTTCTCTCTTACCAGGGAGGAACACCTTCCCCGGAAGTCCTTCCAGGAGATTCCTGTCCCTGTTTGATTGAATCACATGGCCTCCCCTTATTGCAAGAGAGGCAGGGAAGGCAACAGCTGGTGTGACATGGAAAGGACCTTCTTTCAGTAGGAAAGGGACATTGACCATAGTATCCTCCATGCTTCACACCTTCTCCCATTTTCAGTGGTGGCTTAGTAGACTCAGTGTTAAGATGCCTCCCCCAAGTGACGTCTGTCACAAAGAATCACTCACGGATGATTAGGACATAAATCCCCAAGGTGGAATTATTCCATCAGCTTCTCTCAAAGCCACTCTTCCCCACTCCTAGAAGCAAAGGAAGTCAAGAGTTATTAAACATCTGCTACAAGCAAGGTATTTCTCCCGGAGCCTTCATCTGCCAACACACTTGACTCCTTATAATACTCATTCCAAGTATAAATAATCATCCTCATTCCACAAGGGGTGGGGGAGCTAGGTCTGCCTCCAGGGCTGTCTGCCACCAAAGCTCTTGCTTTCCGCCCCAGGCCATGGATTCCCAGGGAGGCCCCACTGGCTGCCTCCCATATGACACCATTGATCTCGGGCAGGAGCAGACAAGTGAAAGAGGCTCATTCTCTGCCCCCACCCCCGCTGTGGTTGAAGAAGCTACTCCAAGCAGAAGGTTGTGTATTACTAGTTTGTGTGTCACACAGGAGAGGGGTCAGGGGCTTGGGAGCAAGGTCCCACCATCTCTGTCTGCAGCTTGATCACCCATTGACCTCATGGTCCCCTGGTGGGTGGTGTGGAGTACACATTTGGAGAGAGGACCCCACAGGGGGCTTCCAGAGCCCTGAACTGACCCAATGAGTCCACTGCAGGGAGAGGCCAAAAGGACCTCTTCAGGAGAGAGCCTGAGGCTGCAGGCACTTCTTCGGTCAGTATTCACATGTGCTTAGGGCCACACAGGGAACTGTGGGGGCACCTGGGAGAGCCCTCATCCTAGGCTGGATGACTGGAAGACTGGAATCCCATGGGAATTCATGGCAAGGGGAGGGCCCTCTGTGCAGCTGGATGGGCAGGGAAGACTTCTTGAGGAAGGAGAGGTATGGCTGAAGTTTTAACCTAGTACAGCTAAGTGGAAAGGCAACTCAATCAAAAAAGAGAAAATGGAAGTACAGAAGAACAGCCTGGAGGTCAGAGAAGGACAGCAAGGAGACCCATCTGTCCAGAGCCAGAAATGCCATACGGTGGCCAGTGGTTGTCTGGGTGTGGGAGGTGAGTTGAGTTTCTGAGACAAAGACTGAAGCTTCTTATGAATGAAAACTATGCCTCACCGATTCCCAGCAGTCAGCGTGATGCCTGGCATGGAGAAGGTGCTCGATAAATAACTATTTATGGAATGAGGGAATAAATGAATGTTTGAGTCCATCCTGTCCCACCAAAGTGCCCCTGCAAACCTGGCATAGCCTGGCCTGCCTTCCTTCTCCCAAGGATCACAGAGGCCATGTGCTCAAGATACATCCCAAACCCAATTTGTTATTCCTGATTTGTTTTTCTCTTGAAAGTTTCCTAGATGGAACCCTCTTAATTAGAAACCAAAAGGTATGGCTCATTCCCAGCCTTAAAACTGTTTCCTTCCCCATCCTAGTAAAGATTGTGCAGAGAGGTCTATGGGAAGTTGCACTTGGAAGGCCTTGAGCCAGGCTGTTCCCATTCTTTAGTGCTGACTTATATCCAGCTGGTCTGAGACACAGAATGCTAGGGGAATAGATGGGGCCTTGCAGACTACCAGATTCAACTCCCTTTTTCTACTTTTGACAAAGCCAAGCCCCAGAGATGTCAGCCACCTGCCCACAGTTGAGCAGCAAATGAAGACCAGAACCCCGGTCCCAGCCCAGTGCTGCCCCACTGCCCTGTGTTGTCCCTCCCAGAACACCTGGCACTGCTTTTGGGCTACTGCACACCACAGCCCCTTGGACAGCACACTTAACCATCTGGCATTGCCTCCCCAGGGGCCCATGAGCTGGAGCAGATGCAACTCATCCTGGAGACCATCCCTGTAATCCGGGAGGAAGACAAGGACGAGCTGCTCAGGGTGATGCCTTCCTTTGTCAGCAGCACCTGGGAGGTGAAGAGGCCTCTGCGCAAGCTGCTCCCTGAAGTGAACAGTGAAGGTACCTGAGCCTGGCAGCCAGGCCAAGTGTCCTGGGAGGATGAGCTAGGCTCCACCTTGCGGGGTAGGGGGCAGGCAGGTCTCCTTCCAAAAGGGCAAAGCATGGTCCTTGGATATAAAAGTCAAGGCTCCCCTGCCAGTGGGCCTTTGCCCTAACTACTTCCAAGCTGTGGATGCTGGGCCTCAGGAGTCCATTAGGGGCAGTCATTAGTGTTCTACCCTTGTTTCTGCTGCCTTTTGCTTCTCATCTTCCTTGCTCACCTTCCTCCCTCTCTTTCCTTCATCCTCCCTCACATTTTTGTCCTGGAAGGCTTGGTGTGCTGCAAAGAACAGGAGCTTCCTCAGCCTGAGGGCAAGACCCAGGTCCCATTCCACCAGTGATGAGCTGTGTGGCCTCAGGCAAGGACCGCCCTTCACTCCTCAGGCTTACTCCCTCTACTGTATATTCAAGGCTCAGCAGGCCTGGGAAGAGGCCAAAGGCTCTAGCTGCCTCTAGCTCTCAGAGGCTCAGGAGACCCAGTCTCGGTGACAGCATCCCTCAGCAGCCGAAACGTCCATCTTGTGACAGGTGCAGAACAAGGGAGGCAGGCCCCAAGACCACACTGGGGGCATTAATTCTGAGCTCCATTTATTACAGGACAGAAATAGACCAAAGGTGATGAATCTGATGACAAAAACTCAGGTGCGGCACAGGTGAAAGGCGGGCTCTGGATGAAGCAGGGTTGAGGGGCTCAGTGTCCTGCCCACCTGCCTCTCAATCTCCAGACATGCTCCTGAGAACCCTTCCAGAACCCCTGGGGCTCTGAGCAGCTCAGTTTGGAATCCACTGGGCCAGAGGAAGGTGACAAGATTGTACAGAAGCTTCATTATCTAAGAAATGACTTAAAAACATCCGGGGAGGGTGAGCCTAGGGAGGAGGAGTTTCTGAGGGGCGGTGGCTTAGGAGTTAAGGTGAAGCTTGTACAGTAGCAGATAACCCTGAAATCTCCGTGGCTTAACCCACTTACAGTTTATTCATTGTTTACTTCACTTCCAGGCAGAGTTGGGAGCATGGATGGGCAGGGGAGGATGAGTGGCTGTGCCCGGGACCCAGGCCATCAGGTCTGCCATCTTCAGCAGGTGGCTTTCAAGGTCACCTTGGGCATTCCCTTCCAGCCAAAGCCAGGGGAAGAGAGAGCAGAGACTCTTGCAGGAGGTTTTTCTGGGTCAGGCCTGGAAGTGGGGTACACACAGCACTTCCACCCCCATTCCATCAGCCCCAGGCACACAGCCATTTCTCACTGCAGGAGGGGCTTGGAAAGGCAGGTCAGAAGGGTGCCAGGATGGATGTCACATGGGACATGACTGCTGCCTTGAAACAGAAGAGGGGAAATCGTGGGACAGAGAGGACATGCTGCTTTGGGGAAACCACTGAAGGCAGAGGTAGGCCCTAGGGTAGAAGTTAAAGGGGGATTTAAGTTTGATAAAAGGAAGTATTTTCTGGGGCAGGTGTGGTGGCTCAAGCCTGTAATCCCAGCACTTTGGGAGGCCGAGGCGGGCAGACCTCTTGAGCCCAGGAGTTTCAGGCCAGCCTGGGCAACATAGGGAGACCCCATCTCCACTAAAAATATAACAAATTAGCTGGGCATGGTGGCGCACACCTATGGTCTCAGCTACTTGGGAGTCTGAGGCAGGAGGATCACCTGAACCTGGAAAGTTGAGGCTGCAGTGAGCCGTATTCCCATCACTGTACTCCAACCTGGATGGCAGGAGTGAGACCCTGTCTCAAAAAAAAAAAAAAAAGAAATGAAGAATTTCCTAGTGTTTGGGCTTCCCAGAAGTATCTGGGGACCTGCAGGAGGATCAGCTGTCAGGGAGAGGGAAGAGCAGATTTTCATCCGTGATGGAGTCTGTGGAGCAGCTTTGGGGTTGGTACTCGACTTTTTTTCTTTTGCGACAGGGTCTCACTTGTCACCCAGGCTGGAGTGCAGTGGTATAATCATGGCTCACTATAACCTCAGCCTCGAGGGCTCAAGTGATCCTCCCACCTCAGCCTCCCGAGTAGCTGGCACCACAAGCATGCGCCACCTTGGCTGGCTAATTTTAAAATTTTTTTTGTAGAGACAACCCACTACTGGCCCACCTGGCCAACTACTACTCGTCTTGCTAGAAACAAGCCCAGGGTGATCTCAAACTCCCAGGTTCAAGCAATCCTCCTGCCTTGGCCTCCCAAAGTCCTGGGATTACAGATATGAGCCACTGCCCCAGTGGTGGTACTCATCTTTTTTAAAGATGATACTGCCTGCCTCAATCTTTACAGCTTTAATTCTCTCATTTCCTTGTCAAAAGGTCAAGTCATGGCTGGGGCCAAAAAAGGGGCCAGAGGCCCAAAGAGAGAAAAACCTGCCCAGACTTGAAGCTGGGCCCCGCACTAGACTGGCCCGATTCTTCCAGTCCTAGGAATTTGTCAGGCAGATCCTCTTTTAAGTTTGCAACTCCAGACCCAGAAACACGCTCTGAGCATCAGACTGTTGGGGGTGATCAGAGTTACTGCTGCTTAACTAATTTGGGGGTCTAGGGTTACACTGCAGCACTGCGTCCTCCTGGGAGGCCAGTGACCTTCTGAATCCATCGATTTCCTCAATCACTGATGAATTTTCTTGCAAAGAGATACAGGGCTGGTGTGAGGGGCAGGTTAATGGTGCAGGCTGAGGCCCACGAGGGAGCTCCTCGGAGGGATGGGCAGCCTGGGCCTTGAGCTCAGCTCCATTTCTCCCTCTCCATGTGGGCTGTAACATGAGGAGCCAAGTCATGATTTAAGCGGACCTCCAGAGATGCCAGTGCTGAGAAGGAATCCAAACTTCTAGGCTAGTCCTTGCGCTGAGATAACCCAGGGCAGAGCTCCAAGAGCAGAGCTCCCAGGGCACCCACCCCTGCTCAAGGGAAGGGCCACCAGTGCCTGTGTGCAGAGCTGCTATCTGCTGAATTTTGGCATACATTCATGCTGGTTAGCAAACAGCCTCTCGCACAAGGCTTCTGAGTGTCCCTTCCCTTCCCCAGGTTCCCACTGCCCAGAACTCCCCCTTGATCCAGACATGAAAGGACTACTGCTTGGCAGAGCAGGGGAATTCAGCCTGGTTGTTCAGTATCTGTAATATCTATCCATCCATCAAGGCTGTCTGCCTTTGTTGAACTTCCAGGGGCAGCATATGGTAGGAAGAGCTCTGGATTCGGACCCAGGAGCTCTGGGCTGTGGAGACCCTGTCCCACCCCTCGACTGCAGCATTCCCCTTTCTCACTAAGGCTTTTTACTGCTGCACCTGGCACTCCAGCCTCAGGGCTTCCTCAGGAGCAGGCTCCTCCGTCCCATTCCAGCAGCCCCTTAAGCCATGACAAAGGGAAGTTGGTATATAAATATCCCAGCTTCCCTGCCCCGCAAGGGGAACCACCTCTGAGTGTGGCCCACACTGTCTCTGGAGGATCCCAGATGCCCACAGGAGTAACCTGTCATGAGTGTGCCTTGTTCTGGTTCCCCCTCACTCCCCCACCTGTGCTTGCTGGGATCCCCCACCACATAAACTACCTACAACCCTAAGCCTTGTCTCTGGTTCTGTCTCTGGAGAAACCCAGGCTGAGGCTGGACCTTGAGCAAGTCACTTGATCCTCTGAGTCTGTTTAATTCATTTACAAAATCTAGAAGGCAGCATCTGCTTTGCCTTTGTCACTGGATTGTGACAAGGGTCTTGAGAAAGAAAATGGCTAAAAACCTTTTAACAAATGCAGAAGCACAGACACCAGCACAGAATGTCACCGTGCTGAGGAATCTCCTTCTGAGCTCAACAAGGGCAACAAATGACCTTCATGTCCGGCTTTGCTCCCTGCAGCCATCGACTTTCTGGAGAAGATCCTGACCTTTAACCCCATGGATCGCCTAACAGCTGAGATGGGGCTGCAACACCCCTACATGAGCCCATACTCGTGCCCTGAGGACGAGCCCACCTCACAACACCCCTTCCGCATTGAGGATGAGATCGACGACATCGTGCTGATGGCCGCTAACCAGAGCCAGCTGTCCAACTGGGACACGTGCAGTTCCAGGTGCTCGCAGCCCTGGGTTCCAGAGCCCACATTTCCCTGTCCTCCCATCTCTATTTTGCCTCTAATCCTCCGTGACCTTCCCCTCTGTCTCCCAAGTTGCATAGCTCATTGGACGACTTCTCCAGCTTAGCTTCCTGCCTTTCTCTTGTGCCCAGACACTACCAGTAAATGACCAGTGTGAGTTGCATGTGTGGGTCAGAGGCCTTCCTTTGTGCAACACCCCCAGCTTCCCTCACCATGACTCTACTGAACATGGGGTTCAATACAGTGCTCCGCAAGGATTTAGTGAACACCATGGTAGGAGCTCACTTCTAGCAGCCTGGGAACTTGCCCTTGAAAAGTAAACTGCAACAAGGCGAGGCAAAAAAACAAAGCAGAGATTACCATTACAAAACGCTATCTCATGTTTCATGTTGGTAACTCTTAAAAATGCCATTAAAAACCAGGTTCGGTGGCTCATATCTGTAATCCCAGCACTTTAGGAGGCCAAGGTGGGAGGATAGCTTGAGGCCAGGAGTTCCAGACCAGCCTGGGAAACAAAGCAAGACCCCATCTCTACAAATTTTTTTTTTTAATTAGCCAGGCATGGTGGCACACGGCTGTAGTCCCAGACACTGGGAAGGCTGAGGCTGGGGAATCCCTTGAGCCCAGAAGTTTGAGGTTGCAGAGTGAGACCCTGTCAAAAAAAAAAAAATGCCATTAACGGGGGCTACATTATTATTGCCCATTGACACACAAGGAAGCTTCAGCTGCAAGGTTAAGAGACTGGCATCATGTCACACCCCTGATGGGCCTCTCTGCAATCTGCATCCATGTCAGACGCTGCTAAGCAATTATAGGACCATTTCCTGCTAAACTGGGCTTGGCTACAGAATCCTCAACAGGTGTCCCTGGAAGCCACTACCAATGAATCAGCGTTGGGTAGAAGATGTATTTTTAAACAATTTCTGCCTAGGCACGTAATGATCTCTTAGATCTTTTCCTGTTCTGACGTTCTTAGATCAGGCAGCTAAACATTTGGGCATCACCATCTGCTAATTCTGGGAGGGAGTGCTGGTAGCTGCTCAGTTTAGAAACAGCAGTCGAGGGCTCAAGCAGCTAGGACTCCGAGGGGGCCTAACTGGGAGTCCCACTGCCGGGGGAATGTGACAGCTAGTTACATAAGTGACAGATGAGCAATTTCTCCTTTTTAGTCATTTGACAGATGATGGGTTTCAGATTAAGGAGGCACTGAGGGAGGGCCAGGGCGACGCTGCTATTTTTGGACAGGTTTGCTGGCTTGTTGTTGTCAATTGTTGTTTTCAAGCATTGCCAACAAATAGAGATTAATGAAGACTCTGTCTTCTGCCACCCCTGGGGCAGCCCTGCCCTTGACTGTGGTTCCTGCGGCAGCTTCCCCTTCCTCCAGAGAGCCTGGAGGCAAAGAACATTGGCTCAGGGAGAGTCATCCTATACTTTCTGCGACTGTGGCATAGGGTTGTGCCAGGAAAAACTGTCACAGGATTTGTTGCTGCCTGTCCACCCTGACCACCCCTAAACCTGGTGCACCTCACCTGTGCTCCCAACCTTTGCCATCACACCTGCCCAAGGGAAGAGGATGACAAAGGACCTTCTTGCTGTGGGCAAGCTCCTTACCCTCTTGGAATGCTAGTTTCCCAACTGTAAAGCGGGGGTGATAACACAAAGTCCACAGGGTTGCTATGAAGACTACAGATAATGTATGTTTGGCACTTGGAATAGAGCAGCCAAGGGTCAGCGTCTTCACACACTCTTCCTCCTGGAAATTTCTGCCCAAGGCCACTCAATCAAGGAGGCAGGGTTCAGCTGTAGGAGCAATTCCTGCCCTAGCAGCGTCACTGGGAGGCGGGCAGTGCTGAGGCCTTCCTGTGCCTCTCCAGTCACACTCTGTGGGCTACAGCTGCCAGGTCTATCCCACACAGCCGAATCTGCCTCTCCTTGGTCTATCTGTTGGGCCTGCTCAGGGAGTAGCTGGCTGCAGGCTGATGTCCTCTGTGCTCCTGCCTGCCCCACAACCCCAGGGTTCTAGGTAGAGCACCCGCACAAGGAAGGGAGGGCTCCGCCAGAGCTGATGGCCTGCCTGTCTGCCCATCTGCCCTTCATTTGCTCTTGGCTAGCTGACTTCACTCTCCATGGCTGCAGAGCAGTCGAACGGGGCAGAATGCCAAAGATCTTCAGCTTCTCTGGAGGGTGTCTGTAATCTTTCTGTAGGTCCCACCTGCCCTGCGTCAATGCAAGGTGCTATGGGGCCCCCAAGCAGATCCACCAGGGCAGGGGTTCTCAGCCCTGGCTGTACTTAGAATCACCTGGGGGATCTTCAAAACATGCTTAATCAGGTCCCCACCCTAGACCTACTCAGTCAGAATTGGTGGGGGGAAGCAGTGAGGCAGACATGCTATTTTATTTTTAATTCCCCTATGTGACTCTAATCTGATCCAGGGTTGAGAAGCACTCACTGGAGCCTTGCTCCTCAAAATGTGGGTCCAATGCCCAGCAGCATCAGAGCAGCTGGGAGCTTGTTAGAATCTCAGGCCCCATCTCAGATCTACAGAATCAACATCTGCATTTTAGCAAGACCCGCAGGTGATTCGTGCATCTATCAGCTTTTGAGAAGCATTGCACAGGTGGATCCCCTAGAAAGTTTCACGAGGACAGGGACGTTTGTTTTGTTCACTGCTGTATTCAGTAATGTCTGGAACAGTGAGTGCTGGCACATGGTAGGTGCGCAGGAAATATCTGCAGGGTTTCGAATGCGTACAAAAGAACACAAGAGTTAAGCCGAACAATCCATGTCCCCAGCTGAGCCCCCAAGGCTCGCCATTACCTGTCCATCACCCTCCCACCTTGAGGGATGGGGGTCGAAGGCAGGTGTGTGAGTGGCAAACAGGGATTAGAGGGCTTGGCTCCCTCCCGGAAGCTACCTGGCTTGGGCATCCAATCACCGCTCTGTTTGTACCCTTGCAGGTACCCTGTGAGCCTGTCGTCGGACCTGGAGTGGCGGCCTGACCGGTGCCAGGACGCCAGCGAGGTACAGCGCGACCCGCGCGCGGGTTCGGCGCCACTGGCTGAGGACGTGCAGGTGGACCCGCGCAAGGACTCGCACAGCAGCTCCGAGCGCTTCCTAGAGCAGTCGCACTCGTCCATGGAGCGCGCCTTCGAGGCCGACTACGGGCGCTCCTGCGACTACAAGGTGGGGTCGCCGTCCTACCTGGACAAGCTGCTGTGGCGCGACAACAAGCCGCACCACTACTCGGAGCCCAAGCTCATCCTGGACCTGTCGCACTGGAAGCAGGCGGCCGGCGCGCCCCCCACGGCCACGGGGCTGGCGGACACGGGGGCGCGCGAGGACGAGCCGGCCAGCCTCTTCCTGGAGATCGCGCAGTGGGTCAAGAGCACGCAGGGCGGCCCAGAGCACGCCAGCCCGCCCGCCGACGACCCCGAGCGCCGCTTGTCTGCCTCGCCCCCCGGCCGCCCGGCCCCGGTGGACGGCGGCGCCAGCCCCCAGTTCGACCTGGACGTGTTCATCTCCCGCGCCCTGAAGCTCTGCACCAAGCCCGAGGACCTGCCGGACAATAAACTGGGCGACCTCAATGGTGCGTGCATCCCCGAGCACCCTGGCGACCTCGTGCAGACCGAGGCCTTCTCCAAAGAAAGGTGGTGAGGGCGGAGGGGCCGCTCCAGGCCCCACAGAGCAGGAGACCCCCAGAGAAAGCCGGGGCTGGCAGGAGGCGGCCGCCCTTCCCGCCCCTCTCTGCTGCCTTGGGGTTGGCAGAACACGTGAAGGATCCGAGGAGCGAGAGGAATGTCCATTTCTTAAACTGCCTTAATAACTAGCCTTTAACCTGTGGGAGCGGGTTTGAACAGGACCCTGGCTTAGGGGTTGATCACTTTCCTAGCAAAGGGGAGACCACATGTGGTGCACAGGGAAGAAACGGCTTTAGACAGCAGTCTGCGGGCCCCACCTGGGTGGCAGGATGCCGAGAAATCTTGCAGAGGTAGCTCCGAAACCATCTGGCCCAACTAGCCTCAACTGACAGCTGAGGAAAGGCAATTAGGCCCAGAGAGGCAGAGACACTCGCTTAAGATCACAGGCTTAGTGTGAGGACGAGCTTGAAATCCCAGTCTCCTGGCCCCCAGGCCAGGGTCTGTCCACCATAGAATGTCTTCCTCTACTGGGGTCGTTCTGGCTTTTTGTTAGAAACTTGGTCTGAGATGTTTCTTCCCTGTCCATTACCATTCGATGTTCTTTTATTCAGAGCAATGTTTCTTGTATTCTGAAACTGGAAACTGAACCAGTTTGTTTCTCCTAGTCACCAAGCATACTTTCCTGGCTCCCCAAGTACTTAAATGTTCTCATCTGTCGCACCCCTGTATTTGCCTCACCCCTGCATGGTCGGAAATCTTCGTTTCAGGTCAGAACAGCCTGGGGTCTGTGGGTAAAATCAGCCCTTCTCCCAGGCCTGTGCACACACCCCCTCAGCACTCCCTATGCACTTTCCTGACACGCAAAGACACAGCCCTCTTTCCCCACTGGGCGTCCTACCCCAGTGAGGTTGAAGGCACCAATTCCAAGAATCCCTCCAACCTCCCTGCCAGCACTCCCCCTTCACCCCACACCCGGCCCCCCCACCTAACCACAGCGCCTCTCCAGACCTACCTCGGGACCTAATGTTCTCTACATGAACTGCTCATTTGGAGGACAGCAGTGAGGTCCTGCCATAGAGCAAATGTGTTAGGAGAGAAGGTTTCACATGGGACCCAACATCCTTCATCAATACTTTCCTGAGTTTGATCATCCATTTAGCCTTGACAAACAGCAGACCCTACAGAGATGTGTTGGAGAGCACGTCGTGACCTTGGGGGCAAGGAATCCAGAAAGGTAGGAAGATATGAAAAGAGAGGTGTCAACAGCAAGGGCTCTTAGGGGTCAGGCACCAGCATGGAGACCTCATGACAAAGGAAGGGACTCAAAGCAGCAATGCCCCTCATAGTGTAGGCTAAGGTGAGTTTGGTGCATGCAAACCTGTGTGCTCACCCACAGAGCATGGGGTAATGGTGTGTAGACACAGGCCCTCTGCAGAAGCGTGGGGTGGGGACACTGACAGCCCCTATCTGGTCCCCAGGAACATTCTACCATTTCTGCCACTGGTGTTCAGCTCCTTCTCTTCCCCCAACACTCCCAAAGATACCCACAGGAAGTCCAGCCAGTTTCCAGGTAGAGGATTCCACCAGTTGGTCTTGGGCTGCGTTCACCCTCACATCACAGCACCTTAAATCTAATCAGCAAACTATAATTTGTACGTTGAAACCTGCAACACATTAGAAACTTATATTTAAAAACAGAATTAATCACACTGACCAACTTTTAAATGGAAAATATGTAAATAGGAAGTGTTTGGGTTTTGTTTTTTCTTTAAGAAAAAGAAATGTACACCACTCCTCATGTGCCATTTTGTCCTCAGAGGGCGGCTTTACTTTTTTGGTAAAGGAACAAGCTGCTGGCCTTGACCAGGAGTTCATATATAACTGTTATTACAGAGGAATTGTTATAACTACTAATGTTTTTAAAAAATTTATTAAACATTATTAAACTTGATCAGGTCAGGCCAAATAAAGTTTTATTGGAACACAGATTTATTTATGTATTATTCATTTATGTATTATCTGATCCTGTCTTTGAGAGTGCTAAGAGCCTAGCTGGCTTCTCCCTGTGCCCATGAAGGCCACTGTATTTGGGGGTGGGGGAAGGACTCGGGAGGGGACAATCTACAGAGATTGGTAATCAGGAGGTGATTCCAGAATCATCTGGTGAGACCTGGTGTCCATATTGTGAATTTCAAACTATATCTTGGCGCTAACACCAAAACTTCTGACCAGGGCTGGTTCTCTCCTCTAGTCACAAAAGGTGCCAACATCATGAGATTGGGGGGAACCAACTACCTAAAAATACCCACCCGTGCTACCCCTCACAGATGCCTGAGATCCCATCCATCTGAAGTCGACCCCTTTGTAATATTAAACTGTTAGTCTTCATTTGTAATTCAACAAATACAGTTGACCCTTAAACAATACAGGTCTTTTGGCTAAAAGAACTTTCTACTGTTGAAATGCACCTGAGCCAAGAGGAGCAGCCTATTAAGCCAATTATCAGATTATTTCCAAAGTGTCTGCTGAGCGTGGCCATGCTGAGTGGATGCAGGTGAAGGGAGGCCAGAGCCAGGCCACACACCTGGTTGAAATTTTATATTGAAGAAGACTTGAAGCCCAATGTGAGGCCTGGGCTGCTAGAATGTAGGAAATGGAGTGTGGAGAGAGGGAATTGAGAAGCACAAACAGCAAACAGCACCAAAGAGGAAGGAGGACCGAAAAAGGAGGAAAGAGGGCACCTCAAAGGTAATAGTTCACAATCTCATCCAGCCACCTCTGATTCTAAGATGAAAACTTCTGTTAGGAGGGGTCCTAGGTCTACCCTATGTGAATAACATAGGGATCAGCAAACTATGGCCTCCAGGCCAAGTGGTTGTATTGGAACAAAACTACGCTTATTCATTTATATATTTGTCTGATCTTGTCTTTATTTTATTTATTTTTATTTATGTATTTATTGAGATGGAGTCGTGCTCTGTCGCCCAAGCTGGAGTGCAGTGGCACAATCTCAGCTCAGTGCAACCTGCCTCCCAGGTTCAAGCGATTCTCCTGGCTCAGCCTCCTGAGTAGCTGGGATTACAGGCACCCCCTCCAACACGCCCAGCTAACTTTTGTATTTTTCATAGAGATGGGGTTTTACCATGTTGGCCAGGCTGGTCTCGAACTCCTGATCTCAAGTGATCCGTCTACCTCGGCCTCCCAAAGTGCTGGGATTACAGGCATGAACCACCACGCCAGGCCTCTGTCTTTACTTTAAATTGTGATATTTTATATCATGGATTTTTTGCAATAATATTTTTTAAATATTGCATTCAAATATTTATCTTGGTTACCGAGGCTTTCGGCACCCTTAAATTTTGTGCCCAAGGCAAGTGTGCCTCACTGGCCCTCAACCTAGTCTTAGCCCTCATCTATGGCTGCCTCCATCCTACAGAGTTGAGCGGTTGCAACAGAAACCTCATGGCCCACAAAGCCTGAGATATTTATTACCTGGCCCTCTCCAGAAAAAGTTTGCTGACCCCTTGTGTAAGATGCTATGTGGCCTCCACGTCTTTGTGAATAAGTACACAACTTGCCTTGTCTTTTCTAGCCACTGACATTCCAGTTCAGAAATGCCACATTTCCATGACATTTTCTAATTACACATCCTATTTTCATGACATGATTGTCTCATTACACATCCTCGTTTACTTTCCATTCTTTAGGGAAATGTCTTCATTTGCTAGTGAGAAGTTTCTAAAAGTGTGGGAACCATCCTACTTGAGCTGAGGCTGAGGGGACATTATGCCAGAGGTTACTACCATGATTAGAAACCAGGCTTTTTGCTAGGATGGTTAGAACAGGCAAAAGCTCGACTTGAAAGCTGTGGTTCTCGATTGAACTAGTAAACTCCACATGGAGAGGGAAAATGTCTGATGTCCCCAACTGCTCGATTATGAGTCAAACTGTAGCAAGGGTGTGTCAAACAGCATATTCTCTTCATTGAGACTGAATCACTGAGAAAGCCCAGAAATACCTGCCTGGGTAATAGTCCTGTCTTTATTCATTATTCAATGAATATAAAAATTGACAGTAGATGGGCATTTACAGATCATCTAATCCAACCCCCTCATTTTGCTGATGAGTAGACTGACAGCAGCAAAGTAATTTGCCCAAAGCCACACAGTCAGTGGCAGAGCTAGAACAAGAGCCCAAATAGTCTTTCCAGGATAAACTCGTTTCATTCAACCTAACTGGGATACAGATGCTGCGATTGATACTTGGAGGAACAAAATCAGCCCTGAGGATGAGAACAGACCACAAAGGCAGGAACCAGGCCATCACAGGCCCCATGCTCTGCTCACCTCTTTGCCTGGGTGCTGGAGCCCTGAGCCTCTGGATGCCTGGAGCCCCAGAGCTGCCCTTAGTAATGGCTTTCTGCCCCTCCAGACAGTTCCTGCCTAGCTTGGGGCCTGATCTGTGTAGTAAGGAAACAAAGAAAAGAGAAGAGGGCACTGGCTTAGTTTGATTTCCTTCAGCAGCAAACCGTGAGATACGGATTCAAGTGCAAGGTTGTGGATGAGGAAACACTGAGAGGGCAGTGAGGAGGTGACAGGGAAGACAAGGAAGCAATAAACGGTGCAAGCTCCTGCTGTGGGGAACTGTAGCTGTGTCCTGGCAGGGAGCTCCAGGAGGCAGAGCGCAACATACACCTGTGAGACTTCCTGCTGCAGCCAGGCCTGGGTTGAGGACTGCTCTCCTGGGATGCTCCCTCCGCAGCACCTCTGGCCTGCCCTGCACTGCAGCAGAATGGGCTCCAGTGGCTAGAAAAAGGCCACAGGACCAGGCGCAGTGGCTCATGCCTGTATTCCCAACACTTTTGGAAGCCAAGGCGGGCGGATCACCTTAGGTCAGGAGTTGGAGACCAGCCTGACCAACATGGCGAAACCCCCTCTCTACTAAAAATACAAAAAAATTAGCTGGGCGTGGTGGCATATGCCTGTAATCCCAGCTACTCCAGAGGTTGAGGCAAGAGAATCACTTGAACCTGGGAGGCAGAGGTTGCAGTGAGCTGAGATCGCACCGCTGCACTCCAGCCTGGACGACAGAGTGGGACTCCCTCTCAAAAAAAAAAAAAAAGAAAGAAAGAAAAAGGGCATAGGCAAAAGGCCACAGGTGCTGACAGATGGGAGTCGGGCTGGCATGCAGAGAAAGGTGAGGGCCAAATGGATATTAGTAGAGCACCGACAGGTGTCAACAGTAGGATTTAACAGGAAGCAGGTCCAGGACCCAGGCAGAGAACAGCTGCTTAGTGCTGGCAACACACTCCCTGCCCTGGCTTGGGTTTTCTCAACTCTTCCTGGCCCTCCCTTCTTCCCTATAAGGATAAAAACTGGCTTTCAGCAACACATGGCTTTTCTTTTCAATCTCCCACACACCCCAAGTGTACCATCAGTTTTCTACCAATAGTCTCACTAATCAACTTTGGGATCAGCAATCCCAGCCATGGTTGAGAAGTGTTGGTGTCAAACCAGTAGGGTCTTTGTGTCAGAGCCTGCTAGTAGGCCTGGGGCTTAAGTGAAAGAGTTGTGTGCTCTTGCCTGACTTGAGGGACATTTTGGTCCTTGAGGTGTGAGTTTCACCTCATTGAATTACATTAAGAACTTCACTAAGACCACCGAGAACCCTTCTAGATGTTGACACCTGAGATCTCAGAATTGAAATTACTTAGTCTGCACTGATGTTCTCCCTTGCTCTGCACATTCTTGACTCACCAGTATCTGAACATTCCTATGCCTTGATGCCTGTTAGTGCCTAGTGGCACACGTAAGAGTGACAATGTGGCAGGGCTGAGTCCAGTGCATAATCAGGAAACCAAGCACAACCCACCAGGGGGCTGAACCCATGGCTCAAGGCTCCATGACACAGCACTCCTGCCAGGCAGCTCTGCTAAACTCTGGGCCACACTCCATTTCATTAGTAGTGAATGGCTCCGTTTCCATCGGAAACCAAAAAGAGCCATCTCAAGGTTGAAGTGAGACCGGTCTCAAGGCCCTTGCGATGGGCTCATGTTGGCCCTTCAGTGCACCTACCCAACATACAGGCTCTGTGGTGGAAAATAGGGAGCATAGGAATGACGCAAGTGTGTGGCTGAGAGCAAGACCGTGTCTTCAACAATTGCTTCATCCTGTCTCCCAGAACTGCTCACAGGTACACGAAAATGGTTTACGTCTTCTCTCCTGTAATTCAAGGGCTCAATACTAAGGTAGAGCTTTAAACATTGAGAAATTCAGAAACAAGGACGCTGTGAGCCATGCTGTGAGTTTTCCACTCCACTGATAGTGTCAAAATATGGCTGTGGGGTTGCAATGGCCATCAGAGTTTGACCATCGTTGTCTTGAGTTGGTTCCCTAAAATCAGTGCCTGAGATGGGCATTTGGGGGCCAGTGATTCACTGCCCGAATGCTCTAGGAAGTGGGGGATACAAGAGACCAACAGAGTATCAGCTTCCTGTATTTCCCCTTCCTAGACCAGGGGGATCTCAGCAGGCTTGTGGTCCTGGCTACAGACCAGCTTCAGCCTGGTCCCACCAAGAGCTCTGGTGCCTGAATTGCACCATAGAGTGGGGCCACCTTGAGAAAAGAGGATGGCCTTTGGTGCCTCCATGTCATCCAGTCATGGCTGCCAGCTGGGGAGGGTGGGGCGAGGAAACAGAACTCATTCAGCCAAGAGCAACTCTAGAGGCAGCTAGGAGCTATTTAGCAGCCACAACCCACAGCAGCTGGGTGATGGGTATACTCCCTGCTGTAGGGGATCTGGGCAGGTACCACCTGCATTGCAGGGCACTGCACTAGGCACTATGGGGGATAAAGAGGTAGGAGAAGGACCCGCCCCCAGAGGATTTTATCATTCAAGTGGGAAAATGGGGTAAATATATAAGGTCTCTGAGGTGCACCTGGAGACCTTCAACGTTCCCCACCTGTTGAGCCCTCCATGGCCCATCATTATTGATTTCCTGCTGTTGATATTCCCAAAAGTTGCCTCTCCACCACTGCTCCCCACCTCAGAACCCTCAGCCCAGTGACTGTCTTGAGGATCCCCAAGACCACCTTAGGCTTCATGATTCACTAGAAGGACTCGCAAGACAGAAAAGCTGGTATACTCACGGTTATCATTTATAACCATGAAAAGGGATTAGAATCAGCAAAGGGAAAAGGCGTATGAGCAACCTCCAGGAGAAGCCACATCTAAGCCTCCAGGTGTCCTCTCCCAATAGAATTGCATGAAGATGTGCTTAATTCTTCCAGCAACGATGTGGGTAGTATTGTCAAACCAGAAAATGTCACCTGAGCCTTGGAGTCCAGGGTTTCTATGGGGATGGTCAAAGATAGCCATGCAGTGCCTACGTGACCTACTTAGTCTCCAGCCCCCAGAGGTCACACTGATACAGCATGGCCCAGGGACTCAGGCACACAAAAAAAACCACTCTTATCAGGCCGTCTATTCCAAGGGCTCAGAGGTTATCTCCCAGAGGCCAATCAAGAACCTGTCCTCCTAAACACAGGCCTTTCTTTGAAATGTGCAGGGTTTGAGCAAGCAGGGCCCACCAACTTAACCCTTTACTGCACAGTGACATTGAATATATTTGTATCTTTTGCAATTCTGAAGTCATGTGAGTTTATCTTATGTGAGCATTACAGCAAAACTGAGGCAACACAGCTACTTATAATAGAGATCTTATTTGGTACACGTGCCTACGTACTTTTAAGCATGTGTAGCATCATTAAAACATAACAATAGAAGCATGCATGCTGAGACAGAGCAGAACTAACACCTGAGATTCCATTTCTTATTGAATCATGGTCTGCTTATGAAAGCTGAACCTGTCAACGAATGTGCAAGCTAGCTCACTGCTCATTCTGTCAGCGTGGTTATTACCATGGGGGCAATAGTGCTACATGCAATGATGGGTTGCTGTGAAAAGCAATCATCTCCAGCCACCCCAGAGCTGCACTGTAATGTGAAACTGAGGGCTTTGGAGTTCTGAGGCCAAGGGAGCTCTGTGGCTGTGCAGTTGCCTGAGGAATGGCTGCACAAAGAAGCACGGTTAAGAGATAAGGATGTCGGCCGGGTGCAGTGGCTCACGCCTGTAATCCCAGCACTTTGGGAGGCCAAGGCAGGCAGATTACTTGAGGTCAGGAGTATGAGACCAGCCTGGCCAACATAGTGAAACCCCGTCTCTACTAAAGATGCAAAAATCAGCCAGCGTGGTGGCCCATGCCTATAATCCCAGCTACTCAGGAGGCTGAGGCAGGAGAATCGCTTCAACCAGGAAGGCGGAGGTTGTAGTGAGCCGAGATTGCACCACTGTACTCCAGCCTGGGTGACAGAGAGAGACTCTGTCTCAGGAAAAAAAAAAAAAAAAAAAGAGATGAGGATGTCAACAGCCAGGCTGAGCCACGTGACAGCTCCAGACCTTGGAAGATTCCAAGAGACATGTGGAGCTGGGTTCCTGGGGGCTCTGGCGGTGAGAAGGAAGGAAAAGGTCAGACTCCTCCCATATAGGCTCCCCCTGGGTATGATTAGAGGGTGTGATTTTATGTGTCAATTTGGCTGGGCCACCATGGCAAGCCAAACATTATTCTAAATATTTTTGTGAGGATGTTTTTGGATGAAATTAATAATTAAGTCAGTGAGACTTTATGTAAATCAGATTGCCCTACATAACACGAGTGGGCCCCTCCTAATCAGTGGAAGGCCTAAATAGAACAAAAAATGACCTCTCCCAAGCAAAAAGGAACTCTGCCTGCAGACAGCCTTCTGACTTAAACATCCAAGCACCATTGGCTCTTCCCTGGATCTCCAGCTGCTGGCCCACCCCGAAGACTTCAGACTTGCCAGCCTCCATAATTCCTTAAAATATATTTCTTACTTAATTTTAAGGAATTAGGTATAATTATTAGGAATATGTATACACACAGAGAGAAGTATATTTAAGGAATTATATTTTAAGGAATATATATTTTAAGGAATCAATAAGATATGTGTGTACACTGCATATACTCACTTATAAGTGGGAGCTGAACAATGAGAACACATGGACACAAGAGGGGAAAAACACACACTGGGGCCTGTCGGGGGGTGGGTCAGGGGAGGGAGGGTATTAGGATAAATAGCTAACACATGTTCAGCTTAATACCTAGGTGATGGGTTGATAGGTGCAGCAAACCACCATGGCACACATTTACCTATGTAACAAACCTGTGTAATGTTACCTACGTAACAAACATGCAATGATGGGTTGCCGTGAAAAGCAATCATCTCCAGCCGCCCCAGAGCTGCACTGTAATGTGAAACTGAGGGTTTTGGAGTTCTGAGGCCAAGGGAGCTCTGTGGCTGTGCAGTTGCCTGAGGAATGGCTGCACAAAGAAGCACGGTTAAGAGATAAGGATGTCGGTACACATCCTGCACATGTACATCCTGCACATGTACCCTGGTACTTAAAATTTAAATTAAAAAAAAGATATGTGTGTATATATTTGTGTGCATATACATATATATACACACACATATATATATACACATACATATATATATGTATATGTGTACACATACATATATATATGTATATGTGTACACATATATCTTATTGATTCTGTTTCTCTGGAGAACCCTGACCAGGGGTTCCAGGACTTTACATGTCCTGTTCCATTTTAATTCCCACAACTGGAGAGATAGGTTATTATACCCATTTTACCAATGAGGAAACTGAGGCACAGAGAAGTAATTTGTCCAAGGTCAGCGAACATAGGAGTTTGGAGCAAGGACAATAGAGTCAGACAGGCTGGACTAGAATACCAGCTCTTCCAGTTACTAGCTGTGAGACCTGGGGCAAGTTACTGAACCTTTTTATGCCTCAGTTCCCTCATCGGTAAAATGGGGATAATAATGTTATCTATCTTATAGCATTACTATGAGGATTAAAGATGTTTAAATATGTAAAGCACTTGGACCAATACAGTGTTAGGTATGTAGAAAACGTTTTGCAGCCGGCCCTTCTCATCCACAACCAACAATGGATCAAAAATATTTGGGAAAAAAATAACAATAAAACAATTTAAAAATTCAAATAAAAAATGCAGGCCAGGCACAGTGGCTCGTCTGTAATTCCAGCACTTTGAAGGCTGAGGCGGGTGGATCACTTGAGCCCAGGAGTTTGAGACCAGCCCGGTCAACATGGCAAAACTCCGTCTGTACAAAAAATGCAGTAATTAGCCAGGTGTGGTGGTGCACGGCTGTAGTCCCAACTACTCGGGAGGCTGAGGTGAGAGGATGGCTTGAGCCCGAGAGGCAGAGGTTAGTTACAGTGAGCCAAGGTTGCGCCATGCACTCCAGCCTGGGTGACAGAATGAGACCCTGTCTCATAAAAAACAAACAAACAAACAAACAAAAAAAAAAAACTGGAGTATAACAACTATTGTCATAGCATTTCCACTGTATTAAATTATTATAAGTAGTCTAGAGATTATTTAAAGCATATGGAGGATATGCATAGGTCATAGGAGAAAACTAAGCCATTTTACATCAGTTACTTCAGCATCCTACATTTTGGTATTCTTGTAGGTTTTGGAGAAAAGGCCCTAAGGATACCAGGAATGACTGTGTAAGTGTTTGATAAATAATTAAAATAAACAAGGACCAGGCGCAGTGGCTCACACCTGTAATCCCAACACTTTGGGAGGCCAAGGCAGGTGGATTGCTTAAGCCCAGGAGTTTAAGACCATCCTGGGCAACATGGCAAAACCCCATCTCTACAAAAAATACAAAAATTAGCAGAGTTTGGTGGTGCACGCCTGTGGTCCCAGCTACTTAGAAGGCTGAGGTGAGAGGATTTCTCGAGCCCAGGAGGCAGAGGTTGCAGTGAACTAAGATTGCGCCACTGCACTCCAGCCTGGGCAACAGAGCGAGACACTTCTCAAAAAATAATAATAAAATAAAATGAACAAGATTATACCAATTGTAATTGGTGGATCCAGAATTCAAACTTAATAATGCTGACAATGTTATGTGATCTCTGGGGTTTTCACACTACATCAAACAATATGGAAAATCCACTTATTACCCTCCCTTTTTTTAAAGGCAGACTCTTGCTCTGTCACCAAGTGGGGCCAGGTATAGTGACTCCCTGCAGCCCCAAACTCCTGGGCTCAAGTAATTCTCTTACCTCAGCCTCCCAAGTGGCTGTGACTACAGGCACCCACCACTACGCCTGGTTAATGTTTGTATTTTTTGTAGAGACACGGTCTTGCTATGTTGCCCAAGCCGGTCTTGAATTCCCGGCCTCAAGCAGCCCTCAGGCCTCAGCCTCCCCAAAGTGTTGAGATTACAGGCCTGAGCCACCACACCTGGTCCCACTTCCCCATTAAAAATAAAAATCAACTGAAAAGTACACTACGCCCCACCTCTAACCCCACAGGGAAGGCCCCTGAATCCAGATTTGTACTGTGGTGACCTTCCTCAATCACCCCTCCCATTCCCACCACAGTAATTGGACCAGGGTGCACACCTGATCCAAGTTGAGCAAATAATAATCCCTCTCCTGGAAATTTAGATTTAAGGTACAGAGATGATTGTCTGTCTTTGCTGTTGCTTAAACTGAGGACAAGAGCTCTAGGGAGTATGTAGACAAAACCTACAACCAGACCAGAGCTGAGAGAATCCAACTATAGGAGACTCATGAATGCCAGGTGGGAGTGGGAGATGTGGAGGGGCCTCAGAGGGCCAATTTCCTCCCTCACAGTTCTGCCTATGGCTGTGCTTTTGGCCGTTCTTGCATTACTATAAATACCTCCGCCGGCCAGCTGGGTGGCTCAAGCCTGTAATCCCAGCACTTTAGGAGGCTGAGGCGGGTGGATCACCTGAGGTCAGGAGTTTGAGACTAGCCTGGCCAACATAGTGAAACCCCATCTCTACTGAAAAAATACAAAAATTAGCCAGATGTGGTGGTGGGCGCCTGTAATCCCGGCTACTCCGGAGGCTGAGGCAGGAGAATTGCTTGAACCTTGGAGGTGGAGGTTACAGTGAGCCGAGATCATGCCATTGCACTCCAACCTGGGTGACAAGAGCAAAATTCCATCTAAAAAAAAAAAAAAACCTGACACTGGGTAATTTATAAAGAAAAGAGGTTTGATTGGCTCACAGTTCTGCAGGCTATATAAAAAGCACGGTGCCAACAGCTGCTTCTGGGGGGGGCCTCAGGAAGCTTGCAATCACGGCAGAAAGCGAAAGGGAAGCAGACATCTCACATGGCAAGAGCAGGAGCATGAGAGTGAGGGAGATGCCACACATTTTCAAGCAACCAGATCTCGCATGACTCGCTCATTGCCAAGGGTTTCATGCTAATCCATTCATGAGGGATCCGCCCCCATGATCCAACCGCTCCCACCAAGCCCTACCTCCAATACTGGGGATTACATTTCAACATGAGATTTGGAGGGGACAAACACCCAAACCACATCAGGCTGACCCTGCCTTGGCAGGGCAGAGATCAATCAATGACAAGAGATGTCTCTTTGGTTTAGCACATACGTAGGGTCTCTTTGACACCTTCTTGAGCTGATGCTCTCACTGGGGAAAGACATTTAAGGACCAAAGACACAAGGTTGTAGGTGTAATTAAACTTCCATAAGGATCTGTGAATAGGAAAGTTGATTCAGCCAACAAATGTCCCCTGACCATGGGAAGGAGACAAGCCACAGCTGTTTTTACCAAGTGGAGCTCATTAAATTAATTACCTTACCACCAGACAGCTCATTCAACACCCTGGAGGAGTTTTAATAAAATCAGGGATGTCTGAGCAGAAAGAGGCCATCTAGTGAATCCAAACGGTCACCCTAGAGAGAGGGTCGCAGGCCCAGGGAAGCTAGGTGACAGCTGCAAGTTCACACGGCAAGCGGGTGGCTCCTGGCTCATAATCTAGTGCTCTTCCTTCTACAGAATGAAACTTTATCTTGGGATTTGTGCATTCACTGGGGTTGGCTATTCAAAAATTCCAACATTCTTTTCTCTTGTTTCTCTTCCTCCCTAGAGGCTGAAAAAGTTGCTTCCCTTGCCTTCCTGAGAGCAACTCACAGCCAGTGACCCAGTTCAACAAGATATAAAAGGATGTTTCCTGAGAAGCTTCTCAATACTCAAGTTCAATGGGCCACATGAGGAGCAAACCTTTACCCTCTGCTTTTTGCTTTTAAATGTTGATGCAATGCTGGAACCTCAGCAGCCCCCTTGAGATCATGAGGCAATAGGACAAAGGACAAAAAGCCAAACAGACTGAGGGAGTGTAAAAGAGGAACAGAAAGAGCCCACAATGACAAAGTTAAGCTGCTGAATCAGCCCTAGAGCTGCCTACATTTCAGTTAAGAAAGCAATAAATATCCTTGTGATTAGGCCAATTCATCTTTGGTCACAAGTTTTCCTTTGCTTACAGCTGAAGGCAACCCAGTGATTACAGGGTGAATTTGAAGGCACCTGGTTTCTCCACTATCTTGTTCTTGCTACCCCTTTGCAATCTGGGATCCCTGCAGCTTGGTAGACTATATAAACTTGTCCTGTTCTCTAACACCTACAGTTGGTGAAATTTGTTACACGCCTGGGACCACCTGGCTGCTCTTAGGGGCATATTTTGCCCAGTGTTATGTCTCTTGCTGCAAAAAAGCTGACTTTTTAAAGAGCCAAATGAGCAAAGCTTTCAAATCACAGTGAATGAGTGGGCTCTTACAGACACTATACAGCCACAAGTTGCCTCTCACCTCCTCCTGCCACCCAGAGACATTTTCTTGATTTATTGCATTTTAACCCATATCTCTCTAGCCATCCATCTCTCCAGCCTATATTTCGAGATGTTTACTGGATACTTAGCCCCTCTCAGGAACAACCCATTCCCCATTTTTCAAGTCCTCCTGACTTTAACATCTTCCTGTGTCTCCTACCTTTGCATTTGCTGGGGGAAGATAGATATTTATACAGAGAAACTCCCATCTGCAAGCCCCATTTCCTCATAAATTTTAATCCTATTTCTCCTTCAGCATGAGGGGTGAGGAGTGGCTCTGGCAAAAGAGGAGAACGTGAGGACATGTTGTAGGCTCAGCCCAGAGGCCCACAAAACCACACACTCCCTGTCTCCTTCCCCTTCTCTGAGCCATACCCTCTCAGGGCAGTCATGGCTTAGAACTAACAACTGCACAAGATGAAGAATCTGAGACCTTTCTCTACCTGCTTCTCTCACTGAAATTGATTTGCCCTACCCTTTTGAAATCCTGGTTGCTAGAAGTTCCTGGTCCTCACTGTCTAATCCAGTAACCTGTGGCCACATGTGGCCACTGAGCACTTGAAATGTGATTAATCCAAACTGAGATGTGCTATTTAAGGAGAAAAAACACTTTTCCTCTACTGTGTTCTTGATTCTCTTGCTGGGGCCCTAGATACTAAATTGACAAAAGATAGATTAACAAGAGAAAAACGAACAGTTATTAATATGTCCAGCATGCATACGCTCAGGAAAAACTAAGCGATGACTAACTTAAAAGGGTAGTTAGTACTTGAGGCTTATAGAACATTTTAACAAAGAACAATAAAATTGTAGAAAAGAGACAAAGGAAAAAGGATTTAGGCTTTAGCAGTGGCAAGCTGTGAGAAGGTAAATATATGACAGGTGGAACTAATGGAAGAGAAAAGTTATTTTAAGGCCAGGTGCAGTGTTTCATGCCTTTAGTCCAGCATTTTGAGAGGCGAAGGTGGGTGGATCACTTGAGTCCAGGAGTTCAAGATCAGCCTGGGCAACATAGCGAAACCCTGTCTCTACTAAAAACACAAACATTAGCCAAATGTGGTGGCATACACCTGTAGTCCCAGCTACTTGAGAGGCTGAGACAGGAGGATCACTTGAGCCCAGGAGGCAGAGGTTGCAGTGACCCAAGATTGCGGCACTCCAGCCTGGGCAACAGAGCAAGACTCCGTCTCAGAAAAAAGAAAAAAGGTGCGTTTAGTAAGGTTGTTATGCAGAGTCCTCTTGTTGCTATTTCCGAGCTGATAAGAATCTAAAGGTGTCCCTGTCTGTTTTTAGGAAAATGGGGGAGAGGGCAGGGAGTTGTTTTCAATCCTAGCATCTGCTGTTTCTCAATTGTCTTCAGCTAAAAATAATCCTTATGGCAAAGTGGCATATTTTAGGGTGATGTATTCTGATCCCCTTCAGCTGCAAGTATAAAATAGACACCAAATTTCAAAGACTTAGCTCACCCCCCAAAAATAAAATATCTCATTCATAATTTTTTATATTGATTACATGTTCAAATGATAATATTTTTGATATATTAAATAAAATATATTAGAACTAACTTCCCCTGTCTCTTTTTAATGTGGCAGGCTAATACACAAATTTTAAATCGCCCATGTGGCACCTTTACAATGCTATTGGACAGCATAGTTCTAGAATGCTATGAGCTGACTACAGCCATAATCCTTTTTCAATAATATTCCACTTCAGTGGGGTCTTTATCTTCTGAAACCAAAGGAGGGGCACTCATAGCTGAGCTCCAGGCCCCATGTATCCTTTGTGGGGCAGGCCTCCTTCAAATCAATCACAAAAGTGTTGGTCTCTTGTCATAAAGATTGTCTACAAACTCAAATAGCCCCAAACAACAACAAAAAAGTGGTTTTTTGTTTTGTTTTGTTTTGAGACAGAGTCTCTCTCTGTTGCCCAAGCTGGAGTGCAATGGTGCGATCTCTGCTCACTACAACCTCTGCCTCCCAAGCTCAAGCAATTCTCTTGCCTCAGTCTCCCGACTAGCTGAGATTACAGGCGCCCACCACCATGTCCAGGTAATTCTTATATTTTTAGTAGAGACGGGGTTTCACCATGTTGGCCAAGGTGGTTTCTAACTCCTGACCTCAAATGATCCACCCGCCTCAGCCTCCCAAATTGCTGGGATTACAGGCATGAGCCACAGTGCTTGGCCAAAAGTGATGTTTATTAGACAGAATAGTATCTCTCGAAATTGGAGGGCAAGAGGCCAAACTGGGTCTCATAAGGAACTACCCTTAAGCCCCTGGGAAGCCAAGGCCAAGGTTCTTTTCTCCACCTCCCTGTGCAAAGCGTTTTATTTTCTCATCTCTTGGCCCAAACACTTTAATTTCACTTCAAGCCCTGAACCTATATGTCCTTCTGCTTCACCTAAGTTTAGCAGATCAATCTCTGAAGTCACCAGGACGGAGTGGAGACTCAAGATGACCTGCTTACCAGATTACAGGTAATTTATTTTATCTCTAGTGGTGCCAGACGTTGCATTTTACATTTGAGTCCCATGACGCTAGGCTGTGATTTATTTATTAGACTTGACAATGACATAAGTCCGCCTTGTGCATGCAGAGGAAATTTTAGTCTGATTCTGAAAATGGAAGGAGCTGCTGCCAAGATGTTCACTGATTTAATGTTGGGGGAGGGGGTAAGCCTTTCACTCTCATGAAACTTGCCTTTTGGCTTGTAAAATTAGGTGAAAAGAGAACACTCTTATGATAACTCATAATTATGAAGATTTGCATATACGGAGGATGGTGGAAATCAAACTTCATTCCTTAAATACCTAGTGAGACTTGGTCAGACAGCCAGAGCTAAACCTCTTTCCTTTTCTTCTTCTTCTTTTTTTTTTTTTTTTTTTTTTGGGATGGAGTCTCTCTCTGTCACCCAGGCTGGAGTGCAATGGCATGATCTTGGCTCACTGCAACCTCTGCCTCCCAAGCTCAAGCAATCTCCTGCCTCAGCCTCCAGAGTAGCTGGGATTACAGGTGTGTGCCACCATGCCCAGCTAATTTTTTAGTAGAGACAGGGCTTCACAATGTTGGCCAGGCTGGTCTCAAACTCCTGACCTCAAGTGATCCTCCCGCCTCGGCCTCCCAAAGTGCTGAGATTACAGGTGTGAGCCACCGCGGCCAGCTCAGGGCTAGACCTCTTATGAGAGTGGCAGATGTCTCCCCAAATGGAGTGATCAAAACTCTGCAGAGAAGACCCCCAGACCCTCTTTCCCACTCTAATCTGTTCCCAGATGCCAACCTCTAGCCCTTAACAGCCACACCATTGAGATCACATGCAACCACACTACCCAGAAGAAACAACGCATTTCACTAGCCTGAGTTCCTTCATCAGCTCAGCTAGATTTGGAACAGGTTGCAGAGAAAGGGATAGAGATCAGGCTGGTTTTGATGAAATGGGCAGAAAAAGCATGAGCCTGCAACAGAATCTCTTTTCAAGAAACAGAAACTAAAAAGCAAGTGGAAGAATCAGTGACCACTTGGTAAAGGAGCTAGAAGTTAAACTGGACAGAGAATAAAGAAGTGAATTTCCACAGGGAGAGTTGGGGAAAGGCCCTCTGGGATAACTTGGGTTTTTTTGTTGTTTTTGTTTTTGTTTTCCTAGATAGAGAATCTGAAATCCCTCTCAGGAGAGGGAAAGCCAGATCAGGCCAGGAGCAAGCCCCACTCTGGGGCAGAAACTTGCAGGAGGCTGAGAATAAGACCTGGTGAAGATGGAGGAGGAGGTGTCTGTACCTGTCCACAGCTTCATAACTTGTGCAAACACTGCAAGCATTTAGTCTTTCAGGTGTGACCTTCCTGGGTTGGCCTATTCACTAACCAGAAGCCCTTTAGTGGATCTTTCCTTAAAGGTGAAATCCGTGTTGATAATTTCTCCTTTTAAAAACTATATTGCTTGACATTTTGGGCTGGATGATTAAACAAACAAACAAAAACCTACATTGCCATGTTTCCCAGACCTGATAACCTGAGAGGTAAGCTAGCCTTGTGGTACTGAGACCAATGTGGACAGCATGTCTTTGCCTCTTCTCTAGACTGTGTTAAAAAAAAATTAACTGGGAGGCCATTAGGCTTACACTGTTCCGGCACCTTGGGTTCCTACATAAACGAACAAAGGCCAGTGTCAGCAATAAAATGAAACTTAAGCTTGATCAGTCAGAAACTGACAACTAACCTCTAACTGGGGGACTTGCCACCAGATCATACCCAAACAAGGCAAATACCTGCCTGCAGCCCATCAAATAATTCTTTGCCTCTGCTTTCAGCCTATAAAAGCCCTCTGCTCATGCTGCTAAAGCAGAGCCCTCTGAACCTCTCTTGGTTCTGAGTGCTGTCCAATTCATGAATCATCTTTCGCTCAAATAAATTCTGCTAAATTTAATTTGTCCAAAGTTTTTCTTTGAACTCCTGATGTTACAAGACTTTCAGCCCTAGCCAGTTTCTTCTCCAATAATTTCTAAAGTCACCAAGAGGCACCTTACCTGTGTACCAAAGAAGCCATCTTGGCCACCCCATGTCCCCCTTTCAGCTCAGGCTCAGAGAGGGCATGCTTGCAGTGGAGGCCACGGGGACCTGATGTTCACATGGCAGCTGCTGTGACTGCAGGAGCTGCAGGGGAGTAACACAGAAGCCCTACTCAGAGCCCCTTCCTGTGGCTGCCTGAGGCTCTAAGTTCTACAAAGACTGCCATTTTCCCTTTTCCTGCCTCCTCCTACTGCTTGAACGCTCCCTTTCCTTAAATAAAGGCAGAGGGAGGGGCTTGGTCTCCTCAGGCAAATAGGCTCCCAGCAGGTTCCCGCCACCAGGCCCCAAGCAAGCCTAGAC
Source organism: Homo sapiens (assembly GCF_000001405.40). Lineage (NCBI taxonomy): Eukaryota > Metazoa > Chordata > Mammalia > Primates > Hominidae > Homo > Homo sapiens. The sequence goes on from NC_000018.10 coordinate 50,748,505, forward strand.
CTGCCTCCCTCTCCTGGGGCTCAGGCCAGGGTCCCTGCTGTGCAAGTGACAAACAGGTCACTTCTTGGCTTTTCTCTTCTAGAAAGAAACTCGACTTCAAAGAGGAAGGGTGGGTGAGCCTGCTAGGGTTATAGGATTAGGCTCTGTGAAGCTGCTGTTAAAGTTTTATGAGCCCCAGCCTAGCTGTGAGAGTGATTATCCTGCAGCTCCCCAGCTGTTCTCCAGCCCCAACACGCAGCTCTGCTTCAGAAGGCAATGCAAGAATAAGGCAACGCAGGAATCCGGCCTCAATGGCCAGAGCAGATCTGAACAGATTGCTGATAACACTCTGGTTGCTTGCCAGCAAAACCTCCAAGTTGCTTTGTGTAATTTTTTCCCTCTACTCTTTTCACACCTCTCTGTGGTGGCCCCTGGCGAAAATCAACCATGTCAGGGTCTTTTCAAGGCTTGTTCTCTCACCAGGGTCAGCCCAGCCTGGAGGAGGCATTTCATTTGCACAGAACAGCAGGATGACAGATCTGCCATTAGTATTCATGATCTGGAATCCCAGGAATGGACTCTCTGGACATGTGGGAGTAGGTTGGGCTGACAGATCTAAATCAAGCTCTGAATTCTCTACTCTCAGAGCTCCGGCCCATCTTCTGTCAAATGGGTCACAGATCCACTGCAAATACTGGCCAGTGATCAGATGCTGCTGACTTGCTCAACAGGGTCAGGCTTTCACCGTCAGAATCGGTGGCAGGTTACTAACAAGAGGAAGGACCAAGGAGGGTTACCATGGGGATGTTTGCATGTGCCGAGATAGAAATCAGAATCCAGGACCCTGCAGTGATTTCCATCTGAGAGAATTTGCTATAAGGTAACTATTAAATAACTGTTCCCCTGAGTTCCCTAAAGTCATCCCGAGGAGGTGCCATGTTGCCAAGGGCCAGGCTGGAAACCTCCCAAGCCCCACCCCTTGGCCCAAAGGTAAGAGAGATGGCAAGAAAGAGTTGGGAGACAGAAATGGTCTACTGTCCCCTCATCTCACCCTCCCCACGGTTACCACCCGCCCACCAATGCAGGGCAGCCTTTGACCTTCCCTGGAAGGTCTGATGTCATCTTTAATGGTCTGTTTCCATGACTTGCAGCACTACAGGTTTGGGAACCAAACAAATGACAGGTTAATAACAATCAGACTGGGATTTGGCGATGAACCCTCACTTGTCAGAGGCCTCAGTGTTAATAACCGTACTTCCAGTTCAGGGACGCTCTGCTAATAAGGTGAAGAGTGTGGCTTGTTGTGTGTGAAGATTACAAAGCAGAAAGGTTTCTCACATGATCTATAAATTCGCCCATGTAAACTACCTAAGACAAAGGCTAAATACGTTCACTTTGGGGGCTGAGATAATGCACAAAGGAAAACTGTGTTCTTCTAAGCTAAAACTAACTGCAGAAGTCCAGAGAAGGTGAGTGAGGTGTCCCACCAGGAAGGTGGGGGGCGGGGAAAGGATTCTCACTGCAGCCCCGAGGGCTGACAATGGTGCTGAAATCCAGGCTGCCACTGTCACTCCTCACATCATGACATCCCACTGAGAAACACCGCAGGACAAAGCAGCCCAGAGAGAAGTCACTCTAGATTTCCACCAGGAACACACTGCCCGACTGTGCATCACCTGTCCAGAGCTTCCTTGATCCTGTAACCCCTCCCCCTGGCTCCCTTCTTCTGGAGTGTGGGAACAGGGGGGAAGCAGAGAAACAATGACAGCTGTTAAAGGAACCACTAGCCACTTACCTTGGTGCTGCTGTTGTTCCTAACCAGCCTTGGGGAGGAGAGGAGCAAGTGCAAACTATGAAGAGAAGTTAGGCAATTTTAATCAGGGCTTTGAAATGCAAACCCCAACACACTGAGCAGAGGGGGTAATGGTTGGAAATCATAGGAGGAGGTGTATTATTTTTGGATACATCATAAAGCTAAGAAGATATTGAAAAATACCCACTGAACTAGTGTCAAGGGGAGGGTCGGGGAGAGGGCCAAGTCTCAGGACAGGACAGAAAATGGCCTCTACTCTGCTGAGAGGGAAGTGAGAGCAGAACTGGAGACCCTGGGACTGTCTGCCTGCAAGGCAGATACCCAGAGGGTCCCTGGCCAGCACTCATGAAGTCCACAGTGGACTGAAGGGAAGCAGGGGCTTGGTCTTCAGGTTGGGGGACACAGAATGGGAAGCTCAGGGTGACACCTGGTTGGGGCCAAGGAAAGGAGAGTGGCCTCTGGGGAAGCAGACACAAGGCATGGAAGGCTGCTATGGTCTGAATGTTGACGTCCTATATATGGTGAAATTCTAACCCCCAAGGTGATGGTGTTAGAAATGAGGTCTATGGGAGACGACTACATCATGGAGGCAGAGCCCTCATAAATGAGATTAGTGCCCTTATTAGAGAGGCCTGAGAGAGACCCCTGGCTCCTTCCACCATGTGAGGACACACTGAGAAGGCACTGTTTATCAGCCAGAAAGCAAGCCCTCACCAGACACCAAATCTGCCTTGATCTTGGACTTCCCAGCAAGCTGCCCAGTCTATGGAATTTTGTTATAGCAGCCCAGATGGACTAAGACAAAGGTTTGGAGTACATGTGTGTAGTAGCAAGATCACCAGTCCAGGAGACGGGAGATCCAGGTCTTAGTATCTGAGGTCCAGTCCTTCATCTCTCTGAGCCTTTGCCTGCCCACACATGTCAGTGGGGAGTGGGAACCCTGCCTCATCTGCATCTCATGATTGAGCTGATCCATTGGGATGGCAGGTCTAGAAGTGCAACATATTACAAAGTCCTAATGCATGTGCAGTCTGCAGGATTACTTCAAAAGGAGGAGTTAAGGTTCACACACACCTGGATGGCTGGCTGAAACTTACCCACTATGACTACTAGTATGCTTTGAGCATCACCAGTCTGACAGGGGCAAAGTTCCAAGCCAATTCTTCACTTAGGGGGGACTCTGATGCCTTCCATCTGCCACTTCTTGGAAGCCATGAACCCCCAAATTGGATCAAATGCTGGGAGATGGAATTACCAGGAAGTGCAAGGACTAATAGGTTGGGGGAGGCAGGGAGAGGGGAAGGAGTTGAGGAGAATGCAGCCAGCAGCTGCTGCAAAGGCTGGAGGAGAGGATAATTAGATCAGGCTCCAGAGGAGCCAGCGGGAGGAGCAACCTGTCTTGTGTCTGCTGACCACGTGGTCCAGGCTGGAAGGGGCAGCGGCTGGTCCCCTCAGGCCGGCAACACAGACCAGACTTGCTTCTGAACCAAGTTAATCTCATCTCATCATTTCCCACCTGCCCAAATGGTCTACCCAGCTGAATTCTGAACTGCCAGCCTAATACGTAGGTTCTACATGATATAACTTGAGGACTAGAAAATGATCCCAAACATAAAAAACATCCCGCCCACCCACAAGGTGGGGAAGGAGTTTCCACTGTTAGGACTCTTTCCCCTGGGAGATGCTTGTCACCTGTCAAAAGGTGCCCTTGGAAACCAGAGAAGATGCCCCCAAGAATAATGGAGACAGAGCAAGGAATGCAGCTTACCCTGAGAGTAAAGGGGCAGGGAGGGAGACAATGGGGGAGGGAGGCAATGGGGGAGGATAAAAAAGGAAAAGCAGAAAAGGGGAGAAGGAGTGGGGACACCAAAGAGGTGGAGACTTATGTCTGGAACAGTGACATCATGCTCTCCACTTACCTCATCTGGCACAAGCTACCCAGGGGCTTGTTTTCCTATGAATTAGAATGTTACTCAATTTGATTTCTGTGTACTTACCCCCATGAGCTATTTGTCCTATTGAGTGTCTCTAACAGCACGCTCCCCACCAGCTTCCTCAATGACAATCCTGTTCCAGGAGCCAAGAAAATATATATATATATATATATATATATATCTGGACACATGCAGAATGCAAACACCAAGTGGGACAACTGGAGATTCTGGGACAGGGAAAGATACCGAACCCTTGGGGTTATGCACCTGCAGGGAGAAGTCTGTGCTAGCCACCTCTCACTTCAGCACTCTCCAGAAGCATGGGCTCACCTCTTCCCTGTACCATTAGTTCAGAAACATCCACTCTTGTCTCCAACACCCTGACATGCAGACTTGGTCCATGGAGCCAAACTTCCATCAGAATCAGGGAAGAAACTATAAGAGCAGGAACAGACTGAGTTAGGAGAAAAGGAGGCTGGATTTATAAAGATTGCATTCCGTGGCAGCCATGGTTTGAATCTGATCCTTGGGCCTCGTTGTTCCAGCTGACATGGACAATAAGAAATGAGGACATCTGGGCTGGGCGCAGTGGCTCACGCCTGTAATCCCAGCACTTTTAGAGGCCGAGGCGGCAGATCATTTGAGGTCAGGAGTTCGAGACCAGCCTGGCCAATGTGGTGAAACCCCGTCTCTACTAAAAATACAAAAATTAGCCGGGTGTGGTGGCGCACGCCTGTAATCCCAGCTACTTGGGAGGCTGAGGCAGGAGAATTGCTTGAACCTGGGAGCTGGAGGTTGCAATGAGCTGAGATCACACCACTGCACTCCAGCCTGGGAGACAGAGTGAGACTCTGTCTCAAAAAAAAAGAAATGAGGATATCTGGAGGCCAGGAGACAGCTGGCAATTCAGTAAGTGTCAGTCTGAAACTGTTACCGTCACTCTAAACTCAAGTCAGGCCACTCTATTCCTGTGCCATCGTTTTCTGGCCTACAAAACCAGGACAATTAAAAATCACTTCAGTTATTTCCTCAATGAACAAATATGGAGTGAGGGTCTACTGTCCCCCAGGGCCTGGCTGGGGAAACAGAGATAAATATCACAGCCATAGAGCAACTAAAGACAACTGCACCTTCTTTCCTGTTGAGGACTTCAGAGCCTGCACTGTGGGCAGCACTGTGACCTCAACACAGCCTCATGAGGGAGGCAGGTTCCAGAAGAGAACTCTGAGGGCAGGAGTTTCGGTGCTGTCTCTCTACAACTACACAGCTGGTCCATGGCTGGGCTGGGCTGCAACCCCAGGGTTGGAGGCCTTGGCTCAGAGGCTTGGGGGAAACCTATGGCAGGGAGTGGGGAAGGCAGGGAGAGCCTTTTCTGCTGCAGTGCTTCTGCTTTGTCTCTCTTCCCCTTCAAACTCCCTTTTTTCTTTCTCAGCTGATCAGAGCCTAAGGAGGCACCAATTGGCTAGTGGGACTCCAAGTGATGATGAAAACCCTGAACTCATGGATAAAGGGACAAAGGAAACTTGCTCCCTGGAACCAAGGACTTGTGATGGGGAGAGTGGCCCACTATTTCAGGACACTCCTGGTAACTCCTGTAGATGGTCCTCCCCTAACAGACAAAGACAGGCAAAGCCGCAATGGCTGCTTCCACCTCATGAGTGTTAGCACAAATTCATTCATTCATTCATTCATCTGTTTATTGAGCCCTGCTATGTCAGGCACCCTGGGGGTATAGTGACGGAGAAAGCAAATAAGGTTCCTACCTGCAAGAAGCTTATGGTCTAGTGCAGTGCACCCCAACTTTTTTCACCTTGAGGTACACCTAGAAAATGATTAAATGTGTATCAACTATCAGAGTGACTGATGAGATCACTCTGGCTGGTGGGGACCAGCCCAGATCCTCCAGCTGACCCAGGACCCCACAACCCCTCCAGTCCCAAGGGCTGAGAGGATCAATATCATAGTAAGCCATGCACCCTGGCTAAGGACCTCCAGCTACATGGTTATAGGTGGGTTTCTGATTTGTAGCTACCGGGGCAGTCAAGATTAATGGAAAACAAGGGTACTATAACCTGGGAGTGTTAGACCTCAGAAGAATGAAACCATGGTAGTTTCAAACCATGGCTGCAAATTCTTAACATCCCTCCCATGAAGAGATGGTGTCCATATCCCCACCCCTCCCATGAAGAGATGGTGTCCAAGTCCCCTCTGCTAAGTGGGCTTGTGACTGCTTTGACCAATAGAGTACAGCAGAAGTGTGATGCTGTGTGATTTCCAAGGCTGGGTCATAAAAAAACAGGCAGTTTCCACTTTGCTGACTGGAACCTGTGCTTTTGGAGAACTGAGCCTCCACGTAAGAGGTTCCACTGTCCTAAGATACCATCACGGAGAGACTATGCATACATGCTCTGGTTGACAATTCCAGCTAAGCCCACCCTTCAGACCCACACCAGATATGTAGGCGAAGAAGCTGCCTATGACTCCAGCCCTTTTTGTTCAAGTTTTCCCAGACATCATGGAGCAGACAAAGCCATTTCCACAAAACCCTATCTGAACTCCTGACCCACAGAATCCATGGCATAATAACATGGCTATTGTTTTATACCACTGGGCATTGGGACAGTTGTGCAGCAGTAGAAGCACCAGGACAAAATCAAAGCCCCAACTAAGGATGCTGGGCTGACCCCAGTTCACAAGGATGACCCTCCACTGCATGTTACCACAAGAGGTGAGGGTAGTGGGAGAAAAAAGACAGCTCACAGGAAAGCAGCTTCCTCAACCTCAGTCTTCCTGGCAGTGGCAAAGTTAGCATACCCTCAGCAGGTCAATCTTCTAGTGGTCTACAGTCTGCTCCTGCAGCCTTTGCATGGACTTTGTAAGCACCCAACTCCCTGTATTAAATCCTTCTCTGCTGACAAGAACCAGAGTAGCTTCTCATACCTGCAACTGAACCTACCTAATGCAGAGCCCAAATACCCTGCTCACACTCCCAGAGCCAACTTGGTTTCTCTCCATTTCAGAGATTGGCTCTTAGCCTTTTCACTGATTATCTGTGAAATTTACCAGAATCCTTCTAGTAAGTTTCCTTTGCTTTGCCAAAATTGATTTCTGTTGTTTGCAACCAAAGAACTCCAATTGATACAAAATTTAAGCTGCTAATTAAGTGAATATCTTATCTAGTAGTCTCCCCTTATTCACAGTTTCACTTTTGGCGGTTTCAGTTATCCAGGATCAACCATGGTCTGAAAACATTAAATGGGAAACTTCAGAAATAAACAATTCATAAGTTTCAAAAGACTTTCCTTATAGTATATTATAATTGTTCTATTTTATTATTAGTTATGGTTGTTAATCTCTTACAGTGCCTAATTAATATATTAAACCTTATCATCCATATATATGTGTGTAGAAAAAACATAGAATATATAGGGTTCAGTATTATCCAAGGTTTCAGGCTCCCATGAAACATCTTGGAACGTATCTGCCTTGGATAAGGGGGGGACTACTGTATTTAACCCCCTTTTTAAGAACCCACTTTTCAGATGAACAGTGTAGAAAAGAATAATTTTCACATGATTTGAAGATACAACCGTAAATGTTTTTAGTCTTTAGAGATAGCTTTTTTTGTGCATGAAAAATAATCTTCAGAATTTACTTTGGTATTTAAAGCCAATTATTACAGAAACAAATTCAAAGGCTTAGTTTTCCCTATGTTTTTAAGTTCAATTTAGACATAGTATTCAATTTATAAATCTTTCAAATTTCACAATAATTTTAAGAAGATTTGTATAACTTAATTCCTTGGAATATTTTATCTGTATTTATAAACCCAACATAATAAATTCCCTTTTTAAAATAATTCAGTTGTCTAGCTAACCAACTTTTCCAAGTACTAAAGTGATTCTTACAAATCTCCTAAATCAAGTTTATAAATACAATGATGAAGTTCTTTTAAATGTGCCTATGCTATTTATAGACTAAGATTCTCTTGCAGTTTTCAGCTTAGAATTTAAATTGATTGCTCGGGACTGTAATTAGCCAAATTCTCCAAATACTTTTGGACACCTGATACAGTTTGGCTGTGTCCCCACCCAAATCTCATCTTGAATTCCCACATGTTGTGGGAGGGACCCAGTGGGAGGTAATTAAATCATGGGGACAAGTCTTTCTTGTGCTGTTCTCATTATAGTGAATAAGATGCATGAGATCTGATGGTTTTAAAAAGAGGAGTTTCCCTGCACAAGCTCATCCTTTCTTTGCCTGCCACCATCCACATAAGATGTGATTTGCTCCTCCTTGCCTTCTGCCATGACTCTGAGGCTTCCCCAGCCACGTGGAACTGTAAGTCCATTAAACCTCTTTCTGTAAATTACCTAGTCTCAGGTATGTCTTTAACAGCAGCATGAAAATGGACTAATAACACCACTTGGGTCCTACCTCACACCCTCACAGCCTACCTTTTGCTTTAATCACTCCTGTAGTAACCACAGGTGAGGCCAGACAGCACCTCTCAGCTTCAGTCTCTTGCTTTGTACCTGTGTAATTCTCAGACATTCAGACGCTATGGCAAAGGGCTCCTTGGGAACTGCTCTACATTCATAAACACACACACACACACACACACACACACACACACACACACAGAGCGAGCGAGAGAGAGAGAGAGAGAGAGAGAGAGAGAGAGAAGGGAGGGAGAGGGAGAGGGGGAGAGAGAGAGAGAGAGAGAGACTGACCCCAGAAGTGTACGGGATATCCAGTGAGAGAATGAAGCCAGTGGATAAAGGATCTCCTCTACCATTTTTCCGGCAGACAAACCTGAGGCTTATTCCACATGGTTCCTCAGAAGTGCCCAGAAGGATGGAGCATCAGTTGCCCGTAGCAATGACCAAGTCAATTATGCACCCAGTTTTATTGTTTTACTCCTGTTCCCTATATCCCTTATCAGATAAACTACCTGCCCCTGAGCTTCCTCTCAGCTCTGCTTTCCAAGGTGAATGCTGGCTAAGACAAATGCTAATGCACACAAATTATTCCCAGATTTTACACAATAGTCATACTAGGGGTTTGATTTGCTTCATAATCTCTGTTCTCAGTTCTAAATCTCCCCAGGGTTAAAAGATTCACCAGAGCTGCCATAACAAAGTACCACACCTGGGTGGCTTAAAACAAGTGAAACGTATTATCTCAGAGTTCTAGGGGCTGAAAGTCTTAAATCAAGGTGTCAGCAGAGCCACGCTCCCTTGAGACTCTGGGTAGAATGCTTCCTTGCCCCGCCCTGGCTCTGGTGGTGGCCCACAATCCTTAGCGTCCCTTGGCTTGCAGCTGCATCACTCCAGTCTCTGCCTCCATCTTCACATGGCTTTCTCCCTGTGTGCGTCTTCACATCAACTTCCTTCTGTGTATGCTGGCATCCAGATTTCCCATTTTTATAAGGATACACAAGTACTGGATCGGGGCCCACCCGAATGACTTCATCTTAACTTGGTTCTCTGCAAGACTTTATTTCCAAATAAGGCTACATTCTGCAGTACTGGGGATGAGGACATCAGTGTATCTCTTTTCAGGGGGACACATAACGCCACAGTGCCCACTAAGGAAACAATTAAGTAATTCTAAGCAATTAGAGGGATTTCAAGCAAATTTTCAGGTTTTCTGTCAGCTGGGCCATTTTGCAAATTGGCTAGAGATTTTGACAGGATTTGAGATCAGAAACTGTGAAAGGCCAGACACCATGGCTCACACCTACAATCCCAGTATCTTGGGAGGCTGAAGAGGGAGGATAGGATTACTTGAGCCCAAGAGTTGGAGACCAGCCTGGGTAAGATGGTAAGAGCCTGTCTCTACAAAATAAAATAAATAAATAAAACTAGCTGGGCGCAGTAGCATGCCCTTGTAGTCTCAGCTACTCAGGAGGCTGAGGTGGAAGGATTTCTTGAGCACAGGAGATCAAGGAGTGCAGTGAGCTATGATTGTGCCACTGCACTTCAGCCTCGGGAACAAAGCAAGACTCCATCTCTTAAAAAAAAAAAAAGTTGAAAGAAGGAAAAGAAAAGAAAAACTGTAACCGAGCCATCTTCCACAGTTACCACACCAATGGGAATCTAAGTTCATGCCTTCCAATGGAATTGTGGAAACAGAGATTACAAACTATAAAATCATGAATTAGCTTTGGCTAGAAAATGTGGAGGAAAGCAGAGTTTCCAAGGCCCGGTTAGCAACTGCCCAGGAACAACCCTAAAAACATGAGAGACTGTTGATACAGGTGCTTTGAAAAAATAAGTCCTGATGTAGCCATTAAATCTTATTAGGTAGAAAAGGAAAATAAAGTGCATATTTACACAACTGTGAACAAAAAACGTAAGCTAATTCTATCACCAGTCTGTATCTTGTCCTCAGAGTTGAAATCTCGTCTAGTTTGCTAGAAAGTCCAATGATCTGTGCTGTAATATTGAAAGTTTTATTTTTGTAGTTCCAAAGATTTTGGCTTATAATCTTAAGACTAATGTGTTTGTTTTATGTAAATACATTACAGAGGATGTTTATTGTAGAAAACAGCATTTGTTCACTTGAAGTTCTAAGCTACATTTGTCATAGGAAGTTGATTTTTCCCAACAATCTTGGTGACAAATTAATTCACTGTGACATCACTTGTCTGGCTCAAATTAACTCCTATAAAATGAACAAACTAGCTTTCTTAACATTAGGAACATAGATAAAGGAACATTTCTTCTTGCAACATGCATTTATAAGTAAAGTAGTGCTAACAGATGAAGCTTAAGTACATTTGAGAGATGATCCTGAATTAAGATCATTTGATAGATGATGAAGTTGCTTGAATTCAAGTTACATATTACCTCATTCTTAAGTCTAATGATTCTGTATCTAACCCAAAACCAGGATGGCAGACATTTGATGGGATTTGACTATCTATTTACTTGATGCTACTATGAATTCATTTCATGTACTCCCTACAATCTATGAATCCATTTAAATCCATCAAAATGACATTTGCTTGGATTCTGCAGCTCTTCCTGGCTTTGTCTGGCTTAAAAGTCAGAACTTCCAAGGTCTTATGCATGACAGGAGAGAGGTCAGCTTCATAAAGGCATATGGGTTGGACAACCACTTTCACTGTTGCCATAAGAAATTTCCAGGTGAAAAATAAGGAATGAACAGAGAAGGCTGATCCTTCTAATGCATAGTTAAAACCCTTTAAAGAAAATCAGTGGATCTTTGGCAAACATTATACATTCTAGCCTTTTTCATGTTAAGCGGAAAACATAAATTATATCCAAATAAGTGATAATAAATGTATCTGAAAGCTCCATGCTTCCAGAACACTTTGCACCAAAGGCTCCTCTCTGAGGTCTTGGGAAGCAATGAGGCAAAGAAGCTGCATGTTAGATTCCGACTGAGTGGTGCAAATGACTGCTAAATTAGTGTGAATTATCTGGGCTGTTCCATGTGGCCATCCAACCAAAGTACTGCCTGTACTGCAGAACTGCCAGAGAAGGCCTCCTGGCCTCTATTTTATTCTTCAACAACAAAATACAAAGTACCTCTTAGTTTCTGACATGAATCAAAACTAGTCAAAAGATCAAGCACGGGGGCCAGGCACAGTGGCTCATGCCTGTAATCCCAGCACTTTAGGAGGCCACGGTGGGCTGATCACTTGGGCTCAGGAGTTCAAGACCAGCCTGGAAAACATGGTGAGAGCCCATCTCTACAAAAAATACAAAAATCATCCAGGTGTGGTGGCACACAACTGTAGTCCCAACTACTTGGGAGGTTGAGATGGCAGAATCGCTTGAGCCCAGGAGGCAGAGGTTGCAGTGAGCCAAGATGGCACCACTGCGCTCTAGTGTGGGTGACAGGGTGAGACCCTGTCTTAAAAAAAAAAAAAAAATCAAGCAGGGACAAAAAGTGGGCACTTGCAAGACACAGGAAAACCGCAAAGAAATGCTAGGGCTAGACGGAGGAGGGGGGAACTGAGCTATAAACTGGTCAATGAAGATGAATAATCTATCTTGATTTCTTTGAAACAAGGCAGGGTCTGAACGAACAAATGGATACAGATGAAAGCACAGGGAGGTGAAGGGGAGCTGTTGCTTCTCCCTGGGGTCTTTCTGTTCCCCTCAGCTCAGTCATTTGCCTCATCTTTTCCCATCCTGCCTTGCCAGTGCATGCAGCCCACAGCCCCTCCCTGCAAGGGCTATCTGGAGGCAAAGAGGGTGGATTGGGAGTTCTCTGTGGCTTGGGAGTGGGAACCATATTCTTGGGTCTGGCACAGACTATCTACCAATCTAGTTGGTTCTGGAAGCTTCTCAGAGCACCTAGGCTTCATCTCCTGAACCAACCAGAGGTCCTCCAGGACTTTCAAGTCAGGTAGCACTCAACTTACCTCCCAATAGGGGAGTACAGCTCTCAGGCTACCCAAGGTACCCTACTCCCAACCCTTCCCACTTCTGGTGGCAGCTCTGGACCCAACAGAACTGCCCCCTCCCTATCACATCCTAATTCTGCTTCTTCTGGCACATCTAAAATTTCCTTCTGCTCTCTCTTGGATCTGCTACTGATAGCCAGACATGGGCTCAAGGCTGCTATGATCTGAATGTTTTATCCCCTCTAACTCATATGTTGAAATCTAATCCCCAAGGGGATATTAAAAGGATCAGCCTTTGGGAGGTGATTATGTCATGAGAGCTCTGTCCTCATGAGTGGGATTAATGCCCTGAATAAAAGAAGTCCGAGGGAGGGGTATGTGTGTGTGTGTGTTTACCCCTTCTACCATGTCTACCATGTGAGGACACAGCAGAAGGTGCCATCTATGAAGAACAAGACCCTCAAAAGACACTGAATCTGCTTGCACCTTGATCTTGGACTTCTTAGACTCCAGAACTCTAAGCAATCAATTCCTGTTGTTTATAAATTACTCAGTCTAAGGTATTTTGTTAGAGAAGCCTAAATGAACTTAGAGAAAGGCTAACACATTATCTACTTTCAGGACTCATTCAAGTTACTTGCTAGACGTTGTAGGAGTTACAATCTTTCACGCATTCTTTTTTTTTTTTTTTTTTAATGGAGTCTCGCTCTGTCGCCCAGGCTAGAGTACAATGGCATGATCTTGGCTCACTGCAACCTCCATCTCCCGGGTTTAAGCAATTCTCCTGCCTCAGCCACCCCAGTAGCTGGGACTACAGGCACATACCACCACTCCCGGCTAATTTTTGTAATTTTAATAGAGATGGGGTTTAACCATGTTGGCCAGGCTGGTCTCAAACTCCCGACCTCAAGTGATCTGCCCGCCTTGGCCTCCCAAAGCACTGGGATTATAGGTGTCAGCCACTGCACCCGACCTTTTCATGCATTCTTTACAAGAGTTTCACTGTCACAGCCACTGTTCTGCTATCTAGGTTAACTCACACATCCCTGTGACCCACAAATGTCAGAATAGGGCACTATTAAATGACATTAAGTTCACCTCTCAGTTTCAGTTCTGCCCAACAAATGTAATCCCTAAGGAATCTCATTCTGTTCAAGGGACATCTCAACTTTCTGAAATAGGAGAATAGGTTTCCATCCCCTTCACCTTGGGAAATACTATAAAAAGTCATATCCCTGTGAATCACAACTTAACCACACACTCAGGCAGGAGTGTGAAGGAGGTCTTCCTGTCTTTTTCGTATCTGAGCCCCTGGATCCCTTCTTGTGACCGGCACTTAGTGAATGGGAAAATAACCGTAACAGCAACACCACCACTAACCACTATTCAACCTCTAGGACAACTATGAAGGGGGTAGATGTGCACAAGGGAGCCTAGGTGACAACGATGGGCCACTTGACTAACACAGTCACAGCATCCTATAATAAAAATCACTATAAATTCACAGAATTACAAGTAATAATAATTATAGCTAGCATATACTGTCCATCTACTAATACTGCTCTAGTGATTACTCTTGGTTTAACAACTTTAGACATCATCTACTGACTTCTTATCACAGACATAAAAATTGAGGTCTTATCCCACATCCCTTTCTGCTCCTTACATCCTAATGAAGTTATGACTTTGAATTAAGTTTATATTTAGAATCTGGGCCGGGCGTGGTGGCTCACACCTGTAATCCCAGCACTTTGGGAGGCCAAGAAAGATGGATCACCTGAGGTCAGGAGCTCAAGGGCAGCCTGGTCAACATGGCGAAACCCTGTCTCTACTAAAAATACAAAAATTAGCCGCATGTGGTGGCACATGCCTGTAGTCCCAGCTACTCGGAAGGATGAGGCAGGAGAATCACTTGAATCTGGGAGGCAGAGGTTGCTGTGAGCCAAGATCATGCCACTGCACTCTAGCCTGGGCCACAGAGTGAGACTCCATTAAAAAAAAAAAAAAAAAAAAAAAGACAACACATTAGAATCTATTACTCTATGTTTATTATTGAGCTAAGTAATGTTCTCTGATTACATTTCCTTTCTTATAGTTTGTTTTTCCTGGAGTTAATAATTGTCTTTTTTTATTCCAATCATTTTCTTAAACTTATGGTTTTAAGACTTCCCACAACCTCCAACAGCTCTGTAAAATATCTTTCAATCAAAACTTACATACTGTCAACCTGTCAAGTCTTCTGTCAGTTCCATTTTCCCCTTGAGTTTCCCCCACAGAGCTCCCTATTCTCTGGTCCACTCAGAACCAACTTTCCTGACTCCCTAGACCTACTTTACTCTTGTCACTCACACCTTCACCCTTCTTCTCTCTCTGGAGCTAGATCCCAGGTTTACTGGATCACATCTGCTTTGTTGTACTTGCTAATTTTGATGAACTATCCTCCAAGAGCCTCCTGAGAGAGTGTGTGGAGGTATATCAGGATAGAATGGTTTATGCTTCAGTAGCACACAACCTCAAGAATTTAGCAACTTTAATACTAAAGGTTTATTTCTCACTCCATGACATAATCACTGGGGATTACCAGCTGGAAGCAATGTTCCACATCTCCTCACTACAGAATCTAAGCTACCCAAAGAGTCATTATCACAAGCATTGTAGCTCACTGAGACAGACTAAAGGAAACAGCATAGTGAAGCTTCCACCTGGAGGTATCCCACATCATTTCTGCTTATATTTGATATGGCCACACCAAATCAAAGAGGAAAAAGGAGAATGGAAAATACTTGTTGAATAGCACTAATGACTATTGCAGGAGATTAATTTTTAAAAATATTTTTCATGGCCAGGCACAGTGGCTCATGCCTGTAATCCCAGCACTTTGGGAGACAGACGTGGGCAGACCACTTGAGGTCAGGAGTTCGAGACCAGCCTGGCCAACATGGTGAAACCCCATCTCTACTAAAAATAGAAAAATAAGCCAGGCATGGTGACACACGCCTGTAATCCCAGCTACTTGGGAGGCTGAGGCACAAGAATCGCTTGAACCCAGGAAGTGGAGGTTGCAGTGAGCTGAGATTGCACCACTGGGTGACAGAGCGAGATTCCGTCTCAAAAAAAAAAAATGTCATATCTAAAATGTCTTGATTGTGTTTCATACTCAATTAATAATGTGTGGGAATAGAATTCAAGATAAGAGACAATTTTCTCCCAGAATTTTGAAAAGAAAGTGTCCCATGTCCCTTAGCTTCCAATGTTGCTGTTGGGAAGCCTCATCATGCCAGGCTCTTTCCTGAGGCTTTGTATCTGACCTCTTCTGCCTGTTGTTGTTGTTCCCATATTTTTTCTCTTTCTCTCTCTGATAGATTTTAGGATTACATTTTTATTTCTGCTGTTATGAAATTTCACAATGACATGCCTTGATATGGATTTTTTTCCCATTTATTGTGCTAGGTATTTTTAATCTGACACTTATGTACTTCCTTTCTGGTCAATATTCATGTACTAGTTGATAAGTTCCTCCTTAGTGTTTTCTCTTTTGTCTCTCTCTAGAGTGGCGATTAGATGTCAGGCTCCTGGAATAGTAATTTGTTTTATCTCTACTTTCCTATTGTTCTTTTTGGGGTTATTCCTTCTAGGACATTTTTCAAGCACTTTACATATGCATATAGTTTAATTTTTATTTCCATGAGCTTTTCCTTAACTGATTCTTCCTACCATGTTGCATTCCACACCCCTCTCTTTTCATTCTGGCTCCTCACCCTCTGCTGTGTCTTGGTATATGACCCTAAGACAATGTCATGGCTCTCTATAGTGTCCCTAGGGATTTGGGTACCTGGATGTTGGTTAAACTCCCCATTCAACCCTGCCCCAGCCCCAGCTTTTCCTGGTTAGGATGAAGTTCCAGCCTAACTTCTCACGTCTCCTATTTTTCAACCTTTTAAGTTGTTCCACATTCAAGAAAATTGGAGTCAGAGGCACACTCAGCCAAAATTCACAATCACTGTTAAGGAGAACAGACAGAGGCAAAACAAAAAACAAAAACAAACCAAAGAAAAAAAAACTCCTAATTCTTTAAAATGCACATTTCTTTTTTATTGCCTGTCTTGAAAAAATTTAATGTTCCTGACTGTAAATTGAATCATACAAGTATTTATTTAATATCCAGCCCAGTTTTGTGTACTGAGGATACAGCAATAAAAAAAATACACAAAGTCCCTGCTCTTCATTCTAATGAGGAGAGACAGATAATAAGCAAAATGTAATGTGCAGGAGGTGACAAATATTAGACAAAAATAAAGAAGACTGTCGGGCCAGCAGTGCTGGCAACTGGAAATGGGAAATGCTGCATTTTTTAAGACAGTCTTTCTGATCCCTTCTCTGCTTAATTGTCAGCTGTATGTTGAGTCCCTCCCTACATTAGTTTGTTCTCACACTGATACAAAGAACTACTTTAGATTGGGTAATTTATGAAGAAAATAGGTTTAATTGACTCACAGTTCCACAGCTGTACAGGAACCATGGTTGGGAGGCCTCAGGAAACTTATGATCATGGCACAAGGCACATCTTCATATGGCAGCAGGAGAGACAGAAAGCAAAGAGGTAAGTGCCATGCACTTTTAAACCATCAGATCTTGTAAGAACTCACTCACTATCATGGGAACAGCAAGGGGGAAATCTGCCCCCATGATCCAATCACCTCCCACCAGGTCTCTCCCCCAACACTGGGAATAACAATTCACCATGAGGTTTGGGTAGGGACACAGAGCCAAGTCATGTCATTCCACACCAGCCCCTCCCAAATCTCATGTCCTTCTCACATTTCAAAACACAATCATGTCTTCCCAATAGTCCCCCAAAGTGTTAACTTAATCCAGCATTAACTCAAATGTCTGGGTCTGAAGTCTCATCTGAGACATGGCTCAAGTTCCTTTCACCTATGACCGTGTAAAATAAAAAAAAAAGTTAGTTACTTCCAAGATACAACAGAGATACAGGCATCAGGTAAATGCTCCCATTCCAAGTGGGAGAAATTGGCCAAAACAAAGGGACTACAGGTCCCATGAAAGTCCGAAACCCAGCAGGGCAGTCATTAAATCTTAAAGCTACAAAATGATCTCACCTTTATTCCAGTTCCCAACAAGTTCCACATCTCCATCTGAGACCACCTCAACCTGGACTTCATTGTCCATATCACTATCAGTATTTTCAGCAAAGCTGTTCAACAGGTCTCTAGGAAGTTCTGAATTTTCCCACCACTTTCTGTCTTCTTCTGAGCCCTCCAAACTGTTCCAACCTCTGTCCATTACCCAATTCCAAAGCTTCTTCTACATTTCAAAGTATCTTTATAGCAATGCCCCCACTTCTTTGGTACCAATTTTCTGTATTAGTTCACTCTAACACTACTATAAGGAACTACCTAAGACTGGGTAACTTATAAAAAAAAGAGTTTGAATTGACTCACAGTTCCACAGGCTATCCAGGAAGCACGGTTGGGAGGCCTCAGGAAACTCACAGTCATGGTGGAAGGGTGAAGGGGAAGCAAGCACATCTTCACATGGCAGCAGGAGAGAGAGTGTGTGAAGGAGAAAGTCCCACACACTTTTAAACCATCAGATCTTGTGAGATCTCACTATCACAAGAACAACAAGGGAGAAATCATCCCCCACAATCCAATCGCCCCACCCCCACCAGGTACCTCCCCCAACACTGGGAATTACAATTCAACATGAGATTTCGGTGGGAACACAGAGCCAAATCATATCATTCCCCAAAAGAAAGCACCTAAAGGTTCAACAAGTTGATTCATCCACCTCCAAATCCAGCATCTCTGAAAGATGAATAATTCCCCGATAGGCTTTGGCTAAAAAGGTCAGTGATTGAAGGCTGGAAAGTAAGTCAAGTACTTGAGCATGCCCAGCATGCTCATGTGAGGAGAACAGGATAATGACAATTCAAACTCCAGTTTGAGAAAGGGAGAATGGGAAACCACACGTGGTAGTCACTGGAATAGAAATAGCAGGAACTCCTGCTACGATTTGACTGTGCCTCCAAAATTCATGTGTTGGAAACTTAATCACCAATGTAGCAGTTATAGAAGATGAAGCTTTGAAGCTTTTTGAAAGGTGTTTAAGTCATGAGGACAGAGTCCTCATGAAAGGATTAATGCTGCTATAAAAAGGGCTTGCAAGAGTAGGTTTGCTCTCTTCTGTTCTTCTGCCATGCAAGGACATAAAGTTCATCCCTTTTTGCCCTTCTGGTTTCTATTATGTGACGGTGCAGCAAGAAGGTCCTCACTAGATACCAAATGCCAGAAACTTGATCTTAGACTTCTCAGCCTCCAGAACTCCAGGTTTAACATTCTATTCTCTGTAAGCAACTTAAAGATTGACCTAGGAATTATCTGCCAACTCTGTAATATTTTCTGGCAATAAAGTTTCCTTTAAATTTAATAGGCTTCAGGGGCCAAAGCACACACTTCCCAGAGTCTGAGAGCCACCTCCCTGGGACCACTCCCACTGACAGCAACCCCAACCCCCAACCCCAGCATCAGGGCTGCAGTGTGTGTGCACATATGCTGAAGACAGACTCTCCCAGTCCACCATCATGGCTGCCACCACCACCTGAATGTGCTACTAGGGAGCCTGGGGATTGCCCCACCCTGCCCACCACAGCCTGTGCCCATGCACCCCACTAGAAGGCCAGATGACAGGCCTAGGTGGCCTAGCACCAGCCACCCCCCACCTTTTGCCCAATCATGATGCCCAGAAGCCTGAGGATCATCATATCCCACCCCCCACTGCTGGCATCTATGCACTTCTCCCAGGGGCCAGAAGACAGGCCCACCCAGCCTGTTGCTACCATCACCACCAGCGCCCACCCATATGCACCACATGGGAACCTGGGGACTGGCGTGCACAGCCCATCACAGCCACTGCTAACAACAGCACATGCTGGTTTGGAGCCCAAAGGTTGTCCCACGAACACTACTGCCATTGCTCATCCCACACATCCTATCCAGAGGACTAAGGAATAACCTACTTGCCCAGCCCACCACTGCCATAGCCAGCACCTGAACAATCCACCTGGAGGCCTAAGAATCAGCCCACCTGGACCTGCTAACACCAATGTTAGCAGTGTTAACACTATGTATACCTCCCAGGGGCCCAAAGACAGGCAACCTCAGCCGGCCACTATGACCACTGGGACCTGAGAACTGGCCACCATCCCTGTCCCCAGCAAAACCTCACCATACCTTCCACTAAAAACTGCAACCTAAGCCACTGAGGAAATAACAGACACTACTGATGCTGTTTACAGCTGAAGAAATTGTACAGAGACAACACTACTATGCACACCCAGAATCAAAGCTAAAATGCCCTCCTGACCAACACCATAGATACAGCTTTAGGAAAATGTATTCCCCTATGAAAGCCAATCCAAAAAATTGGAAGAAGAGACTGTTACACCAGATGCACAGGTACTGTAATAAGAGAAATCGAAAAGCAAGGAAATATGACACCTCCAAAGTACCACAATAATTCTCCAGCAACAGATTCCAATGAAAAAGAAATGTATGAAATGCTGGGAAAATAATTCAAAGTAATGATATTAAAGAAGCTCAGTGAGGCCAGACACAGTGTCTCATGCCTGTAATCCTGGCACTTTGGGAGGCCGAGGCAGGAGGATTGCTTGAGCCCAGGAGTTTAAGAGACCAGCCAGGGCAACATAGTGAAACTTTGTCTCTATTAAAAAAAAAAAAAATTTAAAAAATTAGCCAGGCATGGTGGCACACACCTGCTGTCCCAGCTACTTGGGAGGCTGAGGTGGGAGGATCACTTGAGCCCAGGAGGTTGAGGCTACAGTGAGCCATGATCATGCCACTGCACTCCAGCCTGGGTGACAGAGTGAGAGCCTATCTAGAAGCAGCAGCAGCAGCAGCTCAGTGAGATATACAAGAACACAGATAAATGATACAAAGAAATCAGAAAATTCAGGATATGAATGAAAATTTACCAAAATGATAGATATTATAAAAAAGAATCAAAAAGAAATCCTAGAACTAAAGAATTCAAAGATAAAAACTAAAATACATTTGGAACTTCTGATATATACTAGATTAAGCAGAAGAAAGAATTTCAGAACTTGAAGACAGTTCTTTTTAAATAACCCAGACAAGAAAAAGAGAATAAAGAGTAAAAAAGAATAAACAAAGCCTACATGACATATAGTACACCATAAAGTGACCAAATAGTCAAATTATTGAGGTTCCAGAAGGCAAAGAGAGAACAAAGGAATTAGAAAACCTATTCAACAAAATAACAGATGAAAAATCCCCAAGTCTAGCAAGAAAGTTAGGCATACAGATATATGAATCTCAGAGATTCCCAAATAAACACAATCCATGGCACATCATAGTCAAACACAAAATTCAAAGACAAAGAGAGAATTTCAAAAACAGTAGGAGAAAAATGTCTAGTCACTTATAAGGGAATCTTCATTAAACTAACAGTGAATTTCTCAGCAGAAATCTTGCAGGCCAGAAAAAATTGAGATGATATATTCAAAGTGCTGAAGAAAAAAAAAAAACTGTCAGCCAAGAATCCTATACCCAGTAAAGTTATCCTTAAAAATGAAGGAGAAATAAAGTGTTCCCCAGACAAGCAAAAACTGAGGGAATTTATCACCACTTGAGCAGTCCTACAAGAAATACTTAAGGGAGTTCTATACCTGGAAATGAAAGGATGATTCACTTCCAAATGTAGGACTCCCTTAAGCATTTCTTGTAGTCTACCATTATGAAAACACATGAAAGTATAAAACTCACTGGTAAAGCAAACACACAAATAAAGAGGAGAAAGAACTCTAATGTTACCACTACTGAAAACCACAAACTGCAATAATAAACAATAAGAGAGAAAGAAGGGAACAAATGATATACAGAACAAGCAGAAAACAACAAAATGTCAGGAATTAAGTTCTCACATGTCAATAATAACATTGAATGTAAACAGATTAAATTTTCCACTTAAAAGATGCAGACTGGCTGAATGGATGAAAAACCATAACCCAACTATATGCTGCTTTCAAGAAACTCACTTTACCTGTAGACATATAGACTAAAAATAAAGCAATGGAATAAAGATATTTCATGCAAATGGAAACAAAAAGCAAGCAGTAGTATCTATACTTATGTCATATAAAACAGACTTTAAGTTTAAATGGTAAAAAGAGACAAAGAAGGTCACTATGTGTGATGGTTAATATAGAGCGTCAACTTGATAGGACTAAAGGATGCACAGTTTTGTTCCTGGGTATTTCTGTGAGGGTGTTGCCAAAGGAGATTAACCTTTGAGTCAGTGGACTGGGAAAGGCAGACCCACCCTCAATCTGCACAATCTAATCAGCTGTCAGCACAGCCAGAATAAAAGCAGGCAGAAGAACATGGAAAGACTAGATTAGATCAGTCTTCCAGCCTACATCTTTCTCCCATGCTGGATGCTTCCTGCCCTTGAACATCAGACTCCAAGTTCTTCAGCTCTGAGACTCAGACTGGTTTCCTTGCTCTTCTGCTTGCAGAAGGCCTATTGTGGAACCTCACCTTGTGATCGTGTGAGTCAATACTCCTTAATAAACTCCTCTCTATACATACATCTATCCTATTAGTTCTGTCCCTCTAGAGAACCCTGACTAATACACTATGTAATGTTAAAGGGATTAATTCAGCAAAAGGCTACAACAATTTTACATAAATATACACTCAACACTAGAGCACCCTGATATATAAAGCAAATATTATTAGACTGAAAGGGAGAGATAGACTCCAATACACAATAGTTGGGAGCTTCAACACTCCACTCTCAGCATTACACAGATCAGGTAGACTGAAAATTAACAAAGAAACATTGGATTTAAACTGCATTTCAGATAAAATGGGCCTAAGAGACATTTACAGAACACTTAATCCAACAGTTGCAGAATACACGTTTTTCTTGTCAGCACATGGAACACACATTAGGATAGGCCATATTTTAGACCACAAAAAAATTCTCAACAAATTTAGAAATCAAAATCATATCAAACATCTTCTCAGACCACAATGGAATAAAACTAGAACTCAATAACAAGAGGAACTTTGGAAACTGTAAAAATACATGGAGATTAAACAGCATGTTCCTGAGCGACTTTGGGTCAATGAAGAAATTAAGAAGAAAATAAAAAGACTTTTTGAAACTAATGAAAAAGGAAACACAACATACCAAAACCTATGGGTACAGCAAAAACAGTGCTAAGAGGGAAGTTTATAGCAATAAATTCCTACATCAAAAATGCAGAAAGATTTCAAATAGTCTAATGACACACCTCAAGGAACTAGAAAAGCAAGAACAAACCAAACCCTAAATTAAGAGAAGAAAAAAAAGTAAAAATCAAAGCAGAACTAAACAAAATATGACTAGAAAAACAATATAAAAAGGCCTGGCACAGCGGCTCATGCCTGTAGCCCCAACACTTTGGGAGGCCGAGGTGAGTAGATCACTTGAGGTCAGAAGCTCAAGACCAGCCCAGTCAGCATGGTGAAATCCATCTCTACCAAAAATATAAAAAATTAGCCAGGTGTGGTGGCATGCACCTGTAATCCCAGCTACTGGGGAGGCTGAGACAGGAGAATAGCTTGAACCCAGGAGATGGAGGTTGCAGTGAGCTGAGATCACGCCACTGCACTCCAGCCTGGGTGACAGAGAGAGACTCCATCTAAAAAAAAAAAAAAAAAAAAAAAAAAATATATATATATATATATATATATTCAACAAAATGAAAATTTGTTTTTTGAAAAGATAAATAAAATTGATAAAGTGCTAGCTAGGCTAATCAAGAAAAAGATTTAAAAAACCCAATAAACAAATCAGAAATAAGAAATGAGATATTACAGTTGACACCACAGAAATACAAAAGATCATCAGAGACTACTACGAACAACTATACATTAACACACTGGAAAGCCTAGAGGAAATAGATAAATTCCTGGCCATACACAACCTGCCAAGATTGTATCAGGAAGAAACAGAAAATCTGAACAGACCATAATGAGTAACAAGATTCAATCAGTAATAAAAAGTCTCCCAACAAAGAAAAGCCCAGAACCAGATGTCTTCACTGCCAAAATCTACCAAACTTATAAAGAACTAACATCATTTCTTCTCAAATTCTTTCAAAAAAAATTTAAGAGGAGGGAATTCTCCCTAACTAATTCTATGAGGCCAGCATTACCCTTTCAATAAAACCAGACAAGGATTCAAGGAAAAGAAGAAAACTACAAGACAATATCCCTGATAAATATTGTATTGGTAAGGGTTCTCCAGAGGTACAGAACTAATAGGATATATGTATAAATGAAATGGAGTTTATTAAGAAGAATTGACTCACACAATCACAAAGTGAAGTCCCATGATAGGCCATCGGCAAGCTGAGGAGCAAGGAAGCCAGTAATGGCTCAGTCCAAGTCCCAAAGCCTCAAAAGTAGGAAAGCCAACAGTGCAGCCTTCAGTCTGTGGTTGAAGGCCTGAGAGCCCCTGGCAGAACCACTGGTGTAAGTCCAAGAGTCCAAAGGCCAAAGAACCTGTTCAAGGGCAGGATGTTCAAGGGCAGGAAACATCTAGCACAGGAAAAAGATTAAAACTGGAAGGCTCAGCAACCCAGCTTATTCCATCTTCTTCCACCTGCTTTTTCTAGCCACTCTGGAAACCGACTGGATGGTGCCCACCCACATTGAGAGTGGGTCTTCCTCTCCCAGTCCACTGACTCAAATGTTAATCTTCTCTGGCAGCACCCTTACAGACACACCCAGAAACAATACTTTACATCGTTCAATCCAATCAAGTTGACACTTAATATTAACCATTACAAATATCGATGCAAAATTTCTGAACAAAATCCAAATCAAACCAAATCCAACAGCATATCAAAAAGATAATACACCATTATCAAGGGGGATTTGTTCCAGGGATACAAGGATGGTTCAACATACACAAATCAATAAATGCAATACATCATATCAACAGAATGAAGGACAAAAACCATATGATCATGTCAATTGAGGTAGAAAAAGCATTTGATAAAGTTCAACATCCCTTCATGATAAAAACTCTCAACAAACTAGGGGTAGGAGAAAAAAAAACCCTCAATGTAATAAAGACCATGTATGACAAAACCACAGCTAACACCATGGAGGAAAGTTGAAAGCCTTTCCTCTGAGAAATGGAACAAAATAAGTATGCCCACTTTTATCACTCCTATTTGACAGAGTACTGGAAGTCTTAGCCAGAGCAATCAGGCAAGAGAAAGAAATAAAAGGCATTCAAATTGAAAAAGGGGAAGTCAAATTGTCCCTCTTTGGAAATGACATGATCTTATATTTAGAAAAACCTAAAGACTCCAGCACAATACTCTTTAGGTATGATAAATTCAGTAAGGTTGCAGGATATAAAATCAACATGCAAAAATATATACACCAATAATGAACTAGCTGAAAAAAAATCAAGAAGGCAATCTCACTTATAATTGCTACCAAAAAAAAAAACCTATGAATAAATTTAACCAAGGAAGTGAAAGGGTTCTACAAGGACAACTACAAAACACTGATGAAATAAATTGAAGAGGACACAAATAGAAATACATCCCATGCTTGTGAATCAGGAGAACTAATATTATTAAAATGGCCATATTGCCCAAAGCAATCTAAAGACTCAATCAATCTCTATCAAGATACCAAGGATATTTTTCACAGAAATAGAAAAAAACAATCCTAATACTTGTATGACACCAAAAAAGAGCCCAAATAGCTAAGGAAATCCTGATTAAAAAGAAAAAAGCTGGAGGCATCACACTAGCTAACTTCAAAATATATTACAAGGCTATTATAACCAAAACTGTACGATAGTGGTATAAAAACAGACACATACACCAATGGAGCACAATACAGAGCCCAGAAATAACTATACTTACCTACAGCCAACCAATTTTTGACAAAGGCATCAATAATATACATGGGGGAAAGGACACCCTCTTCAACAAATGGTGCTGGGAAAACTGGATATCCATATGCCAAATAATGAAACTAGACGCCTATCTCTCACCATATACAATAAGCAACTCAAGATAGATTAAAGACTTAAACATAAGACCCAAAGCTATAACACTACTAGAAGAAAAGATAGGGAAAACACTTCAGAACATTAATCTTGGAAAAGATTTTAAGGCTAAGGCCTCAAAAGCACAGACAACAAAAGCAAAAGTAGACAAATGGGACTCTATTAAACTAAAAAGCTTCTGCACAGCAAAGGAAACAATCAACAGAGTGAAGAGACAACCTGTAGAATAAAAGAAAATATTTGCAAACTATTCATCTGACAAGGAACTAAAATCCAGAATATACAAGGAATTAAAACAACTCAACAGTAAAACAAACAGACAATTCCATTAAAAAGTGGACAAAGGACATAAGTAGATATTTATCAAAAGAAGACACACAAATGGCCAACAGGCATATGAATAGATGCACAACATCACTATCATCAGGGAAATGCAAATCAAAACCAGAATGAGATATTACCCCAGCTAAAATGGCTATCATAAAAAAAAAACACACAAAAAATAACAGGTGCTGGCAAGGATGTGGAGAAAAGGAAACCATAGGTGGGAATGTAAATTAGTAGTCATCATGGAAAAAAATATGAAGAGTTCTCAAAAAACTAGAAACAGAACTACCATACAATCCAGTGATCCCACTACTGGGTATTTATCCAAAGGGAAGGAAATCAGTACATCAAAGGAATACCTGCATCCCCATGTTTATTGACACACTATTCACAATACCAAAGATATAGAATCAACCTAACTGTCTATCAATGGATGAATGAATAAAGAAAATATAGTATATATTCACAATGGAATGCTATTCAGCCATAAAAGGAACTAAATTCTGTCATTTGCAGTGATAAATGGACGAAACTGGAGGTCATATATTAAGTGAAATAACCCGGGCACAGAAAGACAAATATTGCATGTTCTCACTCATATGCAAGAGTTAAACAAGTTGATTTCATGGAGGTAGAGAGTAGAATGATACACATCAGAGGCTGAGAAGGGTATCTGTGTGCATATGGGTGGTAGTGTAAGGGAGGATGGAAAGCGGTTGGTCGATGGGTACAAACATACAGTAAGATTGAAGGAACAAGTTGTAATGCTTAATAGCAGAGTAGGGTGACTATAGTTAACAAAAACGTACTGTATATTTCAAAACAGCTAGCAGAGAGGACTTGAAATATCCCCAATACACAGAAATGATAAATACTCGAGGTGATGGATATCTGAAATACCCTCACTTGATCATTACACATTCCTATGCAAAAATATCACATGTACCCCATAAATATGTACAAATATTATGTATCAATAAAAAAGGAATAGGCTTTCAAACTATTCCTACTCAATCTGATGTACCAGTAACTCAAACCCAGAATTCCTTAGTAGTTTTAATCTTGTGATCTAGCACTAGTCCTGGTAATTTGTTTTCTAGCAGTTTACCTTAGCCTTGGTGTTCTGTCCACCTCGGTAGCCCTCAGTTTCATGGCATTCCACTTTTGAATAATGCATACTTGTAAGCTGGGGTGACCAGGCTAGGAAATGATGATTCTTACCGAGACAGCCAGATGTGAGCGGGTCCCTGGAGAAACTCCCACCAGCCTGCCCACTGAGGTAGAGCCTCAGGAAGTTCACGCCCTTTGCATCGGGGAGGGGCCTGGCCCCTCCTCTTCCTGTGTGGAACTTGGGATTCAAACGGCCTGACAGGAGGCGCTTTAGTGGAGGGACTCTGGCCTTGCAAGAGTCCCTGTTTCCCCACTTCTTCCCTTTTTACCTAATAAAACCCTGTTTTACTCACCCTTTAAGCCATCTACGAGCCTGAATTTTCGTGGCCATGGGATGGACAAGAACTTCCCCCGTCTTTAGCTGAACTAAGGAGAATCCTGCAACATTTTTGGTGTGCAACGTGTGGGCTCGAGAAGCAGTGACTGAAGTGGGGACTCAAAACCTCTCACTCTTGCTTTTACGCCTTTTCATCCTCGGACTTCTGAGGGTGGGGGAAACCATGCCTCCACCCCTACCGCCCCCCACCCCCATCGCTCCTGGACTTTTTCACTGCCTTTTCCTTCCTTTTTCAGGACCCACCAGGGAGCTCACCATGGCTCCCCTCTCCCTGCCGGGGCTGGGATGCATGGCCCAAGCGTCCCGCACAGCTGGCTGTCTGGTTCCCAGCAACATGCATCCTTCCCCTTCCCTGGCCAAGGGCTTTAACAATATCGGACAGTGATTAAGCTTAAACTTGTCTCCTGGCGGGGCGCGGTGGCTCATGCCTGTAATTCCAGCACTTTGGGAGGCTGGGGCTGGCGGATCACGAGGTCAGGCGATGGAGACCATCCTGGCTAACACGGTGAAACCCTGTCTCTACTAAAAATACAAAAAAAAATTAGCCGGGCGTGGGGGCAGGCACCTGTAATCCCAGCTACTCAGGAGGCTGAGGCAGGAGAATACCGGGAGGCAGAGCTTGCAGTGAGCCGAGATCGCGCCACTGCACTCCAGCCTGGGCAACAGAGAGAGACTCCGTCTCAAAAAACAAAAACAAAACAGAACAAAAAAATCTTGTCTCCCTGGTGGAGGAACCACTTGCATAAGAATAAGACGTTCTTCCCCAGGCATTAAACTTTTTCTTTTCTTTCCCCTTCTCTACCCAGTCAGCAAGTTAACTTTAAAAAATGTTTTTTCTTTTAGAAGATGTTTTACTAGGCTAGGCAACCCCCCCAGCCCCCCACCGCTCCCCCAACTATCACTGTATTATCTGCAAAGTTTTGGCTGTGAAATCAAGCCTCCATCTTGTTTTCTATCCTGAGGGCATAGCTGGTAGCCACTTGGCAGCTTTGTTTAGCAGTCCTGCCTGAGGGGATGAGCCCTCTCGGGTTCGATAGCTGCATGTTTTCCTATCCCTGTCTCTTAAAGGCCCCCAGCCAGTGACTGGGTTCTCTTATGAATGTGTGTACTGTGTATGATGTCTGTAAAAAGAGCTCTAATTAATTTGGCATAAAGAAGCGCAAACCCTTGGATCAACTACTTTTCTTAAGGCAAGGTAAAGGCTGTAGTACCTTTCAGTTCAGGTGACTTTAACCTTCAAGAAAAAAAAACAGCCCTAAAGACTATTGGTAAAATGCAGGTCAGAGGCAAGGTTTGTTAAGTATTTTGAGGTTACAAACTGCTTTCTGGGTTTTGAGAACTATTTGACTTGCCAGCTTCACAACTGGCAAGGCCTAGGGACATGTGGAAGTAACCACCCTTTAACTAAGAAGGCAGACCTTGGCTGCAGTTAGCACACAATTAAAGCAACTTACCAAGTTTTACCTTAAAGTTAAAAATTAGGAGGGATTACCATTATAACATGTAATTGTGGACTACTGGAAATAGATTTAGAATCAAGGGGTATAAAAACAATAAAATGTGGTTTTTGTTTTGTTTTGTTTTTTGGAAAAGGTTATGAGAAGGCATGGAAATGTAAACTGTGGTCTAGGGTTAAAGGATTGTTTTGAGTTAGATAGGAAAAGCTGAAGGTTCAAAGAAGTGGTGGAAGAATTGTGGAAATTAATCTTGGAGAAGAGGTTCTCTGTGTGAAAATATTGACTAAATTCAAAAAAGGGTATTATATGGTTTTTCTGTAAGTTGAGCATTGAAATAAAAGCATAACAAAGTTTTCCTAAGGCGCTAATCTGCTCTTTGGCAAAATAAATAACTTATGGTAATCTGGAATTCTATTTCATAATATCAAGTGTTTTAAACCTCAAACAATTAACAGCCTTCCCAAAATCAAACTTCAGTTTCAAAATTGTCTTCCATGGCACCTAGCTTTTCAGATACTTCAGAGGGTGCCTGAAGTGTCCAGAAAAGAGAGGTAAACAGGATTGTTTGACATGTTTAGGTACATGGGATTGCCAAAATAATGCTCAATCTTCTTTAGTTTATATATTGGGGAATAATGCTAATATGTGTTCCAAAATTGTATGAGATTGCTGAAATTCTAATGTCTGAGTATATGCTATCAATTATAACTAAGATTGTTATGTTACGTTGTTGTAAACCACAGAAGATAACCACACTTCTTTGTCATTTGTGTTTCTAACTGTAACTATCCTGGACATTTTGCTATTCACAGACAGTTGTTGTCTTGTTTTAATCCTTTCAAAACGTAGTTCATAATAAGCTGTAGGACTTTGACAGGTGCACTCAAATACAGGCTTCTGATAATTGGATATTGTGACTTTGGAATACAGGAAAATGTACAGGACTCATGAGCTGAAATGCTCACAAATATCTAGCAAAACAAGAGTTAACTAAATGGACTGAACTCAGGAAGCTGAAGCAACCTTTTTGACTTTTGCTTGGAATATTGCTGATCCTTGTTTTGTTTTTCAGAGTCAAGGAAACTTATTTTGAGCTATTTACAGCCTTTAATAATTAAGCATTTTGATCCTATGATCAAAATTTGGAGGATGTTTGTTTCTCTCTGCCTGGTTCCTCCAGAACTTAGAAACTATCTTTGAGTATTCTTAACCTATGGAAATATAGGTGTTTGCATCAGTTCAATAAGAATTTGTTTTTCTTTTGCAACAGGACAGAATTGGAGAAAATGGTTATTTTACTAAGGCTTTGACTGGAAGGGTATGCTTCCCTTTAAGGAGTTAAGCTCGAATTGCAGAGCCAATAAAAGCCCCATGGGGAAACTGGCCTCATACCCTCATCTTCACAGTCCCTGTACAGGGTTCCTGACCTGTGGCCAGTAAAGAATGTCACTTTCTAACAGGTCTAGGAGCTCCAAGTTTATCTTGGGACCTTAAGAGGAGAGGATCACCCAACTCACAGGTATTTGAGGATACAAACCCGTGGTTGGGCTCAGCTTTAAAAGATCTTATCTGAGATTCCTTGGGGAGCAGAGTTCCATCAAAGTCACTCCAAAGACCTATGTAGAAATAATTATTCTTGCTGTACTTTATGCAAATAATCAGGCCAAGTATAAGACTAAAATCTATTTTGGAAACCACTCAGTCCTATCATAATTTGTTTTTTTTTTTAAACAAACATGAGGACCAAAGAGGGAGAAATCATGTTCCAGAGCTAATCAAACTTATTATACATCTGTCATTAAATTCTAAACTCATTAGCTGTGTTTAAGTTTTTGCCTACATTTTAGACTGACCCCACTTATTCCTGTGAACCTACCAGCAATCTCTGGTTGCAGCTCAGAAAGAAAAAGAGGGATGGATAATGTAAAAATCTGGATCAATATTCTAGTTCTTAGCAATTATCCTGCAAATCCTGCCAGGTGGGAATAAATAGGATCACTTGGAGGTTCCTTTTTGGGAAAGTAAGACCAAGGGAACTAACCAAAGCCAAGCACCATGCACCCAAATCCTAGCAAACATAACTATAGCTACCAGTTATCTGGGTGTGTCGCAAGACATCCTTTCCTCTCCCTTGTTGGAGGAGGACTCAGTTCCACAGTTCCACCTTGGCATTTGGCTTATGACAAGGAGCCCGTGCAACCCCTGCTGAGATACATTTTTGTCCCAGACTCAATTCCAAGCTTCAGGTCAAAGCCCTAGGAAAGAAAACTGGATCTGAGGGATCCAGAGACAAATAACAGGAGAGGTTAAAAGGTACAGTGCAGGCGAGCATGGCTGATTCCTGCCCATTAAGCCAACCCCAAGCTTCCTGTTTCATGGATAAAGGCCACATTAATATCCATAGCATAAATGAGGTCTAGGGAACTCCAAGGCTACTGACTTGACAGTAGGGGGGATAGAGGCTTAGGTGAGAGTGGATAATTCCTATTCTCTAGGCCTTCCCTGCTTCATGGGTACAAACCGTTTTGGCATTCATGGCGGGACTTGCCAAGGTCACTGGGACTCGGGAATGCAAGGATGGAAGAGGGAAAGAGGACGCTTTTCCCTCTCTCCCTCATGTACCCCAGGTATCTGCTAGGAAGAGAAGGGAATCAGGGATGCCTGCTTCCCTCTTTCTAGATGGGTAGCCATTCATCTTTAGTCTGTACCCCTTTCAAATGCATCCTGAACCCTTGGGACTCCTTTAAAAAACACCTTCTTTTTCCTTTCTTCTCTTCGGTTCTCTCTTCGCTGATAGGTAATTGTGTTTCCGTGCTATGGAACACTCCCCTCAGATGCATCCTCCAAGGAAGTTGGAAGAAAGGAAATATTTACAACCCAGAGGAGCCAAATGAAAAAACAATTTGTGTGCTAATCAGATTGACACAAGGTCTCAAGAAAGACGATTTAATTATGTTCTATTCAAAAGACATCTTTCTTTATATTTTCCTGCAGCTCAAAGCAAAAAGATAAGAACTCTTGCTAGCTTCATTCCAGAACCATTGTTTACCCATCTAATATATAAGATCTAATATCTGCGTAAATGTCAGAATTTGTAAAACATAATTTAGATAATTGTGGAAAATCAAAATGTGGCTTGTGCAGAGGATAGTATATTCATTTTCTATTGCTGCGTAGCAAATTACTACAAATTTAGCAGCTTAAAACATCATCCATTTATTATTTCACAATTTCTGGAGTGCAGTGGCAGGAGTCCAGGCATAGCTTACCTAGTCCTCTGCTTAGGGACAGAAGGCTGCACCCAGTGTGTTAGCCAGGCTGCATCCTCTTCTAGAGGCTTGAGTGGGAAAGAATCTGCTTCTGAGCTCATTCTTGTTCTGGCAGAATTCATTTCCTTGGACTCTATGACTGAAGTCCCAGGGTTTTTGTGTGCTATCTGCTGGAGGCCACCATCAGATCCTAGAGGTCCCCTGCAGTTCGACTACCCACTGTTCTTTTCTTCTATGACATGGCCACTTAATTCATCAAGCCAGCAATAAGAGTCTCTCTAACACCTTTGTCATATTCTGTTGGCTAAAAGCAAGTCACATGTTCTGCCCACATACAAGAGAAGTGCACATTAAATTTAAAGACTGGACCGTCAGGAGTTAGGAAAACCAGGCTTGAATCAGACTTTCTAGCTGTATGTTATTGCGCAAGTAGCTGAACTTCTAACCTCAGTTTACCTATGTATGAAATGGGCTAATTGTCATATTTTAATTAGTATGTTTTCAACTGCAGACAAATGACCAATTAAAAGTAATAATGAGAAATTTATTTTATTTCTTTCTTTTTTTTTTTTTTTTTTTTTTGAGACGGAGTCTTGCTCTGTCTCCCAGGAGGGAGTGCAGTGGCATGATCTCAGCTCACTGCAACCTCTGCCTCCTGGTTTCATGTGATTCTCCTGCCTCAGCTTCCCAAGTAGCTGGGACTACAGGTGCCTGCCACCACACCTGGCTAATTTTTGTATTTTTAGTATTAGACGGGGTTTCACCATATTTGTCAGGCTGGTCTCAAACTCCTGACCTCAGGTGATCCATCCGCCTCGGCCTCTCAAAGTGTTGGGATTACAGGTATGAGCCACCATGCTTGCTGAGAAATCTATTTTCTTACAAAAAGAAGTCTGGAGATAGGACAGTTTCAGGGACAGTTAATCCAAACCTTCAACGTCTTTAAAAACAATTTTACTGTTGTTTTGTTTTGTTTAATTCTGCTCACCTCAAGGTGCTGGATTTTGTTCTCCACTTTGTGCCTTCATAGTTGCAAGATGGGATAGATACAGCAGTTCTCAACATTATAGTTTCAAGTAAACAACATTCAAAGACAGCAAAAGGGAACAATGGCACAGAAAAAGTACTTTCTCTCTCTCTTTTTTTTTTTTTTTGGCTGAAGAGGTTTAAATTTTTTTTAAAGAGTTTTATGTTTACAGAAGAATTGAGCAAAAAATACAGAGAATTCCCATTCACTTCCTTCTTTCCCCTTACAGTTCCCCTATTATTAATATCTTGCATTGGTGTGATACATCCGTTACAGTTGATGAACTAATATTGATACACTATTATTAGTTAAACTCCACAGTTTACATTAGGGTTCACACTTGTTTGTAGAGTTCTGTGGTTTTGACAAATGTATAATGTCATCTATCCGTCATTACTGTAACATACAGAACAGCTTCACTGCCCTAAAAATTCTTTGTACTCTACAAGTTTACCTCTTTTTCTGTCTTTGCTAGCCCCCGGCAACCACTGATCTTCCTGTCTCCATAGTTTTGACTTTTCCATAATAATATAGTATGTGGGTTCAGATTGGCTTCTTCCACTTAGCAATATGCATTTAAGATTCCTCCATATCTTTTCATGGCATCACAGCTCATTTTTAAATTACTAAATAATATTTCATTGCATGGTGTACTGTAGTTTGTTTATCCATTCATATATATTAGGGATATTTTGGTTGTTTCTAAATTTTGGCAATTATGAATAAAGCTGCCATAAATATTTGTGTTAAGGTTTTTGTGTAGGCCTAAGTTGTCAACTCATTTGGGTAAATACCTAGGTGTGTGATTGCTGGGTCATATGGTAAAACTATGTTAGCTATATAAGAAACTGCTAAATTGTCCTCCAAAGTAGCTGCACTATTTCGCATTGTCACCAACAGTGAAGAAGAGTTCCTGTGGCTCCACATCTTCACCAGCATTTGGTGTTGTCAGTGTTTTGGATTTCAGCCATCCTAATAGGTGTGTAGTGATACCTTATTTTTTTAATTTGCAATTCCCTGATGACATATGAGGTGGTGGTTGGAGCCTGGGGTTTCTGAAACTATGATTATGGAAAGTGGAGTTATTGGTGATAAGGTAAAGGAAATACCAATGAAAGTGGGTGGCTGTCATGGGGTGGGGGAAATGTTACTGGGGGAGAGGAGGCTTAAGAATTGAGAGGCAAACAAAGACCAATTAAAAGTAAGAAACAGGCTGGGCATGGTGGCTCACAACTGTAATCCCAGCACTTTTGGAGGCTAAGGCTGGCGGATCATGAGGTCAGGAATTCGAGACCAGCCAGACCAACATGGTGAAACCCCATCTCTACTAAAAATACAAAAATTAGCTAAGTGTGGTGGCGCGTGCCTGTAACCCCAGCTACTCAGGAGGCTGAGGCAGGAGAATCGCTTGAACCTGGGAGGCAGAGGTTGCAGTGAGCCGAGATCGCGCCACTGCTCTCCAGCCTGGGCGACAGAGCAAGACGGTCTCAACAACAACAACAAAAAAGTAAGAAACAGTGAGAAATTTATTTTCTTAATAAAGTTCAGATTATCAAAGAACCAAATTTCCACCAATTGAGTTTGAAAGATCTAGTTGGCTTTTATTAGACCTCATCTCTACAAAAAAAACAAAAAAAAATCCAAAAATTAGCCAGGCATGGTGGTGTATGCCTACAGTCCTAGCTACTTGGGAGACTGAGGCGGGAGGATGGCTTGAGCCCGGGAGGCGGAGGTTGCAGACAGCCGAGATCATGCCATTGCACTCTAGCCTGGGTGATAAAGCCAGATTTTGTCTCACAAAAACAAAAATGAAAAATTTTGTTGCATCAAAAGATACTATAATGAAAGTGAAAAGACAGACCACAGAATGGGAGAAAATATTTAAAAATCGTATATCTGATAAAAGTCTAGTATTGGGAATGTATAAGGCACTCTTACAATTCAATAACAAAAAGACAACCCAATAGTTTAAATGAGAAAAGGACTTGAATAGATATTTTTCTAAAGAAGATATACAAACAGCCAACAAGCACATAAAAGGATGCTCAATATCATTAGTCATTAGGAAAATGCAAATCAAAATCATAATTAAATACCGCCTCACACTGACTAGAATGGACATAATTTTTTTAATGGAACATACGTGTTTGTGAGGACGTGGAGAAGTTGGAACCCTTGTACATTGCTGGCAGGAATGAAAAATGGTGAACCACTGTGGAAAACAGTTTGGTGGTTCAACATCGACTTACGATATGACCTGGCAATTCTACTCCTAGATATACACCCAAAAGACTTGAAAGCAGGGACTCAAACAGATACATGTATACTGATGTTCATAGCAGCTTTATCACAGCAGCCAAAGGTGAAAACGATCTAACTAGTGTTCATCAACAGGTGGATGGAGAAACAAAATGTGGTAAATCCATGCACAGAAATATTGTCCAGCATAAAAAGGAATGAGGTACTGATGCATGCTACAGTGTGGATGAACCTTAAAAACATGTTCAGCAAAAGAAGTCAGACACAAAGAAGGCCATATATTGTATGACTCCATTTATAAGAAATGTCCAGGACAGGTGAACCCATAGAGACAGAAAGCAGATTAGTGATTGCTAGGGACTAGGGGGAAGGGGAAAAGGGGAGTGACTGAATAAAGGGTACAGAATTTCCTTTGGAAGTAATAAAAATGTTCCAGAACTACATAGTAGTAAAGGCTGCACAAAATTATGAATGTACTAATGTCATTGAATTGTACACTTTTTTTTTTTAGACAGTCTTGCTCTTTTGCCCAGGCTGGAGTGCAGTGGCATGATCTCAGCTCGCTTGCAACCTCTGCCTCCCAGGTTCAAGCAGTTCATGTAGCTGAGATCACAGGTGTGCGCCACCATGCCTGGCTAATTTTTGTATTTTCAGTAGGGATGAGGTTTCACCATGTTGACCAGGCTGGTCTCAAACTCCTGACCTCAAGTGATCCGCCAGCCTCGGCCTCCCAAAGTGCTGGGATTACAGGTATGAGCCCATAATCAGTGTACATTTCATCCTAGCCTGAATTGTACGCTTTTAAATGGTTACATGATTAATGTTATATTATGTGAATTGTACACACCCCTCCTCCAAACACACACACACACACACACACACACACACACACACACACACAGAAGGGGCATGGCATGGATTCTGAAACAGTGAGGGGAAATTAGCCAGCCCAGGAAAGCAAGGAGAAGTGCTTCCCTTGGAGCAGCCCAAGCCAAGGTGAGTGGACTGGGCTGGGGCACCTCAGCAGTAGAAAGATACCTGTGGCCAGAGATACAGGAGGGCAGAGGCTACTGCTCCCATAGGACAAGGCAGTGTAATCCTTAGGCGATTAGCACAAAGCACATCAAAAGGCTTCAACAAATACCCATTTAAAGGCTGGAGATATGAATGAAAAGAAATTGCAAGCCTTTGCTATGAAGAGTGGTTCCCTCTCCTTCCCCTGCAACAGAACAAAGCCTTCCTTGGTGTGAGAATTCCAAGTGTGGTCTGGAGAGTCTAAACCTGTCTGTTGAAAGAATGGCTCTTAGAGGGTGAAAAGCAGGGATGTTGTCGCCCTCCTCTGGTCACTGAGCAGCTTTGGTGTCCCCCCCTCTGACTGAGGTGGCCACCACTGCTGTGAGTGCAGAACCCAGGGCTGGAGATGTTTGGCAGCCAAGGTACCGGGGCTGTGAAGGCAGCTGGCCCTCCACTCCCCACTCACCCCTCTACAAATTCTTTCTCAGTTACTCAGGAGGCTGAGGCGGGAGAGTGGCTTGAGCCCAGGAGGTGGAGGCTATAGAGAGCCATGATCAAACCACTGAACTCCAGCCTGGGTAACAGAACGAGATTCTGTCTCAAATTAATTAATAATATAAATAAGTTTTTAAAAATTAAAAAGGCAGCATGTAGACCAGGCGTGGTGGCTCACACCTGTAATCCCAGCACTTTGGGAGGTAGAGGCAGTGGATCACTTGAGGTCAGGAGTTCAAGACCAGCCTGGCCAACATGGTGAAACCTTGTCTCCACTAAAAATACAAAAATTAGCTGGGCATGGTGGTGCACACCTACCTGGGAGGCTGAAGCAGGAGAATCACTTGAACCTGGGAGGCAGAGGTTGCAGTGAGCTGAGATCGTGCCATTACACTTCAGCCTGGGTGACAGTGAGACTCCATCAAAAAAAAAAAAAAAGCATCATGTAAACGTGTAATGTTTCCACATCGATGTGAAAAAAAATACCTATATTCCAATGTGCTTATAAGTGCATAGAATATGTCTGGAAGGATAATGAAGAAACTAGGTAATGTGAAACTGGGTAATATGATTTTTCTGGGGAGAACTAAGGGACTAGGAAGACAAAGGCACACTTTAGTCAACACCCCCTTTTTGATTGTGGTAAAATATACATACATAAAATTTACCATTTTAACTGTTTTTAAGTGTACAGTTCAGTGGCATTGAGGACTGATATGGTTTGGGTGTGTGTCCCCGCGCAAATCTTGAGTAATCCCCAATGTTGGAGGTGGGGTCTGGTGGGAGGTGATTGAATCATGGGGGCAGATTTCTTCTTTAGTGCTGTTCTTGTGATAGTGAGTGAGTTATTATGAGATCTGGTTGTTTAAAAGTGTGTAGCGCATCCCCCCACACCTGACTCTCTTTTCCTCCTGCCCTAGCCTTGTAAGATGTGCCTGATTCCCCATCGCTTTCTGCCATGATAGGAAGTTTCCTGAGGCCTTCCCAGTCATGCTTCCTGTAGAGCCTGTGGAACTGTGAGCCAGTTAAACCTCTTTTCTTTATAAATTACCTAGTCAGGTATTTCTTTATAGCAGCATGAGAACAAACTAACACAAGCACACTCACATTGCTGTGTAAATATCAACACCACCCATCTCCAGAACTGTTTCATCTTCCCAAAGTGAAACTCTGTACCTATTAAACAATAACTCCCCATCCACCCTCCCCCCAGTCCTGGAAACCACCATTCTATTTTCCATCTTTATGAATTTGACTACTCTAGGAATCTCGTTTAAGTGGCATCATACAGTATTTGTCCTTTAGTTTCTGTTTTATTGCTTTTAGCATAATGTCTTCATCAATACACTTTGATAGATTTTTAAAGCTCTTGGGGAGCTTTTCTAAAAATATTGATACCCAGATCTTACCTCTAGAAAGTCTGATTTTTTTTTTTTTTTTTTTTGAGATGGAGTCTCGCTCTGTCACCTAGGCTGCCTAGGCTGGAGTACAGTGGCGCAATCTCGGCTCACTGCAACCTCCACCTCCCGGGTTCAAGCAATTCTCCTGCCTCAGCCTCCTGAGTAGCTGGGACTACAGGAACACGCCGCCACACCCAGCTAATTTTTTATATTTTAGTAGAGATGGGGTTTCACCGTGTTGCCCAGGCTGGTCGTAAACTCCTGAGCTCAGGCAATCTGCCTGCCTCGGCCTCCCAAAGTGCTGGGATTACAGGCGTGAACCACTGTGCCTGGCCAAAAGTCTGATTTTATAGGTCTGTGGGGCAGCTTGGGCATTGGCTTTTTAGGTGATTCTAAGGTGCAGCCTGGACTGTGAACCACTGCTCACTCCCAAAGCAGGCTGTGCACCAAACTCACCAGGAGCTTTTCAAAGCTCACCCTTATAGACTCCCTTGTCCCACCTCTGACCTACTCATTCAGAATTTTCAGGAATGTGCAGTTTTAACCACCACTCTGAGGGATTCCTAAGCAACCAGCCTGGCCTGCACTGCAGAGAAGCCCCTAGGAAGCCGTGTCCTGGATAAAGCTCTGGCTTTCGATGCTAGGAACTGTAAGTGCAGCCTTTTACTCAGCTGCAGTGATTGATGCACATGGGGCGCTGTCCCCACCAAGTACTGAGGAAACAGAATAAAAAATAATTGCTAATCAAAAGAGAAGAAGTTCCTAATTTTAAAAATAGTAATAGGCCCGATGCGGTGCCTCACGCCTATAATCCCAGCATTTTGGGAGGCCGAGATGAGTGGATCACTGAAGGTCGGGAGCTCCAGACCAGCCTGGCCAACATTATGAAACCTGGTCTTTACTAAAAATACAAAAATTAGCTGGGCGTGGTGGCAGGCGCCTGTAATCCCAGCTACTCAGGAGTCTGAGACAGGAGATCCACTTGAACCCAGGAGGCGGAGGTTGCAGTGAGCCGAGATCAGGCCACTGCACTCCTGCCTGGGTGACAGAACAAGATTTCATCTCAAAAAAACAAAATAAAATAAAAATAAAAGTAGTAATAATGACTATTTTCACACTCGCCTGTGATAGTCTTGGTTCTAGAATGATTCTACTTAGAGAGGGAGGTACAGGAAGGGACAGCCTGTTTCTGGTAACCTCACACTGAATGAGTGGGCAGAAGCAGATCCATTAAGGACCTTACCCTCGACCATATAGGCCTAGTGGGCTCCATACAGCAGCTGAGGGCTAGGAGAGGCACGTAAGTGCATTGCCAAAAACCCTCACCTATATATTCTCTCCCCATTCCTGCACCCATCAGTCATTCTAGAAACAGCTGCTGCTCCACGGGCGGCTGCGGGAAGAAGAAAGAGGAGCGTTCCGTTCTTCAGCTCCCCCACCAGTCCCCTCCTGTTCAGTCCCCCCACCGCCCCGTTCCCACACACACCATTCGGTAACTCCTTGGTTTCTAGTCCCAGCTCTGCCACTGGCCTTGTCCCAGTTTGCCCAGGACTGTCCCAGTTTATTACTGAAAGTCCTGTGACCCAGGAAAACCCTCAGTCCTGGGCAAACTAGGGTGATGGGTCCCCTCAGCCTGGAGGTTAAGTGTTCAACTTTGTGAGAGGTGACACAATGATGCATGCACAGTCGGAGGGGTGGGGTCTTTGAACAGATTCATCTCCCTCAATTTAAGATCAGCAAAATGAAGCCCAGGGAAGAAGAGCACCCTGCACAAGGTCACAGAGCTGGTGGCAGGGGCACAGTGCCCCAGCCTGGTTCTATCCCCACAGGTGCCAAAATGACTTAGCTGATATTTTCCCAGGGGCAGAGGGACAGATTAGTTGAGCTTTCAGGCATTTTCTTGCACTACCAGCCCCCGCCCCCAGTTGATGAGGCCCACCATGCGTCAGGGCTGTGACTGTCCCATCCAGGGGCAGGAATTTCGGCCTCTGCCAATGACTTAGCTTTCTCTTTTACCTCCTCCCTCCTTGCTCACCCCACACCTCACGTTACAGGACAGGAGACTACTGCAGTAGCTCACGCCCACCAAACCCCCCATCAAAGCCACCCTTATTCTTGGAGGGAGCCAGTAAGCATCGTAAAAAAAATGTGCTTTCTCAGGATCCCTGCTCAAAATCTCTCCCCAGCTGCCTGGCTATTTATTTATTTATTTATTTATTTATTTATTTTGAGGTGGAGTCTCCCTCGGTCACCCAGGCTGGAGTGCAGTGGCACGATGTCTGCTCACTGCAACCTCCACATCCCGGGTTCGAAAGATTCTTGTGCCTCAGCCTCTGGAGTAGCTTGCCTGGCTTTTCAAACATACACTAGGGCAGCACTGTGTGAAAAGGAATATAATGCAAGCCACAAACATAATTTAAAATTTTCTAGATGCTACATTAAGAAACACTAAAAAGAAACAGATGAAATTAACTTTGAATATATTTTATTTAACCTGATATATGTAAAATACTGTCATTTCAAAATATAATCAATATAAAACATGATTAATAAGATATTTTTACATTCTTTTTTTGATAGTAGGTGTCCAAAATCCAATGTGTATTTCTTTTTTTTTTTTTTTTTTTTAGATGGAGTCTCATTCTTGTTGCCCAGGCCGGAGTATAGTGGCTTGATCTCAGCTCACTTTTACCTCGGCCTCCCAGGTTCAAGTGATTCTCCTGTCTCAGCCTCCCAAGTAGTTGGGATTACAGGCGTCCGCCACCATGCCCAGCTAATTTTTTTTTGTCCATATTTTTAGTAGAGATGGGATTTCACCATATTGTCCAGGCTGGTCTCAAACTCCTGACCTCAGGTGATCCACCTGCTTCAGTCTCCCAAAGTGCTGGGATTACAGGCGTGAGCCACCATACCCAGGCTTCCAGTGTGTTTTTCATATGCTTACAGTGCTTATTAATTTAGACTAGCCATCTTTAAATTACTCAGCAGTCACCTGTGGCTGGAGACTACCATATTGGACAGCATACACTAGAGGCCCAGGAAACAATGCAAATATCCTTTGGAAGGATCCTGCGCAATCACTGCACACACACACACACACACACACATTTTAGAGATAGAGTCTTCTCTGTCTTCCAGGCTGGAATGCAGTGGTGCTATTATGGTTCACTGTAGCCTCGACCTCCTGGGCTCAAGTGATCCTCCTGCCTCAGCCTCCCAAGTAGTTGGGACCATAGGCATGTGCCACTGGGCCTGGTTAATTTGTATATATACATATATATGTGTATATATGTATACATACATATATATGTGTATATATGTATACATACATATATATATATATTTAGACATGGGGTCTCACTGTGTTGCCCAGGCTGGTCTTAAACTCCTGGCCTCAAGAAATCCTCCCACCTCAGCCTCCCAAAGTGCTGAGATTACAGGTGTGAGCCACCACACCCAGCTTCACTGCTCACGTATAATGATCTGACAACTCTGTCTCCTTGGAGGTCAGGGTGAACAGGGCCCTCAGAAAATAGGATGTGGAATTATTGATTATTGATTACAGCAGAGAAAAGCCAAGGCCAGGCCAAAAAGAGCAGGTTCATGGAGGGTTGCTGCCACCCCCAACTCTGGGCAAGGGTCCCCCACACTGGGAGCTCTCCGCCTGCTCCGTGGTATAAGGCAGCAGGCTAAGGGGCTGCAAGGGGTACATGCGGGGCTGAGGTCCCCTGGTGAAAGGAAGTTTCAGAAGGGGGAAGTGAGAAGGGGAGTCGCAGGGTTCTACAGAGAAACAAGGAGTGCCACATGCATGCGCCATCCCCATGAAGCAGAGGCCTCCTCTGGCTGACGTCCCTGTCAGCCATAATTGCACCTAGAGCACCTGTCTCCCAAGGAACATTCCACAGCAGCTGAAGAGAGATGTTAGCTCATGCCAGGCCAACCATGCAAGTGGAATCTTTCAGACAGTCCTTCCAAATGGGGGTCCCAGGAAAAGATCAGCAGTTCTTAATATAGAACGCCTCCTCATGCAGATCAAAAGAATGCAAAGTCCTGGTGAGTCTCCAAGGGACTGAGTTCTTAAGAATGTAATTATGGATTGGAAGAAGATAAGTCCCTAGAGTCCAAAAGTTAGTTGTCAAATTGTAAGTGCCGAGAGAGAGAGAAGAAAGAAAGGAATCCTAGCTAGATTGGACTATTTGTCATGGTGGGATGGAAGTGGTTTAACAGCTGCTTTGCTGGATTTTCTAGCACTCCTTGAAATACAGGTTCCTTGAGAAGTAGTGTGTATTTGGAAGAGTTTCTCTTTCTGCAAAAGCATTACTTAAACCCTGTATTACACACACACACACACACACACACACACACACACACATAAAAATATGTACTCCCCAAATTTTTGGAATCAATGGCACCTAACAGTGTTGAATAAATCAGTCAAAGAAATATGCTTAAATTTGGTAATAAATGAGTCTCATGGCAGGAGGGAGATGTACAGCAATCCTAATTGACTATGATAATACAACTCATGCTGTTAAATTGTTCTAGAGAGGGCACAACAGCATGAGGTACTTGCAGTTCTTCCGGCAGCCTTCAAACCTGCTGTAACAGGCTATGGGCAGATAATACCCCAGCAGCAGAGCATGAAGACTAAGCTGAATAGTACATGTCCACCTAACAGAGCTTACCCCAAGTGA
This sequence comes from Homo sapiens, assembly GCF_000001405.40. NCBI lineage: Eukaryota > Metazoa > Chordata > Mammalia > Primates > Hominidae > Homo > Homo sapiens. Next base: position 50,791,209 of record NC_000018.10, read on the forward strand.
AAGGGCTTTATTAAAAAGAGCAAGGGATGTGCCTGATAGGCTCTGGGGGTGGCTATATTCACAGTAGGGAAAGAGGGATTACGTTTTGAGATGAGAAATGATTTCCACCTCCTCACCACACACGCCCTGCAGGAAATCCCATCCTAGCCAAACCCTCCATTGGGAGAAACCAGCTGAGATATCTTGCCCACTGCCTCTTTCTGCAAGACTCCACATGTCACACAGGCTGGATTTACTTCACCCAGTGGAGCCAGGGCAGGACCAGAAGGGGGAAAGCAGAGGAGTGAACTAGAGACTAGGCAATGGCTTTGCCTGTCTGTTTGTTGCTTATTTTTGATGATTGTTTAAAGCCCATCCATGAAAAAATACTGACAGTATTTCTTCAGTTAAGAAATCATCATGAACTGCTCTCTTATCTAAAGAACTTTGAAAGTAGAAGCTCTAAAGCTCAACTTTCTGCCACAGGCTGCCTGCCATTGGCCACACCACAGGCTCCAGCTCCAGAAACACACAGAAGCAGAGAGGGCAAGATTTGAACACCCCTTAGAGATGGATGAACCAACCCCACCAGCTCAGACTCCTCCCCATCCTATAGCCAGTTGGGGGCAGTCACACAGCCAGTTGGAGACAGTCTTGCGTCAATGCTGGGGAAACCAGAAGTTATAGGTTTTAATTTCTTAGGCAGACCTCATTTGTTCACATCTAAGTCTCCATCTTATTTAATGAAAAGGCTTGGGAAATCCAAAATGGTTGGCCAGCCCTTACTTTTCTTGGGAAAGGTAAGAGTGAGCTGGTTAATCGTTAAGTCCTGGTATAATCACAGATCCAGGTAGGGCAAAGGTCTTTTAAGATTAAACAGATTTAACTATGCAAATTCCATTACCTTCATAATAAAACCCTCTCTTTGTTTATTGATAGTTAATGGGAGGACACCAGACATAAATACAAATAGTTTAACCACGTAAATAAGCAAACCATGTTTACTATAGGAAATTGTGTTTGTTCCCTTAAGTCATAAAATTTTTATTTAGGAAATTGAATTTGTTCCTTTAAGTTGTAAAATGAGCTCACTAGCTTTGAATTAATTTAATCCACCACTCTGCACAGTGTGTAGATCTTACTCGTCAGAAAATCTCACATTCCTGGGCTTCCTCTTCTCAGGCTTGTTGGAAGCTAGTAAATCAACTGTCACTCTAGTAGATTTAAATCCAAACATATAAAATTTTCATTTTTCCCTAATGGAGTTTAATTAGTTTTTGACTTAAACTTTTTTTTTTTTTTTTTTTTTTTGAGACGGAGTCTCACTCTGTCACCAGACTGGAGTGCAGTGGTGCGATCTCAGCTCACTGCAAGCTCCGCCTCCCAGGTTCACGCCATTCTCCTGGCTCAACCTCCCAAGTAGCTGGGACTACAGGCATGTGCCACCACGCCCAGCTAATTTTTGTATTTTTAGTAGAGACAGGGTTTCCCCATGTTGGCCAGGATGATCTCCATCTCTTGACCTCGTGATCTGCCCGCCTCGGCCTCCCAAAGTGCTGGGATTACAGGTGTAAGCCACCACGCCCAGGCTACTTAAACTTGATCTTACTATTAGAGTAACTTAAAGGAAAAGAGTCAGGTTTTCCACAACTTCTGAATGTTATTCTTTCTATCATACCAAAAAATTTGGATATAACTAAATTGTACAAAATAGATAGGTATTAAACTTGTAAACTGAATCCTATTTGACATGTAATGGGTACTTAGTATCTGGAACAAACAGCCTTATGTAAAACAATGTATCTACCTAATCTTATTGCATTTATATTTTTAAGATATTTATGCATAGTGATTACTTGGTGCTTTTATTTTTTATTTATTTTTATTTATACTATTTATTTATGTTATTTTATTGTTTATTATTTATTTATTTTATTATTTATTTTAAATTAAAATCTGTGGCACCTGGCCACAAGTACGCTGGGCACAGTGGCTCACGCCTGTAATCCTAGTACTTTGGGAGGCCAAGATGGGCGGATCGCTTGAGGTCAGGAGTTCAAGACCAGCCTGGCCAACACCCCGTCTCTACTAAAAATACAAAAATTAGCAGGCGTGGTGGCATGTGCCTGTAATCCCAGCCACTTGGGAGGCTGAGGAAGGCGAATTGCTTGGACCTCGGAGGCGGAGTTTGCGGTGAGCCGAGATAGCGCCACTGAACTCCAGCCTGGGCAGCAGAGTGAGACTCTATCTCAAATAAATAAATAAATTGAGATCTGTGTTAACATCTTATTTCATTCCCTCCATCCTCCACCTTGTATAAATAGGCTCCAATCATGAGTGGCTACCATGTAAACAGGAACACTCCATTTGGGAGTAATGGTCCACAGTTTACATGGACTGTCTCATCTGATCATCAGAGTAACTTGTGCTGTGGGTTTTACCTCCACTTGACAAATGAAGACCCCAAGGCTCTGAGAGGTTATGTGACTTGCTCAAGATAACCAGCTAGTAAATGATAGAGTCAGACTATGAAGCCGGGTCTTCTGATACCAAATGTAGTGTCCTTTCAGCCCGCATGATGTCACATTTGAGAATTGAGCTTCTCTCCTCTTCCAGCGGCTGGTTATATCTGCTGATGCAGTCAGGCAGGCAGGTTGAAAAGCTTTGGATTTCTGATTGCATTTTTGCTGTGGCAGAGGCATGTGCCTCTAGCAGTGTCGCTTAGGAAATGACATTTTTAACTCTCTGATCCGCATTTCTGAAAAACATTTCCTTCTTGCGGGAGACATTTGGGCCATTACCTGGTTAACATTTGCAAACTGCTGTAGGAAATTCATCTGCTTGAAAGGAACATGATTAATAGCATCACCCTTGGAAAAAGAAGGTGGGGTGTTAATTATTAACAAGAGCTTGCTTAAAAGATACAATACAGAATTCTTAACAGAGCTGTTGGGAATATTAGGATGGAATGAACAGGGCCTATTGAAACCATCTCTAGAGCATAAAAATGCACTGCTCCCGCTCTGAGCAATCACAGCACCCCAAAGGGCCGAGAGGGAAAGAACCACTTGCTATTCTCATTGCTATGATTCTTATCTGTATTAAAATTCCAAAACCTATCAGGTGACAGATTCCTACTTGGTCAAAATGCCAGCATTTGCAACTCGAAGAATTCAACCAATCTTTACTGAACACCCATGTCAGGCAAGGCTCAAAGCCACATTCTTGGAGAACTAATAAAGGATACGGAGGCTACCTCCAGGACTGGTGGATCAGGGTAATGCTCAAATTACCAATGGACCTGTCTGAAGACCTGGGCAGCTTCAAGAAGAGAAGAAATAATGTCTGGAGAGTTTGTTAGGAATGAGGAACAAAAATAACATTTCCTGAGCACCTTCTATGTACCAAGCACTCTGCCAAGTGCTCAGTGTGACTTAATTGAATCTTTGCAGCCCAGCAATTCTATACATTGGGTTATTGTCTCCATTTCACATATCAGCACACTGAGGCTTGGTGCGCTGACTTGCCCACACTTGGCTAAATGGCAGAGCCAGGCTGCATTCTTCCAGCAGCTCTGCTCTACCTCTGAAGAAGAGGGCATTTGGAGTCAGTCCAGGGAATGGCTGATAGAACCAAGGAACTGGAAAGTATTCCAGACAGTAGGAATCGAGGAAGCATCATGGGAAATTCTAGGTTGGTGTTTATTATAAGGAATCTTAGAAGTCTGGCTTGGGAGCCTTAACTCCCAAGTGCTTAACTTGGTAAATAATAGGTGCCTTTGCATATCAAATCATCCCTCCTCAGTAAATTAGGATGTGTTGGCTTTATCTAGAACCCAGGGTTTTCCTGAAACCATTTAACATGTAAATAAAGGAACAAAATATTTACTCTACTGTGGTCAGACAAAATTAATGTAAGTTCAGTCACATAAATAAAATGATAATCAATCATAAGTCATTTTATTTGTTATCAAGTTATATTATCAACAGGTTATTGTCATCAACAGATTAAAACAAAATGTCTCAAAAAGACAAAGGCAAACACATACTATTGAGAGTAAACAATGACCGTCCCAGGCTTTCCAAAGCATATATATCACTTACACTCATGGACTTTTTTTTCATTTTAAAAGGGCATTTTGCATGTGTTTTATAACTATGAAAGTAATACATGCTCATTGCAGCAAACTTAGAAAATGCAGAAATGCACAAATATCTGTCTTCTGTACAACACTAACTGCTAGCTACCCTACACAGCTGTTGTTTCTCGCTTTCAAAACATTCTAGTGCTTTTTTATAACGTGTGAAGCGTTCCCCCAATTAAGTGGTCTATTAACTGGAAGTTCACAGGCTTCTGCTCTCATTCAGTAGCAGAATTGGTCACACCTGTTAGATTCTCAGCCTCCTCCTTTGTCATTTTCTCTCCTCTCTCTCCACCACTTCCCTCTCCCCTTTAAGAAAGACCTATCTCAGCCAGGAGCGGTGGCTCACGCCTGTAATCCCAGCACTTTGGGAGACCAAGGTGAGCAGATCACTTGAGGTCAGGAGTTTGAGACCAGCCTGGCCAACATGGTGAAACCCCGTCTCTACTAAAAACACAAAAATTAGCCAGCCATGGTGGCAGGCACCTGTAATCCCAGCTACTCAGGAGGCTGAGACAGGAGAATCGCTTGAACCCAGGAGGTGGAGGTTGCAGTGAGCCGAGATCGTGTCATTGCACTCCAGCCTGGGTGACAGAGTGAGGCTCCATCTCAAAAATAAAAATAAAGAAAGAAAGACCTATCTCATGAGCACCAGAGACACAGGGACCAAGCAAAGCTCTACCCTGGGCACTTAGCATGAGGGTCGGGGCACTTGAACATTCCTTTTTTCTTTCTTTCATTCAACTGCTCAATAAGGTTCAAAATTAATGTTCAAAATTAAGAAATGTCAAAACATTACCTTTGGGTTGGCATTCAGATAAACGTGGGGAAGGGGAAACTTGAAATGCACAAGCATAAAAGTAACCTGTACATTGGTTATAAGGAATGAAATTGGTGACCCTCATTTGTCAAAATGGGCTCCTCCCAGTAAGGAATGACAGCTTCAGATGACTTTCTGACATTTTTCCCCCTAATCAACATTCATTTACAGAGTACTTTTGCAGTCACCGGGGAGATACAATGATGTACAAGATACAGCCCTGCCTTCTGTAGTTTCAATCTAACAGGATAAAAAAAAAAACATAAAGCCATATACAAAAAAAAACTTTTCAGATAAGATATAAGTGGTATAATATTGCTAGAATGTTCTGGGAATTCAGAGACTTGAGCTCTCCCCTGATTGGGGGGATCAGGACTTTGACCTAGGCATTGGAGTACAGATAAGAGATACACGTGAAATGTGTGTGTGTGTGTGTGCATGTGATTCCAGGTGGGTGTGTACAGGTGAGCAGGGAGGGGACTCAACACAGAAATAGCAGACTGAGCAAAGGTGAGGGGGTATAGGAGAACAAGACATGTTGAGAGAAGAGAAAGGACCCAAACTTGTCTGAAGCAAAGAGAGTAACAGAAGAAAACGAAGGTTGAAAGCCTGAAATGGCAGACTGGACATTGGACTTTATTCCCTCTACAATTTGGAATCATTTAGTCATTCAGCAAATGTTCCTTAATCACATGGCCAGGCTCTGTGGTAGGTATGGTGAGAAACAGAAACAAACAAACAAAAAAACATAGTCCCTTGCTCTTGCCACCAAATTTCATGATAACATAAATTTCTGGAAATAGAATTTAAACTCAAAGAGGACTTATGAAGAGCAAAACAAAATTAGCCAAGACAACAGTTAATAATAAGGAATCTTCTCTGGTTACTTATTGCAGTGTGACAAATTATCCCAAAGGTTAATGACTTAAAACAACAATCATTTGATTCTTTGTTCATGCTTCTGCAACTGACACAGGCTTGATGGAGACGCTCGTCTCTTTTCCGTATGGTGTCAGCTGGAGTAGCTTCAACAGCTCGGGTCTGGCTGGAAGGGACAACTTGTGTCATGTGTCCGGGCCTCAGACTCTGCTGTGGGTTGGGTGTCTCCGTTCTCCTTCACATGGTGATCTCAGGCACTCTCATTTGTTCCTGGTAGTTCAACTCCTTATGTGGCAGCTGGCTTCCCCCACAATTCAAACGAGGAAACTGCCAGGGTTTCTATGCCCGGCACAGTGCCATTTATCACAATCTCCTGATTAAAGCAAGTCACAAAGGCAGCCCAGATTCAAACAGAAGGGACTAAATAAAGACATGAGTATCAGGAGGCATGACTCATTGGGGGCCACCAAAATAAAAGCCTACCATTGAATCTTAAAGTCAAATAATCCAACCGCATCTTCCACAATTTTAACCGACAGAGGGACATTAACTGCATAGGTTTTTCTACTCCAGAGCACGTAACCCCACCCATCTCACCCTATCCCCACCTTTTTGAATGCCAGCCACATGCAGCCATTTCTCAGACCACTCACTGATCACTTAATGGAACTGCATCAAGTTTAAACCAACCTTGCAACAAAATTTCAAAGAGGCCAGCATCCGGGGAGTGGGTGCTAGGGAGGGGCAGGGGGCTTACAGCTCAGAACCACCCATTTGCTCGTGAGCCTGTGTCCCTCCTAAAATCTCTTGCTGTCATGTTCTTCAGATTCAGAACAGGAAGGAAGAAAATCCATTCCTGCCTGGCACTTGCCACTCTGTCTGCCATCTCCCACATCCTCATCTCGCCTAGGTCTCTCCTCATCCCCGCATCTGTGTCACACCACCCTGTCCCTGGGAGCTACAGCAGAAAATTGAGTTCCTCATTCTCAGAATGCCACTTAAGATCCAGCTATAGCTTTTATAATCCCCCGTGTTTTAAATTGTCTTGAACAAAACGCTCCGGGTGTGGCCTGGATACTGAATTCAGGGGTGGTACCAGAGTTTCTATAGAAGCTTGGGATGCAATCTGGTTAGAGGGAGGGTGAGAGGGACTTAGAGATTTTTCTTGTAATTTTTACGAGTGATGTGACTCCTTGGATAACTAGGATTGATCACCAAAATAATTGACATTAATAGCCAAAAAGTAATTAATAAAAACACTCAGCTCACATAAATTAATAAAAATGTATACTTAGTACATATAAAATCAAAAGTTAACTGGGCTTAGTAGAGGAGCAGAAGCAGAGATGTTTGCATTTGCTTTGTTTTTAACATTTCTAACCATCCATCAGTTATTCCATGGAAAGGCAGGATGGCATGATTATTGAGTATGGGCTCAAGAAGTCAGACCGTACATGTTTGAATTCCAGCTCCACTGTTTACTGAGTTATCTGGGGAAAGTTACCTAATTTCCCTATGTGTTAGCTTTCTCATCTATAAAATGAGAACAATAATAATACTTACTATCTCAGGGTTGTCGCAAGTATTAAATAGAACTTACAAAAAGCACTTTGACCGTGCCCACTGAATTGTAAGCACTCGGTGTTACCTACTATTGTTATCCCGTAAGTTATCATGAGCCTGAGGATTTTCAACACATGCTTTATAGATTTTTTTCTCTCTATTAATTCTTGTTTAGCATGATCTTGAAAGCAATGACTGTTTAAAATTATGAGAAGCCAAAGATGCCCCTGCAAGCCACCTTCTTGGTATCTTGGCCAACTTTAAATAAATCTTGGCAAGTAAAGGTATCAATAGCAAAGTATCAATAGCAAATACACTAAAAAAAAACAAAACAACAACAACAAAAAAACAAAAAAACGCTTAAGGTAACAAGTATTCTCCTAAGCCTCAGAAATTGAGTATTAAAAATAAAAGCTAGGTGACAGAGATGAACTTAAGAAAGAAAAAGCTGAGAAATAAGCACTGAATCTATATACACTTGGAATGTTTTAAAGAAAGTGTGTACCTGCTCATCAAATTTGTATGGGGAGGAAATGAAATAAGTGAAAGCAGTCTAGAATTTTACTTTAGATAAAATCATACAATTCCATGTATTATTTTTGCCTTTGATTGCTCTCCCAGCACCCTCTTTCCCATTACAATCCCAAGAGGCAAGCAGTGAGAAGAGGCATCCAGTGAGATAAAACAGGGGAACATGATGGCTCAGCAATGCACTCATACAGAACCATTTCCCTGCTGCTCTGCGCTTACAGAATTTTATTTGCGTAGAAGAACTGCAGGATCTCTGGATGATAGTGGCTCTGAAAGAAATTAGCAAAGGTACGCGTGAGGGCAGGATTCAACAAACTTCCTTGACAATGTAACTAGTAGGCAGTGATCAGTGCAGGGCATGTGGATAAGCAGGAGAGGTGGAGGCATCATCTGTATCCAGCTAGTGACCTGAATTGGAACTGCCGATATATCTCGTGCTTGATCCTCTAGGCGTTTTGCCATTTACATTGTATGATGGGTCAATTACAATCAAAACACAGTTGGCTTGGCCGGGCATGCTGACTCATGCCTGTAATCCCAGTACTTTGGGAGGCTGAGGCAGGCAGATCACTTGAGATCAGGAGTTCAAGACCAGCCTGGGCAACGTGGTGAAACCCCATCTCTACTAAAAATACAAAAATTAGCCGGGTGTGGTGGTGCACGCCTGTAATCTCAGCTACTCAAGAAGCTGAGGCACGAGAATCACTTGAACTTGGGAGGTGAAGGCTGCAGTGAGCCAAGATGGTGCCACTGCACTTGCTCTTCTCAGAAAAAAAGAAAAAATAAAAAAATAAACATAGTTGGCCTGAGTCATTTTAAGGGGGTAACTCTTTCTTGTGCTTGGCCACCTTCCGTGTTAACCACCAGGAGGGCAGGGACCGGAAAAGAATTCTCTCCTACCCTGGCTCACTCACCAGCTGCTGGTAGAGCTTAGTGTTCCTTTGATCTTCTTCACTCTGGAAGCTGTATTCCTCCTTTAGTTTCAGATATGGAGAACAGGCTTGAAATGTTGTTTTGCAAGCCTGAGAAAAATAATATTACTATTTTATTTATTAGAGAGTTCCATAATCCCAAGCAAGGAAAAGTATCCTAGAGGATTGCACCCAATCTGTGGTCAGGGGCCCACTGAAAGTGTGAAAGTAACTTCCAGGTAGTTTCAAAATTTGAATCTTAAAGGATGTATGCTTATAAAATGGCCATGTCTATAATTTGGGGACTGGTGGGAAGGGCGTAGCTTTACAGTTTAGCACAGCCTTTGTTATTATCCCATCAAAAGTAGTACTGGATTCCTAAATTTAATCTCTCTCTCAGTAACTTAAAGAAGGCAAGTGGTTTGGTAGAAAGCTTTGCTCCCAATTGTTTTGAAACGTTCACCAAGTCCCACTCCAAAGCAGGCCTGAAGTTGATCCAACCTTGTTGGGATACAATTTTCTCCAAGAATAAAACAAAACTACCAGAAGAAATTAATAAGTCATGGGTGGAGCCCAGCAAGATGGCTCACGCCTATAATCCCAACACCTTGGGAGGCTGAGGTGGGTGGATCACCTGAGGTCAGGAGTTCGAGACCAGCCTGGCCAGCATGGTGAAATCCCATCTCTACTTAAAATACAAAAAATTAGCAGGGCGTGGTGGTGGGCACCTGTAATCCCAGCTACTCAGGAGGTTGAGGCAGGAGAATTGCTTGAACCCCAGAGGCGGAAGTTGTAGTGAGCCGAGATCACACCACTGCACTCCAGCCTGGGCAACAAGAGCAAAACTGTCTCAAAAAAAAAAAAAAGAAAGAAAGAACGAAGGAAGAAAGGAAGGAAGGAAAGAAGGAAGGAAGGAAAGAAAAGAGAAAAGAACAGAAAAGAAAAGAAGCCATGGGTGGAAATCTATACCAGGCACAATGACAAAAGCTAAGTGGGCATGAATAAATATCCTCATTATGTGGGCTGCTGCACCATTGATTAAACCTGTGCCTCTCTGCCCTCAACCCCATTACCCTGAGCTTATCTTGCATTGACAGGTGCTGGGCTTGGGCAGGTGGGGCAGATGGAAACCAACACTCTTGCTCAAAGAGAGATTACACACCAAAGAGGCACCTTGTCAAGGATGCACACAGAAACGCTGCTAAGTATCTACAGCAGTGCTGGCAGGAACCCTAGGGTCTGGCGTCTCAACTCGCAACTCCCTTTATGAATAGCATGGAGATGTCACTCTGTTGGTTGCAGAGTCAAGGTCTTACCTTGGCAACCTGGGGATTTCTGTCCTGTAAATGGATCAGGAGGGAATCTCGTGTCTGCTTAACCTGACTGGTGAAAAATTTTTTCCATTTCCTCCCGGCAAAGGCAGCCAATTGCCCAAACAAAACAAAGGCCGAGTATCTCAGACTGTCGTTCTCCTGCGGTCCCCATCAACAAAACAATAAGAAAGCCAGATCATTACCAAAAGGCAACTGCATCTGAACACATCACAGCCATCGGTCAGAACACATCACAGCCGTCAATCAGAACACATCACAGCCATCGATCTTGACTGTACATTACAGGGTGGGTGGTGAGATCTGGTCTAAAGCACTTAGCTGGGTGGGTGGGGGTGGCTTGAAGAGGGCCCAAAGGCTTCAATGAACCTCTTCTCCAGCAGACGAGAGGACTAGCCTGGGAAATCACTAGTGCTACTCCCACCTTCCCAGATTTTTTGTTCGTTATTTCATGTTTTGGAGATAGAATACATTTATAAACTTCCCAAAATTCAAAATAACCAAAAAGCTTTACAGGAAAAGTAGGTCTACTTCCTACTCCTCTCCATCAGCCACCAAATTTTCCTCCCCACAAGCTAATAAAGTTATGTTTTGTGTGTATCTCTCCAAAAAATAAAGAAGAAAGATGTATATCACATAATCCTTTCCCTCTTTTTTACATAATGGAAGCACATGCCACTGTTGTTGTGCACCTTGAGTTTTCATCAGTCTGAGAGCTCTTTCTACATCAATACATAAAAGAGTTTTCATTTTTCTTTTTCTTTTCTTTTTTCTCTTTTTCTTTTCTGCACCAAAATTCATTCAACCAGTTCCCTGTTTATTACTCCAGCATTTTTGCCAAGTCTCTTCTCTTTGCTTTTGGTTTGAGTTTCTCCTATCTGCAGTGGATATAATAATCATGTTTCTTCCCCCAACACCCTCCCACCTCTCCCTGCTTCCAGTCTGATTGGTTGGTTTGTCCCTGAGTGCATTTCAGTGGACTCCGCCCTCTCTTTCTTTCCAAGGTGAGCTGTTTGGTCCAAGTATTACATTTCCAGGTGAGGAGACCAAGGCCCAAGGCACTTAAGGAACTTGCCCAAAATCACACTGTCGGGTAACAGAGCCAGTATAGTAACCTAAACACCTGACTCATGGTGCACGGGTTTTTATATCAGTGTTTTGTAGTCTAAGTCCTCCTCCAGGTAAACCAGAGGGAGGAGGGCTGGGGTGGGCCTTCACAGCGGGGAAGAAGCACAAAGAACTGAGGGTCACAGAGACCCAGCAAGACTGAGGAACACTAATCATATTGTGAAGTATCTTTAAAAAATTTAGCACATGATGCATACAGAAATTGTCTTAGGGTTTTTGTTTTTTTTTGTTTTTGTTTTTGTTTTTGTTTTAGAGACAACATCTTGCTACATTGCCCAGGCTGGCCTCCAACTCCTGTGCTCAAATGACCCTCATGCCTCAGCCTCCTAAGTAGCTGGGATTACAGGCACACACCACCATGCCTGGCTTAGGGTTGTATTATCTTCATGGCTCTATTAGTGAGTGTTTGTGTATGTGTGTGTGTAGTGTGTGTGTGTGTGTGTGTGTGTGTTTAACAAATTTTAATGGAGAATGTACCCCATTCAAAGCCATACCCTAATGCTTTAAGATGTACAGACACGTAAGACAGATGCTCGCCCCGCTAGGAGTCTGACAACCATCTAACTGGGAACACACGCACGGGTGAGCTTCATGGCCTCAGATAGTGAAGAGTGCTATCTGTAATGGAGATGTAAACTATCAGCAAACAGCTCTGCATAAGAATTTCTGTGTTTCTACATGGCCGGGGATTTCTGCTCAAAAATTCCAGGCAACCAGGGTTTAAAAAAATGGTTGAAGGCCAGACACATGTCTCATGCCTGAAATCCCAGCCCTTTGGGAGGCCGAGACAGGAGAATCGCTTGAGCCCGGTCAGAGACCAGCCTGGGCAACATAACAAGACCCTATCTCTACAAAAACTACGAAAATTAGCCAGGCACAGTGGCATGCACTTGTGGTCCCAGCCACTCAGGAGGCTGAGGTGGGAGGATCAGTTGAGCCTGGGAGGTTGAGGCTGCAGTGAGCTGTGTTCCTGCCACTGTACTCCAGCCTGGGCAATACAGCGAGACCCTGTCTCAAAAAAAAAAAAAAAAGTGGTTGAATGACAAACAAGTCCTCGAAGTTCAGATGGCTCCTCCAAGAGATTTAGAGCCATCTCCCCGGAGACATCTGCTTACACTTCAGGGTGGTAAGTAGGGACCTTCGCCCGCTCCCTCCCCAGAGAGGACTGGCTTACATTCAAGAGCAAAAATCCCTCTGTGTCTCTGGAGCAGGTGAGACACATGTGCCCAGCTCCCATATGAGCTCCAAGTTACATAAGGTCAAGGCCTCTTCTCCCCTTCTGTCCTGCTGACACATCTGGCTCTCGCCACGTGGCTCCGGAGAGAATTAGGGCGTGGGGAGATGCAAATCTCTCTGGGAGTAAATAAACGGTCTGTTCGCTGTTCTGTAGGTCTTGTCTTTCAGGGACAGAATAACTGGCAGGCTAACTTGTTAGCTTGCAGTCAGGGTCTCTGACTCTTCTCAGTTTCGGGCTGAACGATGTGCCGGTGCACTTTTTGCTTAGCCTGATTTGTCATCTGGTAGTTGAGTGTAGCCCTATAGTCAGAGGAGCTGGTGGCATGTCCACTTCCTGGCTCTGTGAATTTGGGCAAGTTCTAACCTTTCTGTGCTTTGGTTTCCTTGTCTACAAAGTGAAGATAATTACAGTGCCCATCTCACAGGGTTATTGGGAAGATTATATGAGATGATTCATGTAAATTGCCTAGCACTGTGCCTGGCACACAGTGAGGGCTCACTAGACACTAATCATTGCTATTGCCACATTTATAAGACAGCATTGACTACATGTTAGTCAATCAGTGTACATCATCATCAGTGTAAATATACCCACTTCTCTGTTAAGATGAAAACTCACCAGGCACAGTGGCTTACACCTGTAATCCTAACACTTTGGGAGGCCAAGGCAGGTGGGTCATTTGAGCCCAGGAGTTTGAGACTAGCCTGGGCAATATAGTGAAAACCCATCTTTACCAAAAATACAAAAATTAGCCAGCTGCGGTGGCATGTGCCTATAGTCCCAGCTACTTGGGAGGCTGAGGTGGGAGGATCAATTGAGCCCAGAAGGTGGAGGTTGCAGTGAGCCGAGATCACACCATTGCACTCCAGCCTGGGTGACAGAGTGAGACCCTGTCTCAAACAGACAAAAAAACCCTTGAGGGTTAGAGATAAAATTCTATACATCTTTACATGTCCTCCCAACCCCTAGCACAGTACTAGTCTCTCAACAAGATGTGGTAATAAATAAGTGAATACTAGAGACCTTGTTCCCACAGCAACAAACCACCCGCAGCTCACATTTCTTTCTTTCTTTTTTTATTTGAGAGGGAGTCTTGCTCTATTGCCAGGCTGGAGTGCAGTGGCGTGATCTCGGCTCACTGCAACCTCCACCTCCCAAGTTCAAGCGATTCTCCTGCCTCAGCCTCCCGACTAGCTGGGACTACAGGCGTGCACCACCATGCCCAGCTAGTTCTTTGTATTTTAGTAAAGATAGGGTTTCACCATGTTGGCCAGGATGGTCTCGATCTCCTGACCTCGTGATCCCACCCGCCTCGGCCTCCCAAAGTGCTGAGATTACAGGCATGAGCCACCGCACCCGGCCCCACAGTCATATTTCTAAGCCCATTTTGATTTCAATAACCCAGAATTTTTCTGATTTACTTACGTCATCTAATAAAGTCCTGGTCTGAAGGGTGATATCTATGAAGAAGGAACCCAAACCTTTCCCCTGGATCTTGCCCAGAACGACGGTCAGAGTCTTCATACTCTCATGGATGACTTCCAAATTCACAGGGTCATACAGTCCATACACCAGCAGGTCGAGGACAATTTTCTTATACTTTCTCACCTGTCACCAAGGTTTGAAAAGCAGTAATAGCACAGGAACTGCTCCCCATAGGTTGAAAAGCAACCCCACATCTAAGCTACTAATAACCTAGGACTTGAACTAACACACCAGGGCTTTTTTCAAGATCTGCACAACTCTCATTAAAATACAAATGCTTCCATTAACCCAACCCAAGAGCCCAACTCAGCCTAGGAAGGAAAACAGAAAGAGCAATCTGGAGTGTGGCATGTGGGTGGGTGAGGCTCAGTGGGGCTCTTCAAATAGGGCAGCAGACCTGGGTGATCTCAGGGCCTGGGGAGAACTAGGTACCTTTATAGTGGGGAGGAGACAAAATGGACACTGAAGTTGGCGGATGGTAAAGGAGGAGGTGGGAAAAACATCTTTTATGAAACAAACATTAAATTACTAGAAAAAAAAATCACTTAAATTCACCAGGAAGGGTAACAGCTGTGAGTTTATCCTTCCTGCAGCTCTGTCTCTCACAGCTGATATTGCTGAGGTGTCATGAGCCTAAGATGACCCTGAATGAGTGACACCCTGAATGAGTCTCCTCCCCTTGAGTGCAGAAGGAACCTGTGACTCGCTTCCAGCCTACGGACATGACTTTACATTGCATAAGACTCTATCTTTTTTTTTTTTTTTGAAATGGAGTCTCGCTCTGTCGCTCAGGCTGGAGTGCCTGGTGTGATCTCTGCTCAAGCCTCAGCCTCCCGAGTAGCTGAGATTGCAGGCACATGCCACCATGCCTGGGCAATTTTTTGTATTTTTACAAAAATATAAAAGAAATGGGGTTTCACCATGTTGGCCAGGCTAGTCTTGAACTCCTGACTTCAAGTGGTCCACCCGCCTTGGCCTCCCAAAGTGCTGGAACTGCAGGCGTGAACCACTACGGCCCAGCCCATAAGACTCTATCTTAGCAGACAGGAGGAGGCGACACCCTCCTGCTGGCCTGGAGGAAGTGAGCTGCCTGCTGTGACAGAGTGGCCTGTAGGCATCGAAAGTGGCCCCCGGCATACAGCAGGCAAAAAAACAGAAACCTCTGTCCCACAATGGGAAGTAACTGAATTCTGCCAACAACGATGTAAGCGAACCCTGAGCTTCAGGAAGGAATGCAGTCTGGCAGACGCTTGATTGCAGCCTCGTGAGATCCTAAGCAGATGACCCAGCTGAGCTGCACCTGGACTCCTGACCCGCGAAAACCCGAGATAATCAACACGTGTTGCTGTAAGCTGCTAAGTGTGCGGTGGTTTGTTCCGGGGTGATAGATAACTAATACAACAGACACCATACTCCAGCCCTGGGAGTCTCCACACCAAGGTGGTTGGAGAGGCTTGGGGAGCTGGCTGAGCCCCACTCTCCTTCCCTACCTTGTCAGGGGCTTCATAGGCCATGGTTCCCAAGTTTCTCATTGCCATGTGACGCTTTTTAGCACTGGGGTCCCGAGCTCTTTCTGCCAAGATGAAAAACACATTCTTCAGAGGCTCCCGCTTCTGGAACCTCAGTTTCCAAGAGACCTGGGTGATGGGTCAAAAATGTATTAATTTGGGAGTGTTCAGAGTCATACCAATCCCAACCCCAATCTCTCCCTCTAAAGAAAATCCCGTGATTGCCTGCTCAATTTTACCCCTTCTTTCTCCTACTAAAGACGGCTGGGTTTTGTTGGAAATGTACTCATTTGGTCTACATAACGAAGAAATTGATGGAGAAAGAGGGCAATAAAGATAGTGCAGGCTGGTGTTGAGGTAGGTTTAGGAGATTAAGGGGAGAGGCTCTAGAGCAGCTATGGGTGTGATAGAAGTTGAAAAAAAGAGGACTTGATCAGTGTTGATGTGATGTGGGAATAGGGATCTGTTTCACAGGGAAAGGTGTGCCGTTACTCCTCAAAGAGCTCCCTTTACCCCTTCTTCTCCAGCTCTTTCCCATTTTTCTGCTCTCCTTTGTAGCCAAATGCCTTGAAAGACATCTATACTTGTTTTCTCCCGTTTGTCTCCTCCCATTGCCTCTTGAACCCTCTGCAATCAGGCTAATGTCCCCTCACCCCTACCCTGCCAAATGACTAATTCCAAGGGTCAGTTCTCAGTAGTCATCTTACTCAACCTCTCAATAGCACTTGACACAATTAGCAAAGCATATCTGCAAACATCTAGTACACATCTACAAACATTTCAGCACTGATCTAGTACACATCTACAAACATTTCAGGATTAATCTAGTACACATCTACAAACATTTCAGGATTAATCTAGTACACATCTACAAACATTTCAGCACTGATCTAGTACACATCTACAAACATTTCAGCACTGATGTAGTACACATCTACAAACATTTCAGGGCACTTAAAGGATGTCCCAACTCCAGAATGCATGCATCTGAGCATGCAGTTAAGAACAGGAAGAGAAATGCATGAATAATGCAAATTGGGGAACACTGTGTGTCTGATGCAGACACCTGTACTTTAAGAACTAAACTCTATCATGCCTGTAATCCCAGCACTTTGGGAGGCCGAGGCAGGCGGATCGCCTGAGGTCAGGAGTTCGAGACTAGCCTGGCCAACATGGCGAAACCCTGAAACCCCGTCTCTATAAAAATACAAAAAATTAGCTGGGCATGGTGGCGAATGCCTGTGATCCCAGCTACTTGGGAGGCTGAGGCAGGGAGAATTGCTTGAATCTGGGAGGCGAAAGTTGCAGTGAGCTGAGATCACGCCATTGCACTCCAGCCTGGGCAACAGAGCGAGACTCTGTCTCAAAAACAAACAAACAAACAAACACAAACACCAAACTCTAAGTAATTGCAGGGCCAGGGATGGGGCAAGAGATAGGCTAGTCTCTGAGCCTTTGTGGCAAGCCTATGAGCTCTCATGCAGGAAGACCCTGGTGTGCAGCAGGACCCAGAAGACAGCAACATGTGCTAGAGTCAGAATCAAGATGACGAAATATCCAGACAAGATCAAAGAAGACAAAAGCCACCTCCCTACCATCCTTAGAAAGGGGCCTAGAGGGGCAGACTGGCTTGAGATTCAGCTATCTCAGTGGTGCTATGGATGAGATTTGGTGATTTCAAAGCTTCATTAGTATTCCTGGATTTTCATTACAGTTCATTCCTTTTTTATCTTATCTTTTTTTTTTTTTTAATTTAAGACAGCGTCTCGCTCTGTCGCCCAGGCTGCAGTGCAGTGGCATGATCTCAACTCACTGCAGCCCCTACTTCCTGGGCTCAAGCGATCCTCCCACCTCAGCCCTGAGTAGCTGGGACTACAGGTGCATGCCACCATGCCCAGCTAATTTTTGTGTTTTTGGTAGAGACAGGGTTTTGCCACGTTGCCGGCTGGTCTAGAACTCCTCAGCTCAAGTGATCCGCCTGCCTCAGCCTCCCAAAGTGCTGGGATTACAGAGGTGAGCCACCACACCCGGCCTCATTCCATATTTGTATTATTGAGTTAGCAGCAAGTTAAATTATTCTCAACTTATCTTCCTGTCATCCTGTAAACATCCTATCCATGTTAAAAGAACTGTCGGCCGGGCGCGGTGGCTCACGCCTGTAATCCCAGCACTTTGGGAGGCCGAGGCGGGTGGATCATGAGGTCAGGAGATCGAGACCATCCTGGCTAACAAGGTGAAACCCCGTCTCTACTAAAAATACAAAAAAATTAGCCGGGCGTAGTGGCGGGCGCCTGTAGTCCCAGCTACTCGGGAGGCTGAGGCAGGAGAATGGCGTGAACCCGGGAAGTGGAGCTTGCAGTGAGCCCAGATTGCGCCACTGCAGTCCGCAGTCCAGCCTGGGCGACAGAGCGAGACTCCGTCTCAAAAAAAAAAAAAAAAAAAAAAAAAAAAACTGTCATCAAAGTTTTTTCAGAAGGAACTTCAGTGGAGCAGGCCTAACTAACCACAGACCAAGCAAACATACATCTTACAAAACAGCTGCTGGGAGGAGAAATTTGTTCATAATATTTTGTGTCAGACCTTGGAAAAGAAAGATATCATTGATGTCCTTTTCTGCTTGGGCTGGGAAGTAGGGATGGAAAGGGGCTGGCCCAGGATTCTCCTCTGTCTTTGGTCCATGGAACTAAAAACAAAACAAAACAAAATCACATGCGCCACAGACACTCATCATCAACAAACATTGTTGTACAATGCATTGTGCTGGGGTAAGAATATAAAGAGGCAGCAATCCTGAGGCCTGTCTTTAGGAACCTTCCACTGTGGTGAGATAGAACAGTCACACAGATGAATAGCAACCCAAGGCAGCCCAAGAGGAATAGCAGCTTGGGGGTCAAGGGGGATCTGCCCTCTAGTTCCCCACTCCATTCTGCAGATTTCTTTTATCACTGTCACCAAAGAAGTAAAACGCAGATTCCCAGGCTCTGCCCACAGAGTTCTCATGAATTGAAATACAGAGTAGCCTCAAATTTTGTGTTTTTAAAAGTTCTCTGAGAATGTAAATCAGTACCTCTTTTTAGAGAGGATTTGGCACTATCTCTTACCACTTTAAAGCACACGTAATAGGCAATTCTTTAATCCTATAGATATGAACACATCATATGTTCAAAGATATACACAAAGGATAGCCACCATAGCACTGTAATAAACAATATTGTGTTCTTTAATGGTTTGGGCAGGGGAAGGGAGAGTGGGGCAGGGGTTTGAGACAGGGTTTTGCTCTGTCTCCCAGGCTGGAGTGCAGTGGCAGGAACACAGCTCATTGCAGCTTCTACCTCCCAGGCTTAAGCAGTCCCCCTGCCTCAGCCTCTGAGTGGCTGGGGCCACAGGTGCATGCCACCACGCCCAATTAATTTTTATTTTTTTTTACGTTGTCCAGTCTTGTCTCAAACTCCTGGGCTCATGCAATCCTTCTGCCTCAGCCTCCCAAAGTGTTGGGATTATAGGCTTGAGCCACTGTCCCCAGCCAATGGTTTGAACATAAATAAATTACATATATTACAACTATACAACTTTACAACGACTGCTATGCAGTCACTAAGAAGAATATTGGGCAGATCAACATGTGCTAAAATAATCTCCACGATATACTGTTGAGTGAAAAGTGCAAATCCATGTGTACAGTATGTTACTACTCGTGTAAAATCAGAATGAGGGCAGGAAATACATATGTACGTATATGCTTGCATATGCATAGGAGAAGGAAAAATACACAAGAAACATTAAGAGAGATGGCCTCTGGGCTGGAAATCCGAGGAACTGAAATTGGAGGGAAACTTACTTTTTTCACCTTTTTTGTATATGTACAGCTTGTAATTTTACCATGCGCATGTATTATTGAAAGAATATAATATACATAAATGTAGCTTACCAAGTGATTCTGATCACAGCTTGACTTGGGTCCAACTAGTACAAACCAGCACTTCTCAAACTTTAATATGCACTAAAATAATTTGAAGATCTTGTTCAGTGTGTCTGCAGCGGGAACTCGAGATTCTGCCTTTCTTCCAAGCTCCCAGGGGATTCCAAACAGGGACTATGCTTTGAGTGGCAAGGGCATAAAGTTTGTTTTTTTAATTATTATTATACTTTAAGTTCTAGGGTACATGCGCACAACGTGCAGGTTTGTTGCATATGTATACATGTGAGGGGCATAAAGTTAAGAGCCACTGAAGTCGAGAGAGGACCGTGGGCTGGAACAGCTGGTGGAGACTTCCCAAAGCACACTGGTGAGCTTGGAAGCAGAGGCAGAGCGTATATGACACATTGGGAGTCAACGGGATCCCATGCAGTATCATGGTGATGGTAGCAGTAACAATTAAAATAGTAGGAGAGAGGTAGAAGATAGGCTACAGAGGCTAGCTAAAGGCCAGCTGTGGAGGACTCTGACTTCTAAAGAGCTTGATTTCAATTGTACTTTGTAGATATGAGTAACCTGATGATTTTCTTTTAATTTAGGTGAAATCCATGTAACATACAATTAGTCATTCAAACAATGTTCTGCAACCACCACCTCTAATATCAAAACTTTTTCATCACCCCAAAAGAAAGCCCTGCACCCATTAGGCATTCATTCCATATTCCATCCTCCCCCAGCCTCAGGCAATGTTAATCTGCCTTCTGTCTCTATGGATTTACCTATTCTGAATATTTCACATATATAGAATCATACATTATTGTGATCATTTATAACTGGCTTCTTTTTCTTAGTATATTGTTTTCAAGGTTCATCCATGTTGTAGCATGTATCAGTATTTCATTCTTTTTTATGGCTGAATAGTATTCAATTGTATGGTTATACCACAATTTGTTTATCCATTCACCTGTTGATAGGCACTTGGGCTGTTTCCCTGTTTTGGCTATTTTGAATAATGCTACTATGAATATCTGTGCACAACTATTTGTATCTGCTTTCATTTATTTGGGGCATATACCTAGGAGTAGAATTGCTGAGTCATGTGGTAATTCTTTTTTTTTTTTTTTTTTTTTTTTTGAGACAGAGTCTTACTCTGTCTCCCAGGCTGGAATGCAGTAGCTCACTGCAACTTCTGACCCTGGGTTCAAGGGATTCTCTTGCCTCAGCCTCCTGAGTTGCTGGGATTACAGGCGTACGCCACCATGCCTGGATAATTTTTGTATTTTTAGTAGACACGGGGTTTCAGCATGTTGGCCAGGCTGGTCTTGAATTCCTGACCTCAAGTGATCTGCCTACCTCAGCCTCCCAAGTGTCAGGATTACAGGCGTTAGCCACCTAGCCTGGCCATCATATGGTAATTCTATGTTTAACTTTTTGAAGAACCACCAAACTGTTTTCCACAGTGGTTACACCATTTTACATACCCACCAGCAACGTATGAGGGTTCCAATTTCTCCACATCCTTACCAACATTTATTTTCCATTATTATTGTTATTATTACTAGATCCATGTTAGTAGGTATGAAGTGGTCTATCCTTTGTGGTTTTTATTTGCATTCCCCTAATGACTAATGAGGCTAAGCATCTTTTCGTGTGCTTGTTGGTGATTTCTATGTCTTCTTTGGAGAAATTTCCATTCAAATCCTTTGCTCATTGTCAGTTGGGTTGTTTGTCTTTTTCTGAGTTGTAAGAATTCTTTATATATTCTGAATACTAGACTATTACCAGACGTATGATTTACAAATATTTTCTCCCATTCTGTGGGCTGTCTTTTCACTTTCTGGATAACGTCTGTTGTGCAGAAAAGTTTTTATTTTTAATGAAGTCCAATTTGTCTATTTTTGTTGTTCTTACTCATGCTTTTAGTGTTAAATCTATGAATCTATTGCCACATCTAAGGTCATGAAGATTTACCCCTATATGTTCTTTTAAGCGTTTTATAGTTTTCACATTTCTATTTAGGTCATTGATCCATTTTGAGTTAATATTTGTATATAATACATGGTAGGGGTTCAACTGCATTAGAACCATTGACTTGTATGTGTTTTGTGTTTTATTTTTTTTAATAGGAGAGATGGCAGGCAAGCAGCTGCAGCCATTCTTAACCCTGGCTACATTAGGATCACCTGAGGAACTTCTAAACCTCCAGACTAAGTCTGCCATTATCTCTGGAGGGAGACCCAGGCATCAGTATTTTTTAAAGCCCACCAAGTAATTCCAGCAGGCAGTCACTGAACTACAGTGACCAGTGACAAACTGCCTTGGTTTACCCAGGGCTGGGGAGCTTCCAGGGACATGGGACTTTCATTGCTAAAGCTGGAAAAGTCCTGGCCAAACCAAGACACACTCCTCTCTGATGCAACCTGACCCTTTTCAACAGCTGTACTTTGGAACATTTGACTCACTTGATCTGGAGGTGCATGGGGACTCGGTTTCTCTGCCATCCTTGCTCCCTGGGTGGATTTGGTCCATGAAACCCCAGGTGGATTTGCTCCATTCTGGAGAGGTCCATGAAAACACTCCCTCACCGCCTAACTTCCAGGACCTATATCTCCTTCATATCTGGCCAACAGGAATCTTCTCACCACTGCAATGGGGCACCAAAATAAAACCCCAGAAAACTGCACCCCCACCAATTAGCAAGAGTTTCTCTTTCCATCAGTTACCTGGCTGAACTGAGATTCTCTCTGTTTGATTGAAGGTATTCCCACAGGCTTCCTCATTAAACCAGTGGTTCTCACACTTCAGTGTGCATCAGAATCACCCGGAAGACTTGTTAAAACACACATTCCCAGGCCTAGGCCCCAGAGTTTCTGATTCTGTGCATCGGCAGCAGGGCCTAATAATTTCTATTTCTAACAAGCTCCCAGGGGACACTGGGATGTGGCTGGTTTGGTGACCACACTTGGAGAACCACTGCATTAACAGAAAGAAACCACAGCAGTACAGTGTAGCTTCTCTCCAGAATAAAGGGATTTTAAAATTCACATTAAGGATGGAGCTGGAGGTCATTATCCTAAGCAAACTAACACAGGAACAGAAAACCAAGTACTGCATGTTCTCATGTTCTCACTTATAAGTGGGAGCTAAATGTTGAGTACTTGTGGACACAAAGAAGGCCACAGACACCAGGGCCTACTTGAGGGTTGGAGGGTGGGAGGAGGGTGAAGATGGAAAAACTACCTGTTGGGTACCATGCTTATTACCTGAGTGACAAAACAATCTGTACTTCAAACACCCACAACACACAATTTGCCTTTATAACAAACCCACACATGTACCCCTGAAACTAAAATAAAATTTAAAAATTTTAAATTCACATAGAGTCAAAAAACATGCTTGGTTGTTTCTTTC
This sequence comes from Homo sapiens, assembly GCF_000001405.40. Lineage (NCBI taxonomy): Eukaryota > Metazoa > Chordata > Mammalia > Primates > Hominidae > Homo > Homo sapiens. The sequence goes on from NC_000018.10 coordinate 50,814,049, forward strand.
TGGGGCTTTTCTTTTAACAACTTCATGTTTCAATAGAACCTAATGATTCTCAGGTCAGATGCTCCAGATCAGAGCCGACAGGTGCCTGACAATGGGTACAGGGAGACTAAAAGACGTAAAACTCCTGTCCCATGTTGAACGAGGGGTTGAACACAATCTTACTTTAGACAAATAGGATTGGTTATTTATATTAGCATACTTGTGAATTTTAATAGCATTAAGATTACCTTCAAAAAAAAAAAAACTCAAAGTGGAGGCAAAGCTGTCATCCGATTGCCCCCAGCCCGACTCGGGCCATCACCATCTGCCCCTGCAGCCAGTGAAGGTGGGGGCGGGGAGGAGAGCCATGACCCACGGGAATCAGGGCAGTTGAGAAAACTGTTCTTGGTGGCCTGAGCTTTGAAACTACAGAGGCCCGTTTAAGAGACCATTTTGAGGAATGGGGCACACCCACAGACTGTGTGGTAAGGAGAAACTCCCAAACAAAACATCTCGGGGGCCTTGGTTTTGTGACTTACGCTCATGCAGCAAAGTGTGCTCAACCACATAAGGTTGATGGGCATATAGCGGAACCAAAGACAGCTGTCTCTAGAGAGGGTTCTGTAAAGCCTGGTGCCCATCCAACAGTAAAGAAAATGTTTGTCGGGAAGTAATAAGGAAGAGACAGAAGAATATAATTTGAGAGACTCCTTTGAAAAGAGTGACAAGATTGAAACCACAGAAGTTATGAACCAGTCACGGTGGCTCACGCGTGTAATTTCAGCACTTTGGGAGGCTGAGGTGGGCAGATGACTTGAGCTCAGGAGTTCGAGACCAGCCTGACCAACATGGTGAAACCCCCGTCTCTACTACAAATACAAAAATTAGCTGGGCATGGTGGCACGTGCCTGTAATCCCAGCTACTTGGGAGGTTAAGGCAGGAGAATTGCTTGAACCCAGGAGGCAGAGGTTGCAGTGAGCTGAGATCATGCCACTGTTCTCCAGCTGGGTGATAGAGCAAGACTTCGTCTCAAAAAATAATAATAAAAAATAAAAAAGTTATGGAAGCCAGGCAGAGTGGAAAACAGAGAGGATTTGCTCTTGTAACTTTTGATGATCATGAAACAAATGATGAAATTGTTATTCAGATATACCACGCCATTAATGGGCATAATTGTGAAGTAAAAAGTGTCCTTTCTAAATGAGATGGAGTCTACCAGGTCATAAAGAGGTCATGGAAGTGGATCTGGCAACTTGGCTGGTCATGGAGGAAACTTTGGAGGTGGTGGAGATAATTTTTGCCGTGGTGGGAACTTTGGTGGAAAGGAGGCTATGGTGGTGAAGGTGATGGTAGCAGAGACAGTTATGCAGGAGATGACAGTGGATAGAATGGATTTGGAGGTGATGGTAGCCACTATGGGTGGTGATCCTGGTCGTAATAGTAGAGGGGGCCGTGGTGGTGGTGGACCAGGATATGGAAACCAAGGTAGTGGATATGGTGGCAGTGGTGGATGATATGATGGTTACATTGAAATTTTGGTGGTGGTAACTATGGTGGTGGTGGAAACTATAATGATCTTGGAAACAGCGATCAAATTATGAATGCATGAAAGGGGGCAGTTTTGGTGGAAGAAGTTCAGGCAGTCCCTGTGGTGACCGTTATGGATCTGGTAGTGGAAATGGTGGATATGGTAACAGAAGGTTCTAAAAACAGCAGAAAAGAAGGCTGGGCACGGTGGCTCACACCTGTAATCCCAGCACTTTGGGAAGCCGAGGTGAGCAGATCACCTGAGGTCAGGAGTTCGAGACCAGTCTGGTCAACATGGTGAAACCCCGTCTCTACTAAAAATACAAAAATTAGCTGGGCATGGTGGCGGGTGCCTGTAATCCCAGCTACTTGGGAGGCTGAGGCACGAGAATCGCTTGAACCCGGGAGGCAGAGGTTGCAATGAGCCAAGATCATGCCCCTGCACTCCAGCATGGGGGGTAGAGTGAGACTCTGTCTCCAAAAAAAATAAAAAAATAAAAACAGCAGAAAAGGGATACAGTTCTTAGCAGGAGAAAGAACAAGAAGTTTTGGGAAAGCAGCAAGTTACCTTGAAACAGTTGTCCCAAATGCATTAGGAACTAAAAATCTGCCACGGAAGAAACGATGATACATAGTTAGAAAAGTTACTGCAGCTTAAACAGAAAACCTTTCTTGTTCAGGACTGTCATAGCCACAGTTTGCAAAAAGTGCAGCTATTGATAATGCAATGTAGCATTGGCTAGATGAACATCCCTATGGTCTTTTATCTGCTATAGCTTTTTCTTTTTCTTTTTCTTTTCATTACATCAGGTATATTGCCCTGTAAATTGTGGTAGTGGTTCCAAGAATAAAAAATTAAGGAATTTTTAACTTTTCAATATTTATATAGTTCAGTTTTTCCACATTTCTGAACAGACACTTTAACAGAATAGTTTTGAGGGTGTTTCCTTGTGGGTTAACAAATAAAGAAGATCATTGTGAATTACTGCTTTGCATAAATTTTGCTAACGTTAGCTGTAAAGAAACACCAGCTGACTTGCAGTTTAAGGGAATTCTATTCTCCCCATTTCCAAACCATGATCTAAATGGGTGCTGACATGTGGAGAGAATATTTGTACGCTTGCAACGTCTATTTTAAATAAATAGGATTGGGTATTTAAATTAGCATATTTATGAATTTAATAGCATTAAGATTACCTTCAAATGAAAAAATCTCAAATTTCAAAATCAAAATAAAAGAAGCAAAACTCCCTCAAGCTGAGGGCCCACTCACCAAGGAGGGTGTGGGCCTCATTATAAAACAGCTGGTATCTCTGTTCCAAGGCATAAGAAAATCATGCCTGAAGCTCCTTTCCATTGGTAAAGAAAACAAACCTGCTACCCTGTTCTTTCTGCTTGACTTCTCTTGCAAGATTAGCATAACAGCTAAGGGCTTTAGCCAGCCAAGGCAACTTCCCCAGGCTTCAGAAACCAAGCAGCCAGCATCGCCTTCATAGGCGTAAGTAGAACTCAAGGTCATGCTCCCATGCACGGCAAAGTAAATGAGAACTGAGTGGCTCCACCTGGAAGATTCGATCTGTGATTAGAGAAACTCACAGAGTTACATCTTGAGCTCACTACCTCTTCTAGCAAACCCTACCTCCCCATCACAAGAGAAAAACTGTGATGTGGTTTAATCTTACAGGTTGTCAGGGATCATCTCAATCTTGGGTGCAGGAAAAGTAGAGCATTTCTCAGTGTTGGTTGCACCTTCTATATCAGAATTCCCCGGGGTACGTGTTACAAACTCCAAGCCAGAGGTGGGTGCAGTGGCTCACACCTGTAATCCCAGCACTTTGGGAGGCTGAGCATCCCTTGAGCCCAGGAGTCTGAGGCTGCCGTAAGCCATGATTGCGCCACTGCACTCCAGCTGGGTTGACAGAGCAAGATCCTGTCTCTAAAAAATAAAAATAAATAATAATAATAACAATAAACTCCAGGCCTGCCCCAGAATTATTGGATCTGAATCTCAGGGAGTGTCGGGCCTGAGCATTGCACTTTTTGTATGTGGTGCCTGGTGATGCTACACGCCTGTTGGTATAGAAGAACCTCTATCCTGGAAATTAAATAAAGCTAATCCGAGCCCATGCAGTAGCAGAAACCATGGAAGTCAGGGAGGGAGCTGGGGCCGAGGGATGAGAAAGAGAAAGAGGTCAGTGTCTTTGCAGAGAACAAGAGATTGATACCATATGTTTGTGAAGCACTTTGAATTTCACTTTAAAAATAAAATTAAAATCACAGCAGCTGTTTGTCTATGATTTATGCAACTTTTCTAGGATGCTATTCTTCAGTTAAAAGTTTCATTAAAAAATAAAACAAATTAGGAGTTAAATCAAGGTCACAAGGCCCCTCGCTGGAGCCTTGTGTTTCTTGTACTTGCAGCTTCTTAAAGAACTCCCACCCCCCGCCCCATGCCCTCCTTCCTGCCTGCAGTGCCTCCCTCCTTTCTAAAACATGAAGTCCTTTACACCCAATCCAACAAAAACAAAAGGATCATTCTCATCTGTTGCAACACAGGATCTCAGAGAGGATCGTTTTAAACACACTGTGAATGAACGTAGTATACAGATTCCAAGATTTCTTAGGATGTTCTAACTCCTTCTCCAAGCCCTCTCACCCGTAAGACAGGCATTCTTTCCTAGGAGAATTACATTTTCTGGTGGGTTTCTATGGTCACCACATATGCCTAGCCTTGTATGACCAAGACCAGGAGGTCACCTGGCCATTTGGAAGCCAAAGACACAGCTCTGCTTATAGTTTTACTCATCTCTGCACACGTTCTTCAACGAATTCTTCTTCCTCTGGAACATACCCCTGAGTGAGCTATGTGCAGACCCCTTGGTTTTCACGAACCCCAAGACCCCGGCTGGGGCTTGTGTTCATTGCCAGGTTGTGCTCTACCTGATCTTACTGAAGATACATGGATTTGGGGTAACTTAGAAGACTGTTTTATGCTTTACACTGACTCCCATCTGCTTTTGCAAACTTGAATGATTCTGACTCAAAATATTAGATTTTTGGTCAATAATCCTTTTATTTATTGAAGCCAAAAGGTATATTATGAAGGCCAAAATTATAAAACACTTTGATTTTATCTCATCTGTAAAATGAGCAGAAGAAACTGTTAGATTGCTTAAAAATCCTTCCAACACTGAACTTATAAATGACAATAGTAGGCTGCGTGTGGTGGCTCATGCCTATAAATCCCAGCATTTTGGGAGGCTGAGGCAGGCAGATTGCTTGAGGTCAGGAGATCAAGACCAGCCTGAGCAACATGGTGAAACCCCGCCTCTACTAAAAATACAAAAATTAGCCAGACATGGTGGTGCACACCTGTAGTCCCAGCTACTCAGGAGGCTGAGGCAGAAGAATCACTTGAACCCAGGAGACAGAGGTTGCAGTGAGCCGAGATCGGGCCACCGCACCCCAGCTTGGGCAACACAACAAGACCCTGTCTCAAAAAAATGAAAAAAAAAATTAATATTAAAAAAATCGTCTTCATTTTAGAAAAGAAGAAACTGGGCTTAAAGTAATGTTGAACAATTAACTCAAAGTCAAATACTGGCAGAGCAGATTTTAGGACTCTGAAAGATATCCTTTCAGTCACTGTGCTATAAGCCTAGGTTCAGCTCCCAGGCAATGTCCTGTGAGCTGAACGAGGGAAGACAGACCGCATAGACATTTCAGTTTAAAGTGTCAATATCTTCCCTGAGTCCCTGCCATTCTATTATATTGCTGACAATAGAATGATCTATAACCCAACTATTGATCGATTAACATAGTTTGTGAAAAGCAAACAAAATCAGCTTCCTGGTCAACATTGCCCACTTCAGTTTTACAAAGAGAACATTACCAAATCCTACCCCCTAGAGGTCGAGCTCCCATACTGGTGACCAGAGTGACATTCCAGAAAGGTTTTGGGAACCCAAGTGCAGCCAGGACGCCTCCCGCTGCATCTGGCTGCCCCGGCCAACAGTGTCCCTTACCTGCGGCTCCTGCAGGCGGCTGCCACGTGATGAACCGGAGCCCGTTCCTGACTCGGGAGGGCTGCTTTCCCGGGTAGTAGCCAAATGTGATGACTCGGCTAAATTTTCCCAGCCCTGAATTCCTAACATACAAGAAGGGAAATTAGGAGGTGACGCAGGGTCTGTCCAGGATAACGGGTCGGCACAGAGTGTTGGAAAGTGAGAATCAAATAAGAGGGGAAAGTCAAAGTTTATAGAGTATTTGGGCAGGGGAGGGAATTGTTCTGGAATGAAACCGACAAGAATATTGTAGGGTGGCACAAGCATGACTTGCTACCTTTGCTTCCCCACGCCATGCTGAGGTGTTTTTCCTTCTCCTTGCTGTGATTTCCCCTCCTTCTTCCCTCATGCCAGCCTGGTCGACACTTTCTGCAGAAATTCTGCAGATGGCAATTCTGGGGACCTTTCCTCTGCACCAAACAAAACCTCCCTGCCAAGGCCCGTTCCCCATGCGGCCGCGAGATGGCGGCATGACTCAATGGACGGGTTCCAGGCGACCCCTGCACAAAGCCGCCGCCGTGGCTGCCTCCTTCCTTACATAATCCTGTTAGAGCGCATTTAATCTAAGGATGGGACACTGTGTTCCATGCCAAGCAGCCTCATCGTGGCTGATTGTTGCACCAACAACAAGAGCTTTAACCGTTGACGTCCCTTCCTGCTCAAGAAACACCGTATGTCCCGAAAGGAGCGATTTAAGCTCTCAAAATGATTTATTGGTAAAAAGCAAAGCAAAATTAAAACCGGGGAATTACAGCACCTGCAGAATTTAGGAGCCTCTCTCTCTCATCAGCCCTCCTTCCCTGACTCTCCAAACACGTGCATAAATCTATTTAACAATAATTAGTTATCGTCTCGCTCTGCATTGGGTCATAAAGGGAGAAAATATGTCCTGAAAGGAAAAAAGAACAGTTATATTTTCAAAGACAGAGGCACTTATTGTTATGCTAATAGATAACATTCAATTAAAACTTCTGTGTGCCAAATGTTGTGATAAATATTACATAGACTATCTCATTCAATTGTTACATCAAACCAAAGGTTAATACTCCTACTATAGTCTCCATTTTAAGGCTGGAGAAACTGAGGCACAGGGAGATTACCTTGACAAAGGTCATGCAGTTAATTTGTGGCAGTTAAAATTCAGCTACAGGCAGGCTAATGTAAGAGCTTGGACTCAGCCATGATGCTATGCACTGGACTGGTCTAGAAAACCCAGGAGATAAACAGAAAAATATAAACCAGAGAACTATGTCAGAGTGGAAGATGAAAGAAAAAGGCAGAAAGAAAATCGATGCTGCTGAGAAAATAAGAAGAATGAGGCTAAAACACCACCCTCTTCAGATTAAGTTACAAGGGAACCACTGTGACATTTGAGGACACAATTTCAATAGAGTGACAGAGAAAGGAAGCTAGACTGCAAAACTAAGGGGCTATGAGGAAAGAGGAAATTGAGATGTCTTGCTGCAAAAGGAAAGCAATAAATAGACTAGAAGAGACAGCAAGGTCAGGCAAAAGCATTTTGGTTTTCTTGTGTGCTTTTTGAAATGGAATAAAGCCTGGCCTTGTTTGAAAGTGGTTGCAAGGGAGCCCTAATATGTGGCTGGTGCCAAGTAGTGGTAATAGGAAGAGGTGGAGGGGGCATCAAGGGCACGAGGGAAAGGGTTAGCTCTGGAGGAGGAAGAAAGATGGCTGCCTCTGCCTGCAACTGGGAGGCAGCCACAGAGATGAAGATACATCAACACAAAACTGAGAGGAATGGGCGAGTTCAATTCTTCCAAATTAGCTTTAATCTTTTCAGTAAAACCAGAGTTAGGTTATCTGCCAAGAGCGAGAATGAGGTTTATACGGCCATAATCTATATACTGAACTAATCCATGTAGTGCTTAGAATGACCAAAAAGGTAATAAGATTATCCGAAGAACAGAGGAGACTGGAGAAAGGAAGCCCAAAGTATGATTGTAAAGATTCTCTGCAAAATCTCCTTTGTGAATCAGAACTGAAATTTACATCCCCTCCTCCCCATGAACAGAAACACAACAAACTATTAATAACCCCTTGTGTCTAAAGTTTCTTTGTATTCATGTTTTAAGATATTTGACAGAGAAATAGTATCTTCTCTACTGTTAAATAGGAGAACTAATATGCAGATAAATTTTCCTGTTTGACTTAAAACTACAAAGAACATCAGGGCCAGAACTGGAATTGATATCCAGGAGCCTTTCTGATACTTGCACTGTGCTGACCTCAGCTCTACTAAACACTTCTCATAAACGGCCTGGATGCAGCTAACTGCCCCTAGAGAATCCCAGACACAGCACAAACTTGGGAAGCATCAAAATCAACGCATGATGCCCACAAGAGTCTAAGATTCTCCTTATGTGGCCCTGGGTCACAGTACAGTTCTTTGGAAATTAGAGGGCAAGTTTGATAATTTGATTGCAACATATTTGCATATCTATAACATGATGTCCTTAAAAGAACACACCATAATTATTTAATGTAAGGATTTAATGACTCTATTTTCATTCTCAATTAACATTTCCTTATTGCCAGAAGTACACTGGGGCTGGCACAACTGGAAAAAGCAAAGAGGGTAATTATTTAGCCTGCATTACTGATGAAAAGGGCAACAGGCAAAGCTAAAGCAATCCACAATTCACCTTGTATGTGAATTACATGTGTATTACAATGTGTAATCAGGAAATTTATCTTTTTTAGTTTATTTTATTTTATTTTTGAGACAGGGTCTCACTCTGTCAGCCAGGCTGGAGTGCAGTGGGGGGAACTTGGCTCACTGCAACCTCCGCCTCCCAGGTTCAAGCGAATCTTACGCCTCAGCCTACCGAGTAGCGGGACTACAGGCGCCTGCCACCACACCCGGCTAATTTTTGTATTTTTGATAAAGACGGGGTTTCACCATGTTGGCCAGGCTGGTCTCCAACTCCTGACCTCAGGTGATCTGCCTGCCTCTGGGATTACAGGCATGAGCCACTGGGCCCTGCCAGGAAATTTATCTTAAAGAGAGAGATTTAAGTTTCCTCCCTCTCATCTTCTTTCAGGAAATACATCCCCCGCCCCCCGCCCCCCGCCCCCCAGCTAAGCTAAACTCTGTCTTGATTTTCACTTCTAAAAAGAAGTAAAATCAGCCACCTCCTTAGCCACAGGTTGGGTTTAGCAGCTTCTCATTCTTTCCTTCTTTCTTCCAGTGTTTACTGAGATCCTGCTTCCATGGAGGCAGAGTGCTCGGCAGGTGGGACCAACACTCGGACTGCGCTCTCAAGGAGAATCAACCAGTAGAGGACTTGGGACTGGGGCTTACGTGCCCACAGCGCAAGGCAGGAATTGATAAGAGCCAAGGAGAGGAGGTGATAATGAGTCAAAGGGCAGTCACTCGGGAAAACCCTTTGTAGAGGATGGAGCATCTACTCCTGCGCTTAGTGAAACCTGTTAGACAGAGAGGCATATGAGAAATGCCTCCCAGGAGGCAGGCCCAGCGAGAACACGAGGCCATGAAAGCCCGCCAGCTAGCCACCCCATGAGCCACCTAACCTGACTCCTCCACAGTCCACTCGCCTCCAAGGCAGACAGCCTTGGGAGGCTCTTCCCAAACTTCATGCCACATTTGCTTCCTCCCACTTCTCTACCTATGTGTTTTAATCTAAAAACAAAGGTCTTTTGGCTGCTAATCTTTGAATGCAATAGATGCTGCAGGAAGAAGCACTGGGGTTTATCCCTCCAGCACATGGAGGCAGGAGCGCCCCGTGGCCTAGGTCTCCTCACGCCCAGATGCAGTTCTCCAAACTCTATAAACAGTAAGCTGTCTCATCCAACCCTCCATCTGGCTGTTATGCCTTCCATTTTCTCTATTTTGTTACTTGATAGTTATTGTTGGTACCAGAATGCAAGAAAAAATTCAAGCTCTTTCTGTAGCCTCTTGGCCAGGGGTAATCTCTGAAAATGGTTTGCCTATCCCTTGACCCAGAAAACTCCACAAAATCATGCAAACCAAGGGACTCAAATCTTTATGTTCGCTTTAAGAACACCCATGTAACTGTGCAGGCCATCAAGGTATGCATACCCAAAAAACCACCAAGTACCTGAAAGATGTCACTTTTCAGAGGCACTGTGTGCCTTTCCGTCATTACAAAGGTGGAGCTGACATGTGTGCCCAGGCCAAACAATGGGGCTGGACACAGGATTGGTGGCCCAAAAATGTGTTGAATTTTTGCTGCATGTGCTTAAAAATGCAGAGAACAATGCTGAACTTCAGGGTTTAGAGGTAGATTCTTGGATCATTGAGCACATTCAGTTGAGCAAAGCCAAGATATACACCATATTTACAGAGCTCATGGTCAGATTAACCCATATGAGAGATCCCCCTGCTACATGGAGATGATCCTCGCTGAAAAGGAACAAATTGTTTCTAAACCAGAAGAGATATTTACACACAAGAAAAAGGTATCCCACAAGAAACTGAAGAAACAACATGGCCTAGGAATACATTCAGTATAAGATAAATGCAAATAATAGTTTAGCCAGGCATGGTGGCTCACACCTGTAATCCAAACACTTTGGGAGGCTGAGGCAGGAAGATCACTTGAGCCTAGGAGTTTGAGACCAGCCTAGGCAACATAGGGAGACCCCCATCTCTATAGTTAAACAAAAAATTTAATTACCCAGGCAAGGTGGCATGTACCTGTGGTCCTAGCTACTTAGGAGGCTAAGGCAGGAGGATTGCTTGAGCTCAGGAGGTCAAGGCTAAAGTAAGCCATGATCATGCCACTGCACTCCAGCCTGGGTGATAGAGCAAGACACTGTCTTTTCTTTTTTTTTTTCTTTCTTTTTTTTTTTTTGAGACAGAGTCTCATTCTGTTGCATAGACTGGAGTGCAATATTGCGATCTCGGCTCACTGCAACCTCTGCCTCCCGGGTTCAAGCAATTTTCCTGCCTCAGCCTCCTTAGTAGCTGGGACTACAGGTGCGTGCCACCATGCCTGACTAATTTTTTGTATTTTTAGTAGAAACAGGGTTTCACCATGTTGGTCAGGCTGGTCTCGATCTCCTGACCTTGTGATCCGCCCACCTCGGCCTCCCAAAGTGTTGGGATTACAGGCATGAGCCACCACATTCAGCCAAGACACTGTCTTTTAAAAAAAAGTTCAAAAAAAAAAAAAGGCCGGCACAGTGGCTCACGCCTATAATCCCCACACTTTGGGAGGCCGAGACGGGAGGATCACCTGAGGTCAGGAGTTCAAGACCAGCCTGGCCAATGTGGTGAAACCCTGTCTCCACTAAAAATACAAAAATTAGCCAGGTGTGGTGGTGCATGCCTGTGATCCCAGCTACTTCGGAGGCTGAGGCAGGAGAACCACCTGGGAGGCAGAGGTCGCAGTGAGCCGAGATCGCACCACTGCACTCCACTCCAGCCTGGGCCACAAGAGCAAGATTCCATCTTAAAAAAAAAAAAAATTAAAAAAAAAAAGTAAGTTCAAGTTTAAATGCCTTTCCTACCTGAGATATTAATTACTCCCACACCATCACCAACACCCCTACTTCCAAAAGGTAATTATGAACTTCTGTAAACATTTTTCAGTTGAACTGGTTAAGTCTATAGCAGTCTATCAACTGTGTTGAACTACAGTGTCTAACAGAATCAGTTGAGTCCTGAAACTGTTCTGTGCTGTCTTACCTGAGCTAGGCAATGAGGAGCCCAGCGTGGCTAGCTTCTTGCTCTGTGCTCATCCTCATGAAGGGTGAATATGAATCAATCTAGAAACATCTCTGTCCTTTAAACAAGCTTGCAGTGAACAATAAGCCACATTTTGTCCTTAAGGATGAAACATAGGCCAGATTAGAGTTTTATCACAAGAGAGAAATACGTAATAAGGCCTCTGCTATCTGCCCCTGATAATTGCTAGTGATACATTCTAAATGATGCAGTTTTGCAAACTTCTAAGATTCTCACATTACATTTCCTATTTGTGCGAGGGCCCAGTGAGAAAGCTACACATGTTTTATTGTGGAAGAGAACAAAATCAGTAAACGGCACCACGAGACATCAAACCAATCCTGCAGACAACACTGCCTATGATTTCTGCTCTTAACACCTCAAAGTGTTCTTAGGCTATTTGTCATTTTCTCCTCTCAACCTTGGAAAGGTCATTCTTGTGCTTCTTTGACATATAGGGAAATTTGGGGGAGTGGAGAAGAGTGAGTGGGGAACTTCCCCAAAGTCCCAAAGCTAGTTGATGGGATTGGGATCTAAATGTTTGGCTTCCTCTTGTGCTTTGTCCAGCCAGTCATTCTATGGATTCTGCCTTTCACCTCTAAAGGCAGAGTTCTTATTCCCATGGCCTTCCTTCCTCCCACTTTTTAAAAATCTTTTCTCAACTTGTTTTCTTCTCTGCCCCCTCCCCCACCCCCACCTGCCTTGTTTCTATTTTAAGTTTGTTTTGAGCATTGCTTAACATATTCCTTCCTCTCATAGTCTTAACATTCCACGGCTTGTCCCTCAATTTTATACTTAGAGTAGAATCCAGTCGAATCCCACAAAGCGACAAACCTGTAGGCGTTTTATGACAATGAGTGTAATGTCAGGCACAATGTGACCAATAAAACAATAAACCCATGCCCAAAAGTGCTTTACCAGGCCTGCTGCCGTGATAAAGATCCAGTCCATTATTGGAACTGTTGACTCTTCCTTGAGAGATTGGAGAAGACTCTAAGAGTAGAACCTTTTTTTTATATACCCCACAATAGATACATTACAACAGTCTGTCTTTGATCCCATAATACCAGCTTCCCACCACAACTCCATCACAGCATTACTGCACCTTTCCCATTATTGTTCATTTAATTTCCCCAGTAAATAACAAAAGAACAGCCAGGCGCAGTGGCTCACCTGTAATCCCAACAATTTGGGCGGCCAAGGTGGGCAGATCACTTGAGGTCAGGAATTCGAGACCAGCCTGGCCAACATGGCCAAACCTCATCTCTACTAAAAATACAAAAATTAGCAAGGCGTGGTGGCAGGCACCTGTAGTCCCAGCTACTGGTGAGGCTGAGGTGGGAGAATCACTTGAACCCAGTAGGTGGAGGTTGCAGTGAGCCAAGATCATGCCACTGCACTCCAGCCTGGAGAACAGAGTGACACTCTGTCTCAGAAAAAAAAAAAAAAAAAAAAGAACAAAAGCAAACATTTTTATCAACATATATATGTTCAGGAACCAACTATGCAGGTTTCAGGTGCCCTGCAACTAGAGCAGATTATTTTGTCTCCTGCCGGCATCCAATCCTTCAAGGGATTGTGCATTAGATCATCCCTAGAAAGGAAAGGAAAACAGGTAACATGCAAATTACCTGATTTTCTCATTGAGAATTTTTGGGGAGGTAGCTTTTGGCTATTCCTATTCTCATTCTTTCTTACAACCTCAGGTAAATAAAAGTTGACCATGACTTAAAACAACACAGTATGTTTTAGATCTTAGAAATCAAGCCCTATTGTCTGTCAAAAATCAATCTCTCTTGGTACAAACATTTTGCAGGGAAAGTTGACAATAGTTTATCAAAAGTCCATGTGCATATGCCTTCTTTTTTTTTTTTTTTTTTTAGGTAGCTCCTGAGCAGCTGGGATTACAGGCATGCGCCACCATGCCTGGCTAATTTTTATATTTTTACTAGAGACAGGCTTTTGCCAAACTCCTGAGTTTGAGTTTCATCTCAGACTCCTGACCTCAGATGATCCACACGCCTTGGCCTCCCAATGTACAGGCATGAGCCACCACGCCTGGCCGCATATGCCCTTTGACTCAGTTGTTCTGTTAATATTGATTTACCCAGGGCCATGGTGACTTTGTTCAAATTAGAATAAAGTATCCCCTCATCAGGAGATTTTATGTCTATCTTCCAGAAGAGTATCATAATAACTATTTAAATTTATGGTGTCTACAAACTGAATGGTGCCCTCATAGAAAAGGCACTTTATGCAGTGTACAACTTATCTAACTACATGCAACGGCCCAGTGACCTCATGAATTCATATGAAAGAAGATATCGAGTTATATGTAAAAGGGTATTCATTGTAACAGCAAAATAAATTATCACAAATGTCCACCAGCAGGGCACACTGTATATAAATAGATTAGAATACCTTTATACAATAGAATACTAGGAAGCATTATAAAAAGAATATGGGAAGATCTATACTGTAGACACTGATAATGAAAACATGTTCAAAGTTTATTAAGTGAAAAGACCAAGGTATAAAATAAAATATATTATAATTCAATTATGTACATTTCAAAAAGAAATATATGCTGGTACATAGCCCTTTTTTCTGAAAAGACACTTGAGAAATTATTAACAGGAGCCTTCTAGAAAGAGAGTAATTGGGTGAAGAAGGAAGCTTTCAGTTCAAATGTTTACCTTTCTATATTATTTGAATTTTCTCACTGAAAGCATTTATTACTTTCTTTTTTTTTTTTTTTTTTGAGTTGGAGTTTCACTCTTGTTACCCAGGCTGGAGTGCAATGGTGTGATCTCAGCTCACTGCAACCTCTGCCTCCTGGGTTCAAGCAATTCTCCTGCCTCAGCCTCCAGAGTAACTGGGATTACAGGCATGTGCCACCACGCCCAGCTAATTTTTCTGTTATTAGTAGAGACGGGGTTCCATCGTGTCAGCCAGGCTTGTCTCATACCCCTGATCTTGGGTGATCCACCCGCCTCGGCCTCCCAAAGTGCTGGGATTACAGCGTCTCAAAACAAAACAAAAAACAAGTCTAAGAGGTGTTGTTTAATTTCTGTGTACATGCCCCCCAACAGAATACATGAAAAAATAGACTGCAGGGGTTTTTGATATAGCAATGGGGCCAAGGAAGGGAGGGAGGCAGGAGGCAGGTGGTGAAGGCTGGGTGCTGACCCAGGAGACACACCCTCTATGCACCGCTGTTCTCTAGGGGCATTTCTACCTCACAATTCTTGCTTCTGAAAACAAACAGATGCTACATTCATGTATCTATTGGACAGTGAATATATTTAATCATAGAAAAAGAATATCATTAAGCTCACTTTCTTTTATTAATTCGGTCCTAGTGGAGGATAAATACAGTGCAAGCAGAGCTGCCCATCACCTAAAAACCCAGGGGCTGTTAGAAACCTACTGTCCTTCCTTGATTCTACCATACTAAATGGGTGTAGAAGAATGACATTTGCTGCCTTTCTCATTTTGATTTCAGTCCCCAGATAAAGAAGAATTCTAGCTTTCTGTTTGTTTCTGAAATGTAAACCACCGTTATGATAAAATAAAGCTGAATTCATTATAATAAATTTTATGCTAAGAATATATTCTCTCAAATGACTTTTTTTTTCTTTCTTGAGACCAGGTCTCACTCTATCACTCAGGCTGGAGTGCAGTGGTGCAATCATGGCTCACTGCAGACTTGACCTTCCAGATTCAAGCGATCCTCCTACCTCAACCTCCCTAGTAACTGGGACTACAGGCATGCACCACCATGCCCAGCTATTTTTTTATTTTTTTGAAGAGATAGGGTCTTACCACGTTGCCCAGGCTGGTCTTGAACTCCAGGGCTCAAGTGATCTTCCAGCCTCAGCCTCCCAAACTGCTAGGATTACAGGTGTGAGCCACTGCGCCCGGCCTCAAATGAATATTTACTTAGACTACACATACATTATTCCACAAAAAGAGGGCAAAAAAAAAGATTTTCTTTCGATTAACAGAAGTTACATTTAATGTAAGTAAGTAACATAGCAACCTCAAACCTAAGAAAAGAGTGACATTTATATGTTTATTTTTAAGATGACGTATTTGTATTAAATGACTTTTAAAAAATTCCCTTCAGTAAAGATTGTCAGAGGAGAGCATTTTAACTGTTACAGATTTTACAAAACATTTTTCTGCTTTGCAGTTTTGCCTTTTGAATCATGTATTTTTCCCAATGTCAAGGCATCAGACCTTGAGTTTGATTACAACTTATACACATTTTGATCCAAAGTTATACACATTCCATTCTTCTACCCCTTGGAAAATGGGTTTTAAATACTGAACTCATTCCAGGCCAAGGTCTTCTCTTGACACATTAACACAACAAATACTCTTTTATTGCTGAATTTCTATTTGGAGACTGATTATTTAAAACTCCACTATTCATTTGCTTACCAGATTTGCCTTGGTTACCCTGTGTCATTAAACAAATATTTATTCATTTGATAAACATTTTTGAGAATCTTCTAGGTCCCAGTCTCTCTGTCCAGCACTAGAGCACAGGGAATAGACAGATAAATGTAAAATTGAAAAACGCTGGGCACGGTGGCTCAAGCCTGTAATCCCATCACTTTGGGAGGCTGAGGCAGGTGGATCACCTGAGGTAGGGAGTTCGAGACCAGCGTGGCCAACGTGGGGAAACCCTATCTCTACTAAAAATAGAAAAATTATCCAAGTGTGGTGGCACGTGCCCTTAATCCCAGCTACTCGGGAGGCTGAAGCAGGAGAATCACTTGAAAGGCAGAGGTTGCAGTGAACCGAGATCCCACCACTGCACCCCAGCCTGGACAACAAAGGGAGACTCTGTCTCAAAAACAAAACAAAACAAAACAAAATCTGGGTATGGTGGCTCACACCTGTAATCCCAGCACTTTGGGAGGCCGAGGCGGGCAGATCACGAGGTCAGGAGATGAAGACCATCCTGGCTAACACGGTGAAACCCCATCTCTACTAAAAGTACAAAAAAATTAGCTGGGCGTGGTGGCGGGCGCCTGTAGTCCCAGCTACTCGGGAGGCTGAGACAGGAGAATGGCATGAACCCAGTGGGGCAGAACCTTCAGTGAGCCAAGATCACGCCACTGCACTCCAGCCTGGGCGCGGAGCGAGACTCTGCCTCAAAAAAAAAAAAATTGAAAAAACGATATGATTCCTGCCCTTAAAGAAGTTGCAAGCTGGGCTCTTCTGTCCAGTGTTTATCAAGATGTTTGTTCTATAGAATCGGGGGCAGGACTAAGGCGAGACCAGAAAGACACATGTCCTAGGAGAATTTTAGGAGGTGTTCACTCTCGGGGTTGCACAGGCCTGCCAGTGTCCTAACCCAGCCACATGGCTGCCCCACATCATATCTGCTTCCCTTCTGCTGTCCTCCCAGCTCAGAGACATCACAGACTCACACTTTCATTACAGTCAGCTCCTTTCACTTCCTCGAAAATGTCTACATTTTGTGTCTATTTTCTTTTTTTCTTTTTTTTTTGAGACAGAGTCTTGCTCTTTCACCCAGGCTGGAGTGCAGTGGCACTATCTCGGCTCACTGCAACCACTGCCTCCTGGCCTCCAGCAATTCTCCTGCCTCAGCCTCCCCAGTAGCTGGGATTACAGGCACCCGCCACCACACACGGCTAATTTTTGTATTTTTAGTAGAGACGGGGTTTCCCCATCTTGGCCAAGCTGATCTCGAACTCCTGACCTCAGGATCCACCCACCTCAGCCTCCCAAAGTGCTGGGATTACAGGCATGAGCCACCGCGCCCGGCCTCTTGTCTATTTTCATGTCTAGGACTATGCAACCCTCTCTATTGCTCCCCCACCTCACCCCAATTAAGCATTTTTTCCAGGCCTTGTTTAAACCCCACAAGGAAAATCCTCCCTAGATCTTACAGCCTGACCAATCTCTCTCCATGCCCTCTGCAATTCTGAGAAGGCCTGTAGCACTAACCAATTTATATTCAAATTATCACATGGGAATCTCCTGCCCCTGGTCTGTGAGCCTGTGGAAAGCAAGGCCTGTGTTTCAGCTTTCGGAGGACCTGACTCCAAACCCATGGCCCCCAGCACAGTACTTGGCACATGATGGGCTTTTAGCAAATTATTCTTTCATTTATCTGAGTCTTTAAAATCCTTATCACATTTTTAGTGTTTCTTTTCACTTTCACGGAAGCAAACAATTGTTTGAGGCATTCGTAACACTTGAATGTGATTCTACAGAAGCAAGACAGGAATTATAATGAGTTAGCTTGTTAGAAGATGCATTTCTTATTTCCCAGCAACTAATTAAATGTAATAGTAGCTTAAGTAAATAGACATTTTGTTTAGTACTACTGTAATTTGTGTGTGGTAGGGTGTTAACTTGTTTATGACAATAGACTTTCTCTGTTGTGCACAAGATGGTCACTCATTGGGTGAAGGTCTCCACAGCAACTTCTTGGGGTAACACCACTATTCAATGAGTTATAATTAATAAAGAATTATGGTGGTGACACTCTTCCAGTTGGGCAGCTCCTAATGATAGCATGATCTCTTTACTGATGATAAGAATGTGGCCTTACCCATCACTAAGGCACACCACATCATCAGTGTAGGAAATTATTTACAACTCCCCTCCCAAACATGTACCCCAAATGGTCATCTAAGAGTACAGTTAGGATACTTCTTGAGATGATGTGCTGAAAGAGTTAGTGGCCTGGGAGCCTTTGCAGAATTGCACTAATGGTCATGAAAGGGACTGATCTACCATAATTATTTTAGTGGCCCCCCTACCCTGGGCATTTGTGATGTTGATGGGCAATTAATTTAATAGCCAAAGCTTGGCTATGACCAGTCATTGGCAGTAGGGAGTAACCCTTCCCCCTTCCCTTTGCTGTTTCCTTGCAAGGACCTGCTACACGAGATGTTTGTCTTCATGGTGTGACTTGACAATGCAGCTTAGAGCTATAGCAATTTTGCTAAAATATTTTAGACAAGTAAACTCCAAATACTGAATGGAAAGCCGTTGTCTTTCTGGAAAGCTCTTAGCTAGAGTCCTTCATGATGTTTTTCCTCCCTCCTCTCCCCACATCCAGCCATCATTCCTCTTCCGCCTAAAATATCTAGCAATTACAAACAAAATGAGCTTCAGTTGCTAAAGTGGGAAGCAGGGGATTTCTAGTCCTTGGTGACTTTACTGCTGCAATCAAAATAGGCATTATCAACCAGAAAGCTTCCAACGCTGGAAGCTCCAGGGCACACCCAGGAGATGTGCTGTGGAGTGAGGCTAGGTTGTGGGCAGGGGGTAAATAAAGACAACACACACTGTTTAATCAATAAGCTTCTGGAAAGGTGACATAAAGACGGAAACTGTAAAATCAATGAGATTTTAAAGTTAGGTAATAAGAGTTGGTTGTTTTACAGGAAATACAAATGAAAAATCATTTTCTATTTTTTTCTGCTTTCAAGTTTTGAATTTAGGGCTTTCTAAAAGTAGCCAGCCAGTTCTTTGAGGCTGGGGTTCCACAACCTGCAGATCTGAACAAAAGAGAAAGTAATGAAGGGGAACCTATACCGATGTTACTCAGCATCATGTGCTTTGGGGCCACATTATTCATTTGAACTGGTAATGGCGGAAGGAAGAACCACCTGCCCTCTGTCTTCCAAGTTATCTTTAATATCAATTAGCAACAAGATTTGCAGGCCAGGTGCAGTGGTTCACACCTGTAATCCTAGTGCTTTGGGAGGCAAATGCAGGCAGATCACTTGAGTCCAGGAGTTCAAGACCAGTCTGGGCAACACGGCAAAACACCATCTCTATAAAACATTTTAAAATTAGCTGGGTGTAGCTATGCATGCCTACAGTCCCAACTACTAGGGAGGCTGAGGCAAGAGAATTGCTTGAGCCCAGGAGGTGGATGTTGCAGTGAGCTGAGATCGTGCCATTGCACTCCAGCCTGGGTGACAGAGAGAGACCCTAGAAGATTTGCAAAAATTCCAGAGTCTCATGGCTTCAACCTCGAGCATATGTTTCTTGGTAATCCTGTCACTTCATTGGTTTGGGTTCAATAAACAATTTTATATATAGATACACATACACATATATATATGTATAAATATATGTATATGTAAATATGTGTGTGTGTGTGTATATATATATATATATATATACACACACACTTTTTTTTTGAGGTGGAGTCTTGCTTTGTCACCCAGGCTGGAGTGCAGTGGTGAGATCTCGGCTCACCGCAAGCTCTGCCTTTTGGGTTCTAGCAGTTCTCCTGCCTCAGACTCCTGAGTAGCTGGGATTACAGGCATGTGCCAACGCACCTGGTCAGTTTTTGTATTTTTAGCAGAGACGGGGTTTTGCCATGTTGGCCAGGCTAGTCTCAAATTCCTGAGCTCAACTGATCCACCCGCCTCGGACCCACAAAGTGGCTGGGATTACAGGCATGAGCCACCACACCCGGCCTTTAGAATATTTTCTGAATGCACATCTTGGGCACAATATGGCCAAGGAGATCAAATAGATGAAAAATAAAAGAAGTTTATAAATTAATTAAGGAATCAAAACAAATTGCCCTGATTTTATTCTCTGTGCACTTCACATCATTTCACATCTTGCGGATCTTCCTAGAATCCTCAAGAACTTTTTAAGTTCAGGCTCCTCATACAGATCCTCAAAGCTTTCCAAGCTCTGCCCCACTTTATTTTTCTAGCCTTATTTCTCCTAGCCCTGTCATCTGCACACGTTCCACTCCCCAGCCCCCAAGGCAGGGTCTCCCTCTCTCTCCAATACCATCTGCTTAGCTCAACCTGCCTGTTATTGTTCATAAACCATCACCACAACGGTACAGGTCAGGACGGCTTTATGTAAGCAATGGTTTTGGAAAATGAAAGACAATTTCAAAGATCTCCTGTCGTGGTCTGAGCCAATTAGCTTCCATCTCTTCACTTTAGATATGCTCATCCTCATCCAAATAACAATCTTTTATATGTAGTAAAAGTTAATTGACTCTCATAATTTTGAATATATGGTAATTCAGACAAGGATTAATTTGAAGTTTGACTTTTGCAACTGACAAATGGCAGTAATTGGTATACAAACAAACTTGATGTGGGAAAGGTTTAAATATCTTAAAAGATCTAAATTTTTAGCACCTTCAAGTATTTGAGGAATATCCTTTCTGGTATACCAATAGAAACAAAGCTTTTCTATTTACCACAGTAAAATCCATGTAGATCATAGAAACAAAGCTTATCTGTTTATGAAAGTAAGATTCACATAAGTAATCTACAAAGATTTTATTAACTTAATTGAGATACTGTCAATACTTCAAAGTAATCAAAATGCTATTCCTTTACATATTAAATAATTTAACTTTTTCGTCAGGTTGCTCTCAATTTAGTGCAAGTGAAAAAGACATTGAGAAAGAAAAGAATATATATAAATACTTCTTATTTAAGTAATGTGACCCCTTTTAAATTATCAGGCCCAGAGAGGCATTAATATGAGACAGCAGTTATGTCCTACTTCTTCCCACCCCGACTTGAGCTATGTAATTGTCTCTTTTTTTTTTTTTTTTTTGAGACAGGGTCTCCCTCTGTCGCCCAGGTTGGAGTGCGGTGGTGCAATCTCGGCTCACTGCAACTTCTACCTCCCAGGTTCAAGGGATTCTTGTGCCTCAGCCTCCCAAGTAGCTGGGATTACAGGCGCACACCTCTGCGACCAGCTAATTTTTGTATTTTTAGTAGAGATGGGGTTTCGCCATATTGGCCAGGGAAAGGTCGAACTCCTGGCCTCAAGTGATCCGCCCGCTTCAGCCCCGCAAAGTGCTGGGATTACAGGTGTAAGCCACTGCACCTGGCCTGTAATCATTTCTTGAAACTGCTTGCTATTTTCACAAGTAGCTATAAATTAACCTAGCAATGCCACACACAGGACGCCATACCCATACCCTATAGTTCAACAATATGTAGCCAATCTAATCCATGTTATTTCTTTTAACCAGTGAAAATTCCTGACAAACAACTTTGTATCAGTCCACTCTTTGTCCCCCAACTCCCCTTTTTTTTGGCCTTTGAAAACCTGCTTGTGACAAAGGTTACTGGAGCACTCCCCAAGGCAAGTGTGTCCAGGGCAGTGGTCCTCAACCTTGGCCCAGATAAACTCTCTCTATTAATTTTGCCTCAGTTTTTTTTTTCCTTAGGCTCACATTATTCATTTGAAAGTCATTAAAATTCTCTAGACCCAATTTCTGGCTCTAAGATTTACTGTGTGACTTTGAGCAAGTTATAGTAACATGTCTAAGGCTCAGTGATCTTATCTGTGAGATGGGGAAAAGCTCTTGTGAGATTTGTGAAAACTGAGTGTGAAGATATCTGGTACTGAGCCCAGCCAGTGGTAGGCACTAAATGAACATCAGTTTCTTTTTCCTTACCTACTTTTTCAGTGATTCTCAAAGGAAGTTCTGCGCATATGTTTAGATTGATCTTTTAGTACTCCATTTTTAATTGAATGAAAAATAATGAATTAATTACTTTTTTAAAACCAAAATCCCCATATTGGTATTTTATTTAGATAAATCCAATTGTTTTCCATCCTAGTAAGTTCTTTTCTTTTTTTTTTTTTTTTTTTTTGAGATGGAGTTTCGCTCTTGTTGCCCAGGCTGGAGTGCAGTGGCACAATCTCGGCTCACTGCAACCTCCGCCTCCTGGGTTCAAGTGATTCTCCTGCCTCAGCCTCCGGAGTAGCTGGGATTACAGGAGCCTACCACTATGCCCAGCTAATTTTTGTACTTTTAATAGAGATGGGGTTTCACCATGTTGGCCAGGCTGGTCTCGTACTCCTGACCTCAGGTGATCCACCTGCCTCAGTCTCCCAAACTGCTGGGATTACAGGTGTGAACCACTGTGCCCAGTCCCTAGTAAGTTCTTTTGATAAGACTGAGATCTGGTCATTGATGTATTCCTACTGGCCGTATCAATTAGGAAGGTTTTAACTGCAATCAAGTATCAGGATATCTAACTCATGGAAGAATCTTGTTTTTGTTTTTATATATTTTCAGTTTTTTAACACAACACAGAAACCCAAACATGAGGGTCATTAGCATTGGTCGGCTGCTCAGGGGTGACATCAAGGATCTCCATTCTTTCCATCTTTTTACTTACTCTGCTGTCATCATTATGCTTGTCTGCGATACTTACCACGTCTGCAGGTATCATTCTACATTCAAGGTTGGATGAGTGGGAAAGGGCAACACTAACCACATTTTTTAATCAGAAAAGCCAAGTGTTTATGAGAAGTCCTTCAGCACACTTCCTCTTACATATTTTTAGCCACAACTAGCCATATGGGCACTTCCTTCCAATTGCAAAGAGAGGCAAGGAAATCAGATATTTGGCAAAAGGAAGATGGATTGCCATAATTTGCTTAAGCTAATAATAAATGAGTCATCAACTAAACCACCTGGAACAAAATCAAGAATTTTTTCTGCTCAATGAATCTGTCATCTGAAAAATTCAAAGCATTCTTGGTCCTGGGTCTGCTACCCTCAGCTTTCATCAGGTACAGATATCTCAGATACACTTCCACAATTGAGATTAAACTTATATAAATCTCCAATTTTTTGGTATGTTTGCTTTATCAACCAAAAAAAAAAAAAAAAACTCCTCTCTGTAGAAGCAGGAAGCTGGATTAGGTGATTTATTGAGATTTCTCACAGGTTGAAGACCTATGATGCAAAATTCAACATAAGAATGGCAAGGGTCGGGAGGCTGAGGCAGGAGAATCACTTGAACCTGGGAGGCGGAGGTTGCAGTTAACCAAGATTGCACCACTGCACTCCAGCCTGGACAACGGAGGGAGGCCCTGTCTCGAAGAAAAAAAAAAAAAAAAGAATGGCGAGGGTCCTGTGTGTACTTCTTATGTAAGTGTAAAATCACAATTACTATGCCTTTATCTGAACCTTATTCAACTTATGATGTGTTAGAATCCCAAGTTCTATTTCAGAAAGCTCTCTTTCTCTTTTTTGCAGCTCAATTTTCCTTCATAAGTAAACTAATCTGTACTTTTCATTATTAATACCGTTCCAACCAATTTGAACCAATTATCATTCAATTATTCTACAAACATTCACAAAGCACTTACTTTGTGTCTAGCACTGGGAATATAAAGATGCAGAAGAAACAATTTCTTATCTGCAAGTTTATAAACTAGGAGGGAGAAAAATTTGTGAGCCGGTAATGTATAAGCAATAGGATGTCACAGGTGTAATCATTTTTAAAATATATATAAAGGTGAAGGGAGAAAAAACAAGGCAGGAGTGGTCAGTCCTTGATGGGTGGAGTCAGAATTCTAAAAATCTGATTTAACATCAGAGACTTTCTCCAGAACTAGCATCTTCTGGATTGCTCCAACAGTGTCAGCTCTAAGTATAAAAAGGATCTGGTCAGGTGCAGTGGCTCACGCCTGTAATCCCAGCACATTGGGAGGCTGAGGCGGGCAGATCACGAGGTCAAGAGATCGAGACCAGCCTGGCCAACATGGTGAAACCCCGTCTCTACTAAAAATACAAAAATTAGCTGGGTGTGGTGGCGCGCACCTGCAGTCTCAGCTACTCGGGAGCTTGAGGCAGGAGAATTGCTTGAATCCAGGAGGTGGAGGTTGCAGTGAGCCGAGATCGCGCCACTGCACTCCAGCCTGCCAATAGAGCGAGACTCCGTCTCAAAAAAAAAAAGGATCTGGTTTTGCTTAATATTGCAAATGAGATGTTTAGTTAGGAGTTGAAATCGTATTTTCAGGGGGTTTGTTCAGATGTGTTTTCTCTTGGTTAACAATCACATGTGTTCTAAACTCTTTAAGGATTCGTAAATCATGGGGGTAGCATTTCTTTGTTTTCAGTGATGACACAGACATTCATCATCACCTACCGTGCTGATCTCAAGTTTGTGGGAAGATAGCCAAAAGAAAAAATATTGATTCCCTACTTTCCTTTGGGCTCAATGAGACGTCACTCTTTTTTTTTCCTTCTTGGTCACTTAGCTCCACTGACAGACACATTTGTACATGATACTGGGAAGTGAGTGAACATCT
Organism: Homo sapiens; assembly: GCF_000001405.40. Lineage (NCBI taxonomy): Eukaryota > Metazoa > Chordata > Mammalia > Primates > Hominidae > Homo > Homo sapiens. The sequence continues at coordinate 50,838,455 of NC_000018.10, forward strand.
ACCACAATCACCAAGCTTCTGTATTCATTTCCTCAACTTTTAGCCAGGTAAAGATGAGATTAGAAATTCAGTAACTTCATGTATCACCAATGTCTTCCAAACTGCAGACTCTGACTCACTGGTGGGTCATAAAATCCAATCAGCGGGTCTTCATCAGTCTTTTTTTTTTTTTTTTTTTTGAGATGGAGTCTCGCTCTGTCACTAGGTTGGAGTGCAGTGGTGCGATCGCGGCTCACTGCAACCTCCGTCTTTTGGGTTCAAGCGATTCTCCTGCCTCAGCCTCCCAAGTAGCTAGGACTACAGGTGTGCACCACCATGCCCAGCTAACTTTTGTATTTTCGTAGAAATGGGGTTTCACCATGTTGGCCAGGATGGTCCTGATCTCTTGACCTTGTGATCTGCCTACCTCGGCCTCCCAAAGTGCTGGGATTACAGGTGTGAGCCACCACAACAGCCTTAATCAGCTTAAAAAAAAAAATAGAAAAAAGAATAGAACAGGAAAATATCAGAACGCATTTCACCTAGTAAGGTAAAAGTTAGCTCATGAAATTTTTGTTGCAGTGTGCATGTATGTGTGTATTGAGTCACAACATAAAAGATATTTCTTACTGTGTCACTGTCAAAAAATTAAACCACAAAATCAGACACTAATTCCCATGAAGGCACTTATTAGCCATCTAGCAAATATTTGTTGAATTAAACTGATTTGCATGTGTGCTTATATATCTACTCAACAAATACTTACAAAGACTGTGTACACAACATTGATCATTACAATCCTTCATTTAAATTTTGTGAAAATGTAGGACACCAACAGGCTGTCAGTTAGTCAGACTCAGTAAATGTTTTCTAGGAACAAATCATCCCATTTACCAGGACTGTTTCATAATTTTTAATCCAGCTTAACCCCCGCCTGCAGTATTAAATAGATTTTGAGATATCTAAACAGGTATCCAGGAAAAAGAAAGCTATAAAAGCATCAGGTGCAATGGATTATCAGCAAACAAAGCTTTCTGATCCTTATTAGTCTCAGGAACACAAGTCATGTCCTAGTTCAAACTCCTCTCATAATCAGGGCAGGCTGGCACAGTGTCCTGTGTCCCAGCATGGATGATGTCACAGGTCCTGGCCCCCTGTGTTCCTTTTTCAGGCCTTGGGTACTGAGCACTTACCTGTTCTGACTACAGTGAGCCCCCTCCCAAGCCAGCAGGGCTGCCACTGGAGGTTTTGCCTTCCCTGGAGGCCACACTCTCACCACCCCTCGGTGGGCACAGCTCCTCACTGTCCAAAGTCATCACAGTTCTCAGTGCCCAAGATGTGCCCTGAGGGTCTCACACCATGCCCAGAAGACTACCACTTGCCAGATCCAGGCCAAGCCCACAGACGCTGCACCAAATGCTCTTTCGTCTCTTTTGTCTGCATGAAATAGAGCCTCCTATGGATTCCAGAGTTCTCTACCTGCCTTGGGCAGGGGACCACGTTCGGTCAGGGGCATCAGGTGAAGAATGCACCAATGCCTAACACTCGCCTCTGACCTGCTCACAGCCTGGTACTGTGATGCTCCACAGATACATCAGAGGTGGGGCAAGTTTCTTCTCCACTCACCCTCCCTACACCAAAACAGAGGATACACCTGTTCCCATCAACAGTGAACTGGGGCTCTGCGATGTTCATGACCTCTGCCACAGTGTTCAAGTGTTTTCTGAAGCAGGGGCTTATCACGTCCCTGTGCCTGCCTCCTGAAAGTCAGACATTGTCCTGTAATCTAAGCTCCATAGCCTCTGGGCTACGCTTGTGGAAGTCCAGCCTGGGTCAGTTAGATAAAGGGTGAGCACTTACTTCCACAGGAAGCAAACAACATCCTGAAAGTCATCTTTTCCTCTGTCCTAGACTGGATCTACCTGACACTGAAGTTTAGTGGATCTGTGGGTGTTTCTCTCTCTTGCTCTCAACCAAAGCCTTTGCCATGGGCTTGTTCCCCTTCCTTCTGTCTGCCTAAAATTCCCCAGGACCTGGAGCCCCAGGGACCAGAGCTACAGGACAGGCTCTGGTTGCCTGCCCCTTGTGTGAGCTCATTCCTATTGCAGATTCAGGAAAAGAGCACCACAGTCAATGGGCAGCAAAGGCTAAGGAAGCACAACTGGATCTTTCTTCCCCCCCTTCCAAACCCTCCCTAGTGGTTTAGCATTATGGATGCTGTTTGGTTTGTTTACAGAGTCCAGCCCTTCAAGGGGCCACCAGATTCCTGTGGGGAGTGTTAGAGAGGGGAGGGCATGAGTAGCTTCAGTGGGATGGGACACAAGAGCTGCTACCCAGGCAGAATCTGCAAAGGGCTCCATTTTGGTACCCTTGGTCCCAAATCCAAACAGCCCACCCACCAGTGTCCATCTCTCAGAACGATCTAGAGTTCCAGAGCCCAGTCACTGAAACTCAAGGAGATCCAGAGACAGAAGAGAAGTTCTTGGTCATCTCTTGTGATGTGGAATATCAGTTACTTTCCAGGATTTTCTTCTAATTAAAAAAATCCAGCAAGCAGCAATGAGTTTTGAGGCTGCCAGTTGTCTGGTTTGGGGTACTGCAGCAAAATGATTAAAAACTTGCTCTTAGAATGAGATCTGGGATCAAATCCCAGCTTTGCCACTTACCACATAACTCTTGAAACCTCAGTCTCCCTGATTATAAAATAGGGACAACACCACAGCCTACCTTATCAGGCTGTTATGAGGATTGATTAAGAGAACCTTTGTTAAGCTCCGAGTATAGTATCTGGCACACAGTAAACATTCAATAAATGTTAACTGTTGTTACTATTACTTTTTTCTTTTTTTTGAGATGGAGTCTCGTTCTGTCACCCAGGCTGGAGTGCAGTGGTGCGATCTCGGCTCACTGCAAGCTCCACCTCCCGGGTTCATGCCATTCTCCTGCCTTAGCCTCCCCAGTAGCTGGGACTACAGGCGCCTGCCACCACACTGGCTATTTTATTTATTTATTTATTTTTAGTAGAGATGGGGTTTCACCGTGTTAGCCAGGATGGTCTCGATCTCCTGACCTCTTGATCCGCCCGCCTCGGCCTCCCAAAGTGCCGGGATTACAGGTGTGAGCCACCGTGCCCGGCCTATTGTTACTATTATTATTGGCAATTATGAGAATTAGTGAAAAGAGCAGAATAAGGTAATTAAGACTAAGACAAACCATATAGTATCTACAAAGCTACATCCTTACTTCAAAGTAAAAATGAAATTGATTCTATTTCAGTGTATTCTACTTGTTTGCTTGTCCACTTGACAATGCATTGGACACACAGAATATGGTATAGTGGAAAGAATATGGACTCTAGCGTCAGAATTGTGCTTAAATCCCTTTCTTCTACTTCTCGAGAGGTTTGGACAAATTTTTTAAGCTCTCTGAAACTTAGTTTACTCATCATAAAATGGGAATTACAATTATAGCTTGCAGGGTTGTCCTAAGGATTAAAAAAGCCTCTCCTCCTGTTTCCATCCCCTGTGGGCTGGCAGCCTCTCTCATGCGCACAAATAGCTCTCTTGGCTTTCTCCATGGGAGCCCTTATCACATTGGACCACATTGTTCTCTCCCCTAGAGTGTACACGTCTTTTTTTTTGAGATGGAGTCTTGCTCTGTCACCCAGGCTGGAGTGCAGTGACACTATCTTAGCTCACTGCAACCTCTGCCTCCCAGGTTCAAGCGATCCTCCTGCCTCAGCCTCCCAAGGAGCTGAGACTAGAGGCATGCACCACCATGCCAAGCTAATTTTGGTATTTTTAGTAGAGATAGAGTTTCACCATGTTGGCCAGCCTGGTCTGACCTCAAGTGATCCACCCCCTTCAGCCTCCCAAAGTGCTGGGATTACAGGCATGAGCCACCTCGCCCGGTCAAGTGTACACTTCTTAATTGTCTGTTTGTTTTCAATCTCCGGCATCTAGTACAGCCCTTGGACACAGCATATGTTCAGTAAAAGCTTGCTAGCTTATTAAGTAAAAAAAAAACTGAAAATGGCAGAAAAAATAGATTTCGTAGGAAAAATAAAATTCCTTTATTACATATATTCTAGGGAAGAGTGTTAGCAGATATATCATAGCTGTGTTCCATGTTGAGATTTTTTTTTTTTTTTTTTTTTTTTTTGCTGTAGTACTTGTAATTTGATTTGGGTGCCATTCAAATCTTCATAATAAGTGGTGTTACATCTCATCTTACCCCATGTCCTCTAGCTCTGTATTAGCTAATCTTGCTTTTAAACATTCCTCTGAATGGAAATCTTTTCTTACATTATCATTACACAAACAACACATGGTCACAAAAAGTCACAAGTACAGATAAACTAAACAAAAAATAAACCTAAAACAAATTCTGCCATCAAATAATTACTGTTAACATTTTGGATGCATCCTTCTAAGTTTTCTTTTAACACAGACTTGAGATATAATTCACACACTGTATTAGTTGGCTAGGTCCATATGTTAGTCAGGGTTATCCAGAGAAACAGAACCAAGAAGATGTGTATTGAGAGAGAGAGAGGAAGAAATATATATTTTAAGGAATTGACTCACACAATTTTGTATATGCAAGTTCAAAATCTGCTGACAGGCTGGAGACCCAGGGAAGAGTTGCAGTTCAAGTTCAAAGGCAGTCTGCAGAATTTCTTCTTACTCAGGGGAGGTCAGTTCTTATTTTCTTAAGGACTTCAACAGATTGGATGAGATTCAACCACATTTTGGAGGGTCATCTGCTTTACTCAAAGTCCGTTGATTAAATGTTAATCTCATTTAACAAACACCTTCACAGAAACATCCAGAATAAGGTTTAACTAAATATCTAAATACTGTGGCCCAGCTAAGTTGACACATAAAATTGATTATCACAGACTCCCATAACAAAGTACTACAGACGGGGTGGTTTAAACAACAGAACTTTATTTTCCACAATTCTGGAGGCTAGATACCTGAGATCAAGGTGTTCATATGGTTGGTTTCTTCTGAAGCCTCTCTCTTTGGCTTGAGTCTTTTCCCTGTGTCTTCAAATGGTCTTCCCTCTGTCTGTTTCCTAATCTTCTTCTCTTCTTGTAAAGAAACGTATCATGTTAGATTAGGGCCTAATGACCTCATTTAACTTAATTAATTCTTTAAAGACTCTATCTTCAAATATGGTCACATTTTGAAGTACTGGGTGTTAGGACTTCAACGTATGAATTTGGGGAACCTGTGTCAGCCCGTAACACTTAAGGTACAATTCAATGTTTTTAACACTGAAGAAGGAGGATCACAGCCCTATTTATAATTGAGGAAACTGAGGCCTGGAGATTAGTCCACGGCTACACAGCTAGAGTCCAGCAAAGGAAAACCACATGGCTTCCTTCAGGGGGGAATTTGAGATATTCAGTCACTTGCTCAGTTGTACTTTTTTTTTTTTTTTTTTTTTTTGTTTTAGAGACAGGGTCTCACTCCTATCACCCAGGCTGCAGTACAGTGGTGTGATCTCAGCTCACTGCAGCCTCGACTTCTCAAGCTCTGGTGATCCTCCCACCTCAGCTTCCTCAGTAACTGGGACTACAGGCATGCACACGCACACCTGGCTAACTTTTTGTATTTTTAGTAGAGATGGGGTTTTGTCATGTTGGCCAGGCTGGTCTTGAACTCCTGGGCTGAAGTGATCTGCCCACCTCAGCCTCTCAGAGTGCTAGGATTACAGGTGTGAGCCACTGTGTTTGGCTTGTACTGTTTTTTCAAGTGTCAAAATTAGAATTAATATCCTCAAGAATTTTTCCAGTTATGTAATATAAATTACACTTGTATAATTCTGCCATGGCATATCCCATAGATATACCAACTGTATGATTTGTGCTGCTAGATATTTGCTTCTTCTCTCTGGTTCATCAGCATGTTACAGTCATATCCTTCAGTGTCCTATTTATTACCCCTTGGTTATATGTACAAATCACCCTTCTCAACTAGTGGAGAGCTATCCAAATTAAAGCATTAGCTTTTCACCCATACACAGAAAGTTAGCTCCTAACACGAATATCAGGAAAGAACCACAATATTAATTGTTTGGAAATGCTCCAACATTATCCTCACTTGGAAGAGACAAACCAGTTAGTTGTATTTGCATTATTTAAAAAGGACAAAGCGAAATGTCAAGGTAAATTATGCAATGGGTTATGTAATTTTTTAATTAAAAAACAGCAACAACAACAACAACAAAACAGAAGGGGAGAATTTCCTTCCTAGTTATGTGCATCCTTACTGGTTACTCTGACTTTTTGTTACTTATTTACTAAAATGACTTCAAGGACAGCATTTGGCAGTCACTCGCAAACCTCTAGCCCCAGAGTTTTCAAGCAATATCACTGTACGTTTTGAAGATGCCCACCTCGGTATACTACCGTTTTAATAGGACAAATAAATAAAGTTGTTCTTGGGCGGGGTTTCCCAAAGAAAGCATTGTAGGACACAAAGATTACAAAGGATTGAAAATGCTATTCACAATTTTGTATGACAGGGTAGCTGCTGGTAAGAAAAAGCAGGCTAGACGAATGTATTTTTGGTGGAATCTAGTTTATTGCATTTAAGGGCCTCAAAAGTTAGCAACACTATATTCTGCATTGTTATAAACACAACTGTGTATGTTTGTCCTCTCTGTAATTATATCAGAACAACCCTAACATCAAAGGATTGCAGAATTACATAGCAAACCCAGAATAGCCTGTGGTTTGGAAGCTGAATAGAGAGCCCAATTACCCAGGTCAAATATCTACCAGTGATATCAGTTTAGGGCCACGCTCTGGCTTTACTTTCTGGTGCAAGGATATTCCAGGCCTAAAATCTGGGGACAGGCCACTACTTCTTGGGGCAAAAGTCACAGCCTGCTCAAAGTTGTTGCTCTTGTCGCATTCCAATTTATTCCCCTTCCAGCTTGATAAGCCAGTCTACACCCAAATTTCCAGCTCTTCAGTTTCAAGAATAGAACCAGATGGCCGGGCACGGTGGTTCATGCCTGTAATCCCAGCAGTTTAGGAGGTCGAGGTGGGTGGATCACCTGAGGTCAGGAGTTCAAGACCACCATGAGCAACATGGCGAAACCCTGTCTCTACTAAAAATACAAAAATTAGCCGGGCGTGGTGGCATGCGCCTGTAATCTCAGGTATTCGGGAGACCGAGGCACGAGAATCACTTGAACCCGGGAGGCAGAGGTTGCAGCGAGCCAAGATCATGCCACTGCACTCCCACCTGGGCAACAGAGCGAGCCTCTATCTCAAAAAAAGAATAGAACCAGAGATGTGAACCATTGACATTCTAGACAAAAACGTGGATGCTACACAGGTATATGCATCTGCCTATTTGCTACACTCACCTCCCAAAACAGAAACACAAACCTTGTCACTTCCTCACATAGGCAGCTACGAAGAATAGACTAAGCCAATTACAGATTGTTTTTTGCTTATCTACGATGTAATTATCAATTAATAATAAAATTAAAAAGCTACCTGTATTAGAGTTCTCCAGGGAAACAGAACCAACTGTTCTGTTGGTAGAACAACTGATAGATAGATAGATAAAGAGACTCTTTCTTGCAACCTCTGCCTCCCAGGTTCGAGCAATTCTCATGCCTCAGCCACCTGAGTAGCTGGGATTACAGGTGTGCAGCATCACACCCGGCTAATTTTTGTATTTTTAGTTGAGACAGGGTTTTGCCATGTTGGCCAGGCTGGTCTCGAACTCCTGACTTCAAGTGATCTGCCCACCTCAGCCTCCCAAAGTGCTGGGACTACAGGCATGAGCCACTGCACCCAGCGCTTCCTTCCTTCCTTCCTTCTTTTTCTTTTTCTCTTTCCTTCCTTTTTGCCATCCATCGTTCCTTCCTCTCTCACTGTCTCTCTTTCTCTTTCTGTCTTACAAGGTGTTGGTTCATGTAATTATGGAAGCTGAGAAATCCCACAATATGCCATTTGTAAGCTAGAGACCCAGGAAAACCAGTGGTGTGGTTTAACAACCTCAGCAAGTCAATTGTGTAGATTCCAGTCTGCATCTGAAGGCCTAAGAACCAGGAGCACTGAAGATAGAAGATCAATTTCCCAGCTCAAGGGTCAGGCAGAGAGTGAATTCAGCCTTCCTCTGACTTTTTGTTCTACTCAGGCCCTCAAGGAGAATGATGTCCACCCACATTGGGGAGGAACAACTGCTTTAATCATTTCACCAACTCAGATACTAATCTCGTCCAGAAACAGCTTCACAGACACACTCAGAAATAATGTTTAATCAACTATCTAGATATCCCATGGCCCTGTGATGTTAACCCATACAACTAGCCATCATACTACCATTAAGGACATAAATTGGTTTTCAGATGAACTCATTAAAATGTAGAATCCTGGCCGAGCATAGTTGCTCATGCCTGTAATCCCAGAACTTTGGGAAGCTGAAGCAGGCAGATCACGAGGTCAGGAGTTCAAGACCAGCCTGACCAACATGGTGAAACCCTGTCTCTACTAAAAATACAAAAACTAGCTGGGGGTGGTGGCATGCACCTGTAATCCCAGCTACTCAGAAGACTGAGGCAGGAGAATCACTTGAACCCGGGAGGCAGAGGTTGCAGCGAGCCGGGATTGCACCACTGCACTCCGGCCTGGGCAACGACAGAGTGAGACTCCATCTCAAAAAAAAAAAAAAAAAAAAAAAAAAAGCAGAATCCTGAAAGTACAGGACACATTCATATCAACAAGGACCCAGTTTCTTCAGCTCAACTTAGGGTTGGGGCTTCCTTCCCAATTCTCCTGTCTTGATCTAATACCATCACCAATGTCTCAATCAGCCAAGCTTAAAATTCTAAAACTTGGTGTCATTTTTGACTCACTCTTCTTTTTTATCTCTCTTATCCCATGAGTCATCAACTTCTGGGCATCATTTCTTTGAAAAGTGTGATGTTTTCTCTTCTTCCGTTCTTTGCCAGTGCAGTCCTTAGTAACCACACACTGATTATAACGTCGCTTACTCTAGGCTCCTCTGCATTCCAGCTGCCCATCACATCCTTGCCAAATATCCCTAGAACACCATCCCCATTGAGTCATTCCTTAGCTCAAACACCTAGAATGGTGGCTCCGTGGGACCTCTACAATATCAGTCTATAGTTCACTATCAGCTTTTCAAGTTTCTTCATAATTGAGCTTCCTCCAGGAGACTTTCTCCTTCTGGATGGCAAAGCTGGTCTTGCTGACCCTGTGTTGTAAGCCTGCACAGTAGGTAACACGGAGTAGGTAGTGAGTAAATTACAGCCAAATGCATGGAGAAACATTGAAGCCCATGGAGTAGGTGACATCTCCCATTGCATTATAATTACTGATGTAATGTAATGAGTGGTACAGATGTTTTGCTTTTGTACAGGTGAGAAAGCACAGAAAGAGCATTTTGACAGGTCAGCGCTCTGCATGATCTTGTAAGTTGTGAGATCCTTCTTAGATGCGGGACAAGAAAACACAACTATTTCATGAGTACTTAGCAGTAATAGCACAGACTTAGAGAAAGTGATGTGAGACTTTTTTAAAAGTTTATGATACATAATTTGATTTTATGATAAATATCCTGATACGAGCTCATCGACCTTTTTTTGTCAGTTAGACTTACACACAAATCACGGTCACTATAAATAGGACCACTTGAAAACAAAAATAAAGGACAAATGATTTTGGGCAAGCCACTTAACATTTCTGGGCCGCACATTCCTTTTTTTTTTTTTTTTCTTTTTTTCAAGAGAGACAGGATCGCTTTACAAACCCGGCTGAAGTGTGGTGGTGTGAAGTGCACAGCTCACTGCAGCCTCAAACTCCTAGGCTCAAGCAATCCTCCTGCCTCAGCCTTCCAAGTAGCCGGGACTACAGGCACATGCCACCACGCCCTGCAAATTCCTCATCTTAAAATGAGGAGGTGGCACTAACCAGATGATCTCTGTGTTTCCTTCAGTTCTGACATCATTTGGCTCTGTATGCAAAAAACTACCCCTCTGCTCCTTAAATCAGCAAGTTTATTAGTCTGAGCATTCAGTTTTAAGATTTCATAGGCCAGTAAAATTCCCTCGCCCCCAGTTTTTTTCCACAGGATTTTCAGAGGGTTAGAAGTCTTTTATTTTTGTTGTTGTTGTTTCCACAGGGTTAGAAGTCTTTTATTTTTGTTGTTGTTGTTATTTTTATTTTTATTTTTTTGAGACAGAGTTTCGCTCTTGTCACCCAGGCTGGAGAGCAATGGCACAATCTCGCCTCACCGCAACCTCCACCTCCCAGGTTCAAGCGATTCTCCTGCCTCAGTCTCCCGAGTAGCTGGGATTACAGGCACCTGCCACCACGCCTAGTTAATTTTTGTATTTTTAGTAGAAATGAGGTTTCACCATGTTGGCCAGGCTAGTCTTAACTCCTGACCTCAGGTGATCCGCCCACCTTGGCCTCCCAAACTGCTAGGATTACAGGCGTGAGCCACCGTACCTGGCCAGAAGTCTTTTATTTTGACAAAAGAAGGAGTTTTTTATTCCTAGTCCCACCATCCTACAAATCATCACCATCATGTCATTTTAATAAACCATGTTAAGACCAGAAATTTAATCTCTGGATAAAAGATAATTATTGTGTTTAATACATTTTAAGTTTATGAAAAACTCATTGAAGCCACCTTATTTTTCGCATTTCACCATAGACTAGTGAAATCTTTGTCACAGGCTGATTCTGTTGTCATCCTGATTCAACACTTTTTTTCTCTGTGTGACCCAGGATTAAATCCAGCTTCCCCTTTGCTACATAGAGATATGAGGAAATTCACCATTTTATCATCTATATATTATAAAATCTAAAATATCAGCATTGGAAGGTTTATTAAATATAAATCCATCAGAAAGATATTTGCATTCTTTCTACCATACCTCCACCAGACAGTTATCACACTGACAGCTGATAGCCAGAGAGCTGTCTGGTTCTGAAGGTGAAGGATGGAATAATAATAGCCGGCTATATTTTAACATACGCATTTTACCAGCTTCCCTTTTACAAATCCCATATCAGTGATTTATGCACTCTGAAATGAGGCTGAGAAACATGGACATGGCTAAGTGCATACCTCTGATGTAATACAGTTGAAATGTTCTGTCTCTGAAATGTCTAGATTGTCTCCATTTTTCAATGTTCAGTGTAAGTGTCTCCTCCTCCAGGAAGCCTTCCCCACCTCTCCAGCCAAAAGGAATCTGCCCTCTTTTGAACTTCCAGAGTATTATTTCACCCTATCATATGACACTTTCCAATTTCCTCCACTTTCGTGTTATGGTGAAATATGTGGAAATCTTATTTCCTCTACTAGATTGTAAAGTCCTTGGTGACAGGAATTACATCTTTGGACATCATGTCTAGCCAGACACAGTTAGCCATGTATCCTCTAGGAAATGGGTTCTCAGTAAATCAAGGAAGAGATGAAGCAAGTGAAGAAGAAAAACTCTGTTGCATAAAGGAGAGGCCCCCCTGCTTGGAAAAATCTCTTTAAAGGGAATATTCAAGAGAAAGTGAGGGAGAAGGCCAGGCACAGTGGCTCACGCCTGTAATCCCAGCACTTTGGGAGGCTGAGGCGGGCGGATCACCTGAGGTCAGGAGTTCGAGACCAGCTTTGCCAACATGGCGAAACCCCGTCTACTAAATATACAAAAATTAGCCGAACGTGGTGGCAGTAATCCCAGCTGAGGGAGGCTGAGGCAGGAGAATCGCTTGAACCCAGGAGGCAGAGGTTGCAGTGAGCTGAAATCATGCCATTGCACTCCAACCTGGGTGACAAGAGCAAGACTCTGTCTTAAAAAAAGAAAGAAAGTGAGGAAGCAGAAGGCAAAAGTGAGTTGGGTTAAAAGCCAACTGATTAAGGAAAGAGATTGTGTCAAACCTAACAAGGAGCAGAGAGGAGTGAGAGGATGGCCAAGAGCCTATTATCTAGGTGGGTGATACTTGGCCCCATAGCCTGTGCTTCCACTTCTTCTCTCACCTGTTGCTTTTCAAGTCCTCTTACTGAATGGGTTCACTTGATACCCTTAAAGAAGCCAGAGCTTGGTCAGGCACGGCGGCTCATGCCTGTAATCCCAGCAATCCCAGCACTTTGGGAGGCCGGGGAGGGCAGATGGCTTGAGCTCAGGAGTTAGAGGCCAGCCTGGGCATTTGAAAAAAAATTAGTCAAGTGTGGTGGTACACACCTGTTGCCCCAGTTACTCTGGAGGCTGAGGTGGGAGGATCATTTGAGCCTGGGAGGTCAAGGCTGCAGTGAGCTGAGATCGGCCACAGCACTCCAGGCTGGGACAACAGAGCAAGACCCGGTCTCAAAAAAAAAAAAAAAAAAAAAAAAAAAGAAGAAGAAGAGGAAGAAGTCTGAGCTAGGCATGTGCAACTACCACAGGCAGACTTAAGCTCCAAGAAGCCATGTTAACTCCTTCCCTAGAAAATCAGTATGGTCTGTATGAGAGCAGGAGAGCAATCAGCTGGCTCAGTAGAAACCTCTCCCTACTGCACATGAGCAGAATCCTTCCTGCAACAGAAATCTGGAACATCTTGTTCAGTGAAATCATTTCTCCTTCAAGAAAACCTATGCCAGTGCTTACGATGACAGACTATCCATCCCTGACATAGGACTCTGCGTTGACACGGAAATGTGATCTGAGTCTGCAAGGGCCTTGGGGCAGGACCCTCTGTCTCTGATAGGACTAGAGGTCACTGCACTCATATATTGCCTATCAAGACCACCCTTCCTAATTTAGATTTTTTTTTTTTTGAGATGGGGTCTTGCTCTGTTGCCAGGCTGGTCTCAAACTCGTGGGCTCAAGCGATCCCTCCACCTTCCCGAGTAGCTGGGATTACAGGCTCAAACCACAATGCCCAACCCAATTTAGATCTTATTTTCTTTTTCTTTCTTTCTTGTTTTTTTGTTTGTTTGTTTGTTTGTTGTTGTTGTTGTTTTGTGACAGAGTCTCACTCTGTCCCCAGGCTGGAGTGCAGTGGCACGATCTCGGCTCACTGCAAGCTCCACCTCCCAGGTTCACGCCATTCTCCTGCCTCAACCTCCTGAGTAGCTGGGACTACAGGCGCCCGCCACAACGCCTGGCTAATTTTTTGTATTTTTATTAGAGACGGGGTTTCACCATGTTGGCCAGGATGGTCTTCATCTCTTGACCTCGTGATCCGCCCGCCTCGGCCTCCCAAAATGCTGGGATTACAGGCATGAGCCACCGCGACCAGCCTAGATCTTATTTTCATTTGATGCAAACGGGGCTTCAAACCAATGAGCCGCATCAGTCCAGGCTTGGCTACCCACGACTAGTCTGTCTTCGTACAGCCAGCACCTCCAATTCAATTTGTCCAAAATAGAACCCTTCACCTTTCCACACGCTGGTTTTTCAATCCTTAACAAGTGTATCTATTTCCCAGGTTGGGAGGCCTTACAGACCTTTCCACTACTCAACCCCAAAGCTTGTTTCCTACCTGGGCCTACTCAGCTGCTGGAGTCTCCTCCCATCTTTGCTGCAACCTCCTGGGGTGAAGCCAGGGTTCCGCTCCTCATCCAAGGATTATCGCCAAAGTCAAAGTTAAGTCAAAGGAAAGAATGTCCAATCCCTTTTCCTAGGGAGATTTTTTTATCACCTCTCCCATGGCACAGAAACCAGTGGTAAACTATAGATAAACTCATAGTTTGCTTCTGTTTCCAAAGGGAAGCTCACCAATGCCTCATCACCTGCTTCCTTCTGACCTGACTTTCAACCCAGGACAATGCAAGCTTGCAGAACACGCGGGCTGCTCTTTATCAAGCAGTCTGTTTGTGTTTCTAAGACTCTCCCTGATTCTATTTTTTGGGTTTTTTTTTTTTGTTGTTGTTGTTGTTGTTGTTGTTTTTGTTTTTTCAGACGGAATCTCACTCCGTCACCAGGCTGGAGTGCAGTGGCACAATCTCAGCTCACTGAAACCTCTGCCTCCCAGGTTCAGGTGATTCTCCTGCCTCAGCCTCCCAAGTAGCTGGGACTACAGGTGTGCGCCACCGCGGCTGGCTAATTTTTGCATTTTTAGTAGAGACAGGGTCTCACCATGTTGACCAAGCTGGTCTCGAACTCCAGGCCTCAGGTGATCTGCCTGCCTTAGCCTCTCAAAGTGCTGGGCCTCCCTGATTCTGTTACTCTGCCTGACCAAAGAATGATCACTTCCCATTTTCTCACATCTCTTTGAAAAACCAATTACTCTTAAAACTTTAGAAAAATGCCTCCCTCTCTCTGTCAAACTTGCAGAGCTCTGTGTTCCATCTCTTCCTTTCCATTCCCATTCCCCTGGTCTAGTCTAGGGTATTGTTCTACCCTCCTACATGGTCACCTGGTTCCTGATATCACTCCAGAATGATACTTCTAAACCACATTTTGATCATGTCACTACTGTCACCCCATTCCCCTGCAACCTCCAAAAACTCTTACTAACTCTCCATTGCTTGCAGAACAAAGACCAAATTATTTTGCATGGTATTGAAGGCTTCCACATTTGAGCCCCAACCTGCCAATCTAGTCTTGCTTACATTCTTCTGTTCCAAATTCCTGCTAACAGAACAAGCTCTAAGATTTCACATCTACTTCTCTGTCTGGAATTCATTTTGACCTATCAGAACTATGGCTATCCTTCAAGACTCAGATAAAATGACAAATGACATCTACTACACAAGCCTTCCTTGATATTCCCTACCTGAAATGTTTTCCCCCTATTCCTGGCACTTCCACGAAACTCCCCCTTATAAGCATTTGTTACCTTTTACTTTGTATTACAGTAACTTGTGCACACAGCCCAGTTCTTATCCCAAATTGCAAACTCCACAAGGCCAAGGACAGTGTTATTGAATTTTATATTCTTTTCAATCCCTAGTACACTCCCTTTCATAAAGTTACTTAATGAAGTATTTATTAAATCCATTAATCCAGCTGGGTGCAGTGGCTCATGCCTGGAATCCCAGCACTTTGGGAGGTTGAGGTAAGCAGATCACTTGAAGCCAGGAGTTAGAGACCAGCCTGGCCAACATAGTGAAACCCTGTCTCTACTAAAAATACAAAACCCTGTCTCTACTAAAAATACAAAAATTATGCACCTATAGTCCCAGCTACTCAGGAGGCCGAGGCACAAGAATCACTTGAACGCAGGAAGTGGAGGTTGCAATGAGCCAAGATTGCACTATGGCACTCAAGCCTGGGCAACACAGTAAGACTCTGTTTCAAATAAATAAATAAAAAAGAAAGAAAAATTCATTAATACACTAGGGGTGAATGTTGTCAACAACTTTTTTTTATAGTTAAGTAACTTCAACTTTAAACTTTTTAAATTTGCACGTTTTGTCCAGAAATGATGTTAATCATTTATCATACAACCATATCCTCAGTCCAGAGGTTAATCTATGCAGAAAGAAGCTTTCATTATACATCCAAGTGAGTTACATTTCAGATAACTGTGTAGTAGTGCCTACTTGGCACTTTTCATAAGAATCAATTCTTTTGTATTCCCTATGAGTCAGGGGAGGAGAGGAAACCAGAAGGATAAAGGAACATATTCAAGTTCCCCAGCAAATGAGGTCAGAGATTAGAGTTAGGGCTTTGTAAGGTTGAGGCAAAGGTTATGTTGAAATTCCCAGAGTGCTGAGTCTCAGAGCAGTCAGTGAGTCAACTGCGAAGGCGCTGAGTAACGAACTACGAGATCTGAGCGGCATCTCACACAGGACACTGAAGAAAGGCATTTTGTAGACGGATGACTGCCCTGCCAGTGTGGTGGGTGAAATGGGGGAGTTCTGGCCGGCAGTGTGGCCCTTGCCTGCAGTGAGTCTTAAGGGGACTCATTTACTTACCTGTCCAAGTCTCACTTCACCTTCCAAGAAAGAAAAATGCTGAACTTACTTAGGTAACCAATAGTCCCTTTCTAGCTTTCAAGCTGTGGTAGAGGAATTCATTCACTTAGTAGTGAATGTTCTGAGCAAGTGGCTTTTTACATCCCTGGGAAGTACAAAAGAGCCTAAGGGCAATGGCCAGGGCAAAACTAACACCTGAAAAGAAATTAACAGTTCAGTGGGGAATAGAACTGGGTAGGAATAAAACAGGACCAACTCCTGGAGAGTCTGGAGAGTCTGGAGAGGCAGGCTGTGAAATCTGACCTTGACTTAGAAGAGGGAGCAGAGGGGGAGGCTGGTAGGTAATAAAGAGGGGAAACAATGGACTTCAGACTTTGAATAAAACATCCCTCATGTCATCTGAGCCTCAAAGTATACTAAGAATTATGCAAGATACAGGGGCAGCCAACAGGTTCGATCCACATGTGAATCAAATTATTTCAGGCCCCCCAACAATAATGCCTCAACTGAATACCTTGATGGGGGATTAATTCCAGGTCCACATCTGGGCTATCCAGCTCCAGGAACTTAAGCTGGCATTACACCAGTACTGGCTTTGTATGGCACTTCCCCACACTTAAGAAAGGGGAAGAACCTGAAATGGGAGAAGTCAAATGTTTACTCAGACTTCTGATTTAAGGTGCCGTGCCTCTTTGTACTGCCTTGACCTGGGGGCATGATATGGTCAAAGTGCTGTTTTTGAAAGCTAAATTAGCTGGGTGTGGTGGCTCACGCCTGTAATCCCAGCACTTTGGGAGGCTGAGGCGGGCGGATCACCTGAGGTCAGGAATTCAAGACCAGCCTGGCCAACATGATGAAACGCCCGTCTCTACCAAAAAAAAAAATACAAAATTTTGGCCAGGCGTGGTGGCTCACGCCTGTAATCCCAGCACTTTGGGAGGCTGAGGTGGGTGGATCACGAGGTCAAGAGATGGAGACCATCCTGGCCATCATGGTGAAAACCCATCTCTAATAAAAATACAAAAAATTGGCAGGGCATGGTGGCACGTGCCTGTAGTCCCAGCTACTCAGGAGGCTGAGGCAGGAGGATTGCTTGAACCCAGGAGGCAGAGGTTGCAGTGAGCTGAGATCACACCACTGCACTCCAGCGTGGGCAACAGAGCAGAAAAAAAAAAAAGAAAGAAAAAGAAAGAAAGAAAGAAAGAAAATTTAAGCAACCATTTGTAAGGTGGGCAAGCATTGGAAGAGGAGGAAGACAGAAATATGGCCAGTTACGAGGTATGACAATTAATAAGGGCTGGAGAAGGCAATGTTGTCCTTCAGTTGCAGTGAGCCAAGATCACACCGCTGCTCTCCAGCACGGGCAACAGAGTGGAAAAAAAAAAAAAAAGAAAGAAAGGTAAGTTAAGCAACCATTCGTAATGGGGCAAGCATTGGAAGATGAGGAAGACAGAAATGTGGCCAGTTAGGAGGTATGACAATTAATAAGGGCTGGAGAAGGCAATGCAAAGATAGGAAGCAGGTGACAAATGCATTATAGGGGAAAAAGGAAAAATCCTTTTCAGATTCCACTGACATCTATTGAACACTTATTCTATTTCTTTTTTCCTTATTTTTTTTTTGAGATGGAGTCTCGCTCTGTTGCGCAGGCTGAAGTGCAGTGGTGCAGGCTTGGCTCACTGCAACCTCTGCTTCCCATGTCCGAGCGATTATCCTGCCTCAGCCTCCTGAGTAGCAGATTACAGGCATGTGCCACCATGCCCAGCTCATTTTTGTATTATTAGTAGAGGTGGGGTTTCACCATGCTGGCCAGGCTGGTCTTGAACTTCTGACCTCAGGTGATCCGCCGGTCTCAGCCTCCCAAGGTGCTAGGATTACAAGCATGAGCCACCGCACGCGGCCTCTTATTCTATTCCTAGTTATACTCTTAAGTGCTTTCATGTGCTCTTTAAATTTGGTCTTCAGAACGATCCTACAGAGATAAATAAGTTTTGTAAGAGATGTTGAGAGAGTTGCTGTGGTCCATAGCTAGTAAGTGGTAGAGCAGAATTTGAATCCAGGCATCCTGATTCCAAGTCCCGTATTCTCTTCATGACATTATGGATCTAGAGAAGTGGCATTTAAAGAAATGGCACTGCTGGGAGGAGTGGCCCGTAGAGGGGAAATACACTGGCTTTGATTTGGATCTGAGCTGTGGTAGGATATCTAATTGCAGATGTTCCATAGTGACCTGGCTCACGTCTTGCTTTCCATCCTGACTCACATAAAAACCAGTGACCTCCACTGCTTGACTCCCTCTGGATCACATTGTATCTCAGCCATCTCAGGCAACTGTTCCACTTAAAACCTCGCTTTCTGTCTACAACTCTCCAACTTTCCAGGCCTCCAGCTCTCTCATTCCTATTGCAAACACCGAAATGCCTTTGACTTTTTAGAAACATCAATCCCTTGATATTTTTATTTTCTCCCAGTCTTTTTTGTTTTGTTTTGTTTTTGTTTTTGAGACAGGCTCTCACTCTGTCACCCAGACCGGAGTACAGTGGTATGATCACAGCTCACCGTAACCTCAAGTTCCTGGGCTCAAGCAATCTTCCTGCCTCAGCTTCCTGAGTAGCTAGGACTACAGGTGCACAACACCAATCCTGGCTAATTTTACTTTTATTCATTTTTTGTAAAGATAGGGGCTCACTGTGTTGCCCAGGCTGGATTTGAACTCCTGGGCTCAAGCAAGCCTCCTGCCTTAGCCTCCCAAAGAGTACTGGTCTCCCAGTCTTTTTTTTTTTTTTTTTTTTGAGACAGGGTCTCACTCTGTCACCCAGGCTGGAGTGCAGTGGGGCGATCTTGGCTCACTGTAACCTCTGCCTCCCAAGTTCAAGCAATTCTCCTGCCTCAGCCTCTCGAGTAGCTGGGATTACAGGTGTCTGCCACTATGCCCAGCTAATTTTTTGTATGGGATGGGGTTTCACCATGTTGGCCAGACTGGTCTCAAACTTCTGACCTTGTGATTCACCCGCCTTGGCCTCCCAAAGTGCTGGGATTACAGGCGTGAGTCACCATGCCTGGCCCCAGTCTTTTTTTTATTAGTTCCTCCAGACGTCTCCATCTCTCCAAATAACCCCAGATGCCTTAGCTCATTATCCAAAGCCTGCTTTTGCCTTTGATTTCCCAGTACCCCAATGGAAAAGTATAGATGTAACTCTGTAACATCTCTCAGACAATACCCCAATCCTGGCTGGATGTTACAACCTGTCTTCACCTTTACTCAGTTGCCAGAGGAAACTTTCTCAGTCTTGCAGAGAACACTCACAATCTCCAACTTCAGCTGGGCCCTGAGCACCCCTCAATTCTTTCCCTGCCCAGAGTCTCTCCCTCATTGCCTCCTATTTCATAGAAAAAGCCTGAGCGCATCACACCTTCTCTCTCCATCATCCTCCTACCTATAAATGTAGCAACGTCCACAGCCTTGCCACTGCTTTCCCTCCCCTCAACAGAGAAGCCACTGTCCCTTCTGCCCAAGGCCAGGACCTGCCCTCCTGGGCCTCCCAGGATTCTGCTCCTTCACACCACTGGGTGTCATCTCTCTTCCTCTGCTGCCTCCTTTCTGTCAGCTTCTAACATGCTCCAACCTCTCCTCCTACACCTCGCAACTTCTCCATCCCTGCTTCTCCAAACTTCTCAAAGGACAGAAAGCCTTGACTTCCTCACCTCACACCTGCTTCTCAACCTGCAGTCTGACTCTCACTTCCATTAGCTCTGGAAACTATACCCCTAAGATCTTAAATGCCCTCCTAATTGACACATCTTCTTTTTATCTTCCTGGGCCCCTCTGCTCCTTTTTTAAAAATTTTTATTTTAAATTCTGGTCAAATACACATAACATAAAATTTACTGTCTGAACAATATTTACGTGTACAGTTCAGTAGTGTTACATATATTCACATTGTTGTGCAAACCCATTAAACAACAAGTACCCACTCTCCCCTCTCTTCCAGCCCCTGGCAACCACCATTCTACTTTCTATCTCTATGGATTTGACTATCCTAGATACCTCATACCAGTAGAATCATACAGTGTTTGTCTGTTTGTGTCTGGCTTATTTCACTTAGCATAATGTCTTCAAGGTTCACCCACGTCGTGGGATGTGTTATAATTTCCTTCTTTTTTTTTTTTTTTTTTTTTTGAGATGGAGTTTCACTCTTGTTGCCCAGGCTGGAGTGCAATGGCGCGATCTCAGCTCACTGCAACCTCCACCTTCCAGGTTCAAGCGATTCTCCTGCCTCAGCCTCCCAAGTAGCTGGATTACAAGCATGCGCCACCACGCTGGGCTAATTTTGTATTTTTAGTAGAGACGGAGTTTCTCCATGTTGGTTAGGCTGGTCTTGAACCCCCAACCTCAGGTGATCCACCTGCCTCGGCCTCCCAAAATGCTGGGATTACAGGCATGAGCCACTGCACCTGGCCTAATGTCCTTCCTTTTTAAGGCTGAATAATATGCCATTGTATGGATGAACAATATTTTGTTCATTCATTCATCTACTGATGGACATTTGGGTTGCATACACCTGTTGGCTACTGTGAATAATGCTATGAACATGGCCATACAAATATTTCTTCTAGATCCGGCTTTCAATTCTTGTGGACATATACCCAGAAGAGGTATTGCTGGATCGTATGATCTGCTCCTTGTTTTTTTGTTTTGTTTTGTTTTTTGTTTTTGAGATGGAGTTTCACTCTTGTCACCCAGGCTGGAGTGCAATGGCACGATCTCAGATCACTGCAACCTCTACCTCCCAGATTCAAGCGATCCTCCTGCCTCAGCCTCCTGAGTGGCTGGGATTACAGGCATGCACCATCACACCTGACTAATTTTGTATTTTTAGTAGAGATGGGGGTTTCTCCATGTTGATCAGGCTGGTCTGGAACTCCCAAACTCAGGTGATCCACCCACCTCAGCCTCCCAAAGTGCTGGAATTATAGGCATGAGCCACCGCACCTGGCTGCTCCATGTTTTAAAGGCCATCATTAGGCCAGGCATGGTGGCTCACGCCTGTAATCCCAGCACTTTGGGAAGCGGAGGCGGACGGATCACAAGGTTAGGAGTTCAAGACCAGCCTGGCCAACCAGTGAAACCCTGTCTCTACTAAAAATACAAAAAAAAAATTAGGCGGGTATAGTGGTGTGTGCCTGTAATCCCAGCTACTCGGGAGGTTAAGGCAGGAGAATCGCTTGAAGCCAGGAGGCAGAGGTTGCAGTGAGCCAAGATTGCGCCATTGCACTCCAGCCTGGGCGGCAGAGAAAGACTGTCTCAAAAATAATAATAATAATAATAATAATAATAATAATTTTTGAAAAAGGCCATCATTGCTTCCTTCCTGAAGCTCCCTGCTACATTGTCTCCATAAGACACAGTCCTTATTCTTACCTCCAGTTCTCTTGGCACCCTTCTTACCCTTCCATCTCCTCCTCTGCAGGTTTTCCCTCTGCCTGCCCTAGGGGTCTGAATCAGAGTCCAATCAGAAAAACAGATGTTTCCCTATAAAAAGAGGGTGTTCAATACAGGAAATTGATGAAATAGCCATTGGAAAGCTGAAAGAATACACAGGGGAGTGCTGAGATAGCCCAGATCAATAACTGCAGGAAGCCACCCCCAGTCCTAGGGCTGAAAAACAAAGAGGTGAGGTTTACCCCCACCTCTAGAGGCTCTCAGAGACCTGTCTCCCTTACTGCACAGCTGGGCTTTGACCCTTGAATTAGAGAATTAGAGACAGGGTTTTCCAGAGAAACAGAACCAAGAGGAGAAAGAGAGAGAAAAATAGAAAAAAAGAAAGAAAGAGAGAGAAAGAAAGGAAAGAAAGAAAGGCAGGCAGGCAGAGAGGCAAGCAGACAGGCAGACAGACAGATAAATAGATAGGAGAGAGAGAGAGAGAATTTGTTGGCTCACACAATTGTGGAGGCAGAGAAGTCCCACAATGTGTCATCTGCAAGCTGGAGAGCAAGGAAACCCCATGGTATAATTCCATCTGAGGCCAAAGGCCTGTGAATGGGAGGCTGGGAAAGGGTGAGGGGGAGTGCCAGGGTTGGTGTAAGTCACAGAGTCCAAGGACCCAAGACTCAGGATCTCTGATATCCAAGAGCAGAAGATGGACATCCAAGGGCAGGAGAAGCTAGATGTCCCAGCTCAAGCAGAGAGTAAAGTCTCCTTTCCTCTGTCTTTATGTTCTATTTGGGCCCTCAACAGATTGGATGATGCCTTTTCACACTGGTGAGAGCAAATCTTTACTGAGCCTACTGATTCAAATACTAATGTCTTCCTGAAACACCCTCACAGACACATCCAGAAATAGGGGGAGACTGGAAAGAAAAGTTTGCAAACCTCAACCATAGCCTCAAAGAACAGAGTCCAGAAGGACAGATTTGAAGCCAAGAGACAATACACAGATGATGAGCCTGGGTCTCTGTCCTGGGTTCACCATTCTTCTCACTACATTCACTTTCTAGGAGCGGTCTCAGTTTTCCAGGAGTAAACTCTCATGCTTCCAACCCTACCTATATGCCAGTGACATCCAAGTCCATTTGTCCAATGCAGACCTTTCTTCTGAGCTTTAGAAACATTTCTTCACCAGTTGCCTGCTGGGAATGTCCTCCCTGATGGCCTTCAAATTAAACAGGCTACAAACAGGACTTGTCATCTTTCCTGCTCAACCCACCTCCACTCCTCGGTTCTGCAATTATGTCTGGGCACGGTGGTTCATGCCTGTAAACCCAGCATTTTGGGAGGCCGAGGCAGGAGGATTGGTTGAGCTCAGGAGTTCAAGACCAGCCTGAGCAACATGGTGAAACAGTGTCTCTCCCAAAAATACAAAAATTAGCTGGGCATGGTGGCATGCACTTGTAGTCCCAGCTGTTCAGGAGGCTAAGGTGGGAGGATCGCTTGAGCCCAGGAGGTGGAGGCAGCAGTGAGCCCTGGTTGCACCACTGCACTCCAGCCTGGGGGACAGAACAAGACCCTGTCTCAAAAAAAAAAAAAAAATTAATGGATTTCTCCACCCCCATCCCAAATGGGTTAGGTGGGTGTCTCTTCTTTGTGCCCCCATTATACACTGTAATACTTTTTTTTTTTTCTTTTGAGACAAGTGTTTCACTCATGCTGCCCAGGCTGTAGTGCAATGGTGCAGTCTCGGCTCACTGCAACCTCTGCTTCTCAGGTTCAAGCAATTCTCCTGCCTCAGCCCCCTGAGTAGCTGGATTACGGGCATGTGCCATCATGCCCAGCTAATTTTGTATTTTTAGTAGAGGCAGGATTTCATTATGTTGGTCAGTCTGGTCTTGAACTCCTGACCTCAGGTGATCCACCCACCTCAGTCTCCCAAAGTGTTGGGATTACAGGCTTGAGCCACCATGCCCAGCCTGTAACACTTCTCTTATTGCACTGACATTATAATTAACTGTAGATGTATCTGTCTCCCACCTCTCTTCACCTCTCTGCCACCTCCTGAGAGCTCTGTCATGTCAGGGACAATCGTATATTTGTTTGAAACCAAGTAGGCACTCCAAAGGTGTTTGCTGACAGAATGGTGCCAACTGGGGGAAAAGGACTGGATCAAAAGTAAAAACTCACAGTGGGGCACCCAGATGTGAGAGTCCTCTCAGTAGAGGTAAGTTTAGAATTGAACCTTGGGGATCACCCCTAATTATGAAAACAAGGGAGAGGAAATGGCAAAGATGAGGCAAGAGATCCAGAAGAGTCCCGGGCCAGGGGAACCAAAAAAGGTGTTTCCAGGCCAGGTGCAGTGGCTCATGCCTGTAATCCCAGCACTTTGGGAGGCTGAAGCAGGCAGATCACCTGAGTTCAGGAGTTCGAGACCAGCCCGGCCAACATGGTGAAACCCCATCTCTACTAAAAATACAAAAATTAGCTAGGCATGGTGACAGGCACCTGTAATCCCAGCTATTCGAGAGGCTGAGGCAGGACAGTCGCTTGAACCCGGAGAGGGTGGAGGTTGCAGTGAGCCAAGATGGAGCCACTGCACTCCAGCCTGGGCAACAGAGCAAGACCCCACCTCAAAAAAAAAAAAAAAAAAAAAGTGTTTCCAGAAGGAAGGGAAGATCAGCTGGGGCAAATTTGGCTGAAAGAATCAGGAAGTTGAGGACTGAGAAAAGGTTTGAATGTCACCAAAAAAGAGGAACTTTTGCAGTTTTGAAAAAGTTGTGGGGATAGAAACCAGCTTCCCTGAGCTGTAGATGCGACTGCTTTCACAGGAGTCTGCAGGCTGCTTGTGGAAATGGCTTGGCATAAGGAGGTGAGTTAAGTTCCCCCATTTGGATGGAGTACAGTGAGCCCCAGAATGTTATTTCTCCTATTTTCTTCTCCTTTCTGCCCCAATAAGTACAAAATGGGCTGAGAGTCACAGGGTTTGTGACCCGACAACAGTTCCATTTCCCTTTCCTCACTGTTGGCATAATGCCTTTTGAATATTATTTTCACAACTGAGGCCAGGTGCGGTGCCTCACGCCTATAATCCCAGTACTTTGGGAGGCCGAGGCTGACAGATCACCTGAGGTCAGGAGTCCCAGACCAGCCTGGCCAACATGGTGAAACCCCATCTCTACTAAAAATACAAAAAAATCAGCCAACGTGGTGGTTCGTGCTTGTAATCCCAGCTACTCAGGAGGCTAAGGCATGAGAATTGCTTGAACCTGGGCGGCACAGGTTACACTGAGCCAAGATCATGCCGCTTCACTCCAGCCTGAGCGACAGGGCGAGACTCTGTCTCAAAAAAAGAAAAAAAAATATTTTCACAGCTGGCATAAAATGAAATCTTATTCCTTTCCCAACCTTACATGAAGATGACTATTGCCCACTAATGCCTATTCAGAGAATGTAAATAAAATATAAACAAGGGCCAGGCACAGTGGCTCACGCCTGTAATCCCAGCACTTTGGGAGGCCAAGGCGGGCGGATCACCTGAGGTCAGGAGTTCAAGACCACAGACCACCCTGACCAACATGGTGAAACCCCATCTCTACTAAAAATACAAAAATTAGCTGGGCTTGGTGGTGCATGCCTGTAGTCCCAGCTACTCAGGAAGCTGAGGCAGGAGAATTGCTTGAACCTGGGAGGTGGAGGTTGCAGTGAACCCAGATCATGCCACTGCACTCCAGCCTGGGTGAGAGAGTGAGACTCTGTCTCAAAAAAAAAAAAAAAATATATATATATATATATATATGCATACATATGTATATATATGTGTATATATATGTGCATACATATGTATATATATGTGTATATATGTATATATATGTGTATGTGTATATATATACACACATATATGTCATTTTTCTTCACAAAAGAAGCTAAAATATATTTCTGTACCAAAAATAAAGTTGTAAACTGCTTTTTAAAAAATTCTCTGTGGGAGGCTTCCAAAAACATATTCTACAGCAATTATTCTGAAAGTCAGTATGTCAGAAATAAATTACTTTCTTGACCTAACAATATGTGCCCCTGGCACAAGGAGAGACATAAACAAATTCCTCTTCACGTGGAACAGAAGATAGCTAAGACAAGTTCCCTAAATTGTAAACCTTGGAGGCTGGGAAATTTGGCCAGTTTTCAACTTGAAAGCAACCTCTGCAATGTTAATCAGTTAAACCTGCGTTTGTGTCATAGTGTGGATTCACCCAGTAACTGGAAAGCCCAGGGAATGTAACATTGTCCCTGGCAAAGCTCAATAAATGGAAAGAGTGGAGTTTACTGAAAGTCACAAAACACCTGTTGACGGAGAATGTCCCCACTTCACCTTGAAATTGGGGATCTGACAAAAGAAATTGCTACAGGAAATTGTTTTCCATGATCACAAGTTGAACTCATAAATTGCTGACAGATAAAACAGGGTTCCTAGTTGAACTTAGATAAAAACTGATAGCCTGGTACAAGAGTTCTTAAGCATAGGTGGTATGTGAACTTGGACTGGGAAAAATATACAAACAGTCCGAGACTTTAGATTTTTTAACTTTATGATAGTGGGATAGTTATACATATTCAGCAGAAAACATTCTTCAAGTATCCATACAACCATTCTATTTTTCACTTCAGTACAGTATTCAATAAATTGCATGAGAAAGTCAACACATTATTATAAAATAGGCTTTGTGGACAGGCACAGTGGCTCACGTCTGTAATCCCAGCACTTTGGGAGGCCTAGGCAGGTTGATCACTTGAGGTCAGGAGTTTGAGACCAGCCTGGCCAACATGGTGAAACCCGGTCTCCACTAAAAATACAAAAAGTAGCCGGGCATAGTGGTACACACCTGTAATCCCAGCTACTCGGGACACTGAGGCGGGAGAATTGCTTGAACCCGGGAGGTGGAGATTGCAGTGAGCTGAGATCACGCCATTGTACTCCAGCCTGGGTGACAGAGCCAGACTTTGTCTCAAAAATAAAATAAAATAAAATAAAATAAAAAAGATTTTGTGCTAGGTGATTTTGCCCAAATATAGGCTAATGTAAGTGTTCTGAGCAAACTGAAGGTAAGTGAAGTTAAGCTATAATGTTCAGTAGGTTAGGTGAATTAAATGTATTATCAACTTAACAATATTTTTATGATGGGTTTATCAGGTTATAGCCCCATCAGAGGTTGACGAGCATCTGTATTTATTTACACTAATTTCTAACTGGAATTTAACATTTTCTTCAATTATCAATGTAGGGAACAAACTGCTAGAATTAACAAAAACTACAGATTTTTTTTTTCTTTTTTTTTTTGAGACGGAGTTTCGCTCTTGTTGCCCAGGCTGGAGTGCAATGGCGTGATCTCGGCTCACCACAACCTCTGCCTCCCGGGTTCAAGCGATTCTCCTGCCTCAGCCTCCCGAGTAGCTGGGATTACAGGCATGTGGCACCACACCCGGCTAATTTTGTATTTTTTTAGTAGAGACGTGGTTTCTCCATGTTGGTCAGACTGGTCTCGAACCCCCGACCTCAGGTGATCTATCCACCTCGGCCTCCCGAAGTACTTGGATTACAAGCGTGAGCCACCGTGCCCAGCAGAAATTACAGATTTTTTTATGTCACTTTACAGTAGTTGCAGATATTAGGTTGGTGCAAATGTTATTGAGGTTTTTGCCATTGAAAGTAATAGCAAAAATCACAATTATTTTTGCACCAACCTAATACTTTGAAATATCATTATTACTAGTTATTAGAGCCACTGTTATTTAATGCATTAAAAAGTAGCATATATATTATTATACCAGAAATTTGGAGGTTAAAAAATTATTCTGGTAACTTTATTTCAGTATAATTGGATTCTGTGGTTATTCTATGTATTTTGTTTTATGCATTTAATAAAACATTCTGAGGAGTCTGTAGGCTTCATCAGACCGCTGATGTGTCCAGCACACCAAAAAGTTTAGGAAACCTTGATCTAGTACTTTATGAATAAAGTTTTTAGGCTATCATCTTTTAGTTGCAGGCACAAAGATATGAACAAGAAATTCTATTTGCACCATTTGGTGGCCTTAGTAAGTTGGAATCTAGATTATCCTTTTTGCAAAGTAGTGTTATTTAGGAATAATCATTTAGTCTATATCCTGTACAATCTTATTTACAATTTTGGTTTTACAATCTAAGTACAATTCCTGTTCTGGGATTTTTTTTCCAGATATCAGCCAGAGATTTTGCCTCTATCCTATTTAGTGAAACCTTCTACCTCTTGCCTTGTTCATTGCTACACATCTAGTGAATAGTGCAATACAATTATACTGCTCATGCTTTAAGCAGAACATGTGGTTCAAGTGCAAGGAAGGAAAGACATACTACTTTCCTTTGGATGCCTGTTAATCAGGAACGCTCCCAGTTAATTTCTGGGGCTGGTGCAGACCCCAAAATGGCCAAGTCCCAAGGTGAAACACTGGAATTGAGTCAAACCTCTAAAGAGGTCTTGGAGTCCCATAGACATTCCTAAGGTAACTAACGGCCATGAGAAGAACATTTGGAAGGATCTTCAGCGCAGGAGCACAGCTTGCTGTGGGAGGCAATTCAATTCAGAAAGCACATCAGAAGCCTAGTAAGTTTAAAGTAAAAAACTACTGGGGCCAGGCATGGTGGCTCACACCTGTAATCCCAACACATTGGGAGGCTGAAGTGGGCGGATCATTTGAGCCCAGGAGTTCCAGGCCAGCCTGGGCAACATGGTGAGACACCATCTTTAATAAAAATACAAAAAATTAGCTGGGCATGGTGGCACATGCCTGTAATCCCAGCAACTCGGGAGGATGAGGCAGAAGAATTCTTGAACCCAGGAGCTGGAGGTTGCAGTGAGCCAAGATTGCGCCGCTGCACTCCAGCTTGGGTGACTGAGTGAAACCTTGTCTCAAAAAGAAAAACCTATTGGCAGGAAAGGCACACCTAGGAGGTTTCTTTTGTGTTTCGACCACATCTTGTTCATGTAAAATATTTGAAAGATTCAATGTACAATGTCAAAGCTGTTTTTAGGATTCTGATATCCCATGCACAAAATAACTTACCATTTGTTGCTTAGCAGGAAAAGATACTGGATAATCAAACACAATTTATCCATTTTGGTGTCCTTAAATGACTGTACCTGTTGTAACTGCTCTCTTGGCCAGAGAAATTATGAACACTTTACAGAAAAATGTCCCTGTACTGCCCCCAAGAGATAGAATCTCAGAGGTAGCTTTTCAAACCCACATAGTCTAAGAGCTTTGAAGCCTGCAGGGCCTATTAAAGACATTTATGTAGAATTAACTTCAAGATACCAGGAATACTATTTGGGTGATCAAGGTAAATATTCTTGGGATTTTTTTTCCCCAGACATCAACCAAAAACTGTATCTATCCTATTTGGTGCTTAGTTCATTATTACACATCTAGGGAAGGAACAGTAAAATTGTAATGCTCATGGTTTAAGCATAGCATATTCTCAGTGTAGGAAGAAAAAGAACAACTGTGCATTTGTCTTGGCACAGGACCTTTTGGAAGTTTAAAGAGCATACCATGGGCTTCTCATTATCCCCTATCTAGAAACAAGTCTGCTTACAGCAGTGTGAGTTCACAGAATCAAGCACTTCAGAGGGTCCTCCGTATTTCTCAAACATGACTGTGCCCTGGGCATGCTGTTGCAGTGCAAATCCTGATGCAGTGAGCCTGGAGTGGCTTTTTCTTTTTTCTTTTCTTTTTTTTTTTTTTTGAGACGGAGTCTGGCTCTGCCGCCCAGGCTGGAGTGCAGTGGCGCAATCTCGGCTCACCGCAACTTCCGCCTCCCGAATTCAAGCGATTCTCCTGCCTCAGCCTCCCGAGTAGCTGGGACTGCAGGCCTCCGCCGCCATGCCCAGAAATGTTTTTATTTTTTATTTTTTATTTTTTTTTAGTAGAGACAGGGTTTCACCGTGTTAGCCAGGATGGTCTCGATCTCCTGACCTCGTGATCCGCCCGTCTCGGCCTTCCAAAGTACTGGAATTACAGGCGTGAGCCACCGCGCCCAGCCCTGGAGTGGCTTTTTCTGACAAGCTGCCTAGTGATGCCAGAATTGCTGTTTCTGGAGTCCTCAGATAAGGACTTCTAGGTAGTGATGGAGCCAGGACTACTCCTGGATTTAGAAGGATTTAGAATAGGTAATAATAAGCAGCCTACAACTCAGGAAGATTTTAGGGGTGGGGCTTCAGCAAGACTGAATTACTTTTCATAAAAGAAGAGGGTATTTCCACCATGCCATGATGCTAGTCAATTTTTGCTTTACTCCCTCCAGGTTACCTAAAGCCCGAAGAGAAAATCAAATGTAGTGCAATATTATCCATAAATATTAACATGCTATTATTCCTTAAGGAATAAAGGTTCTTCTATTGTTAATAAGCCTGTCATTTTAACTTCTTTACTCTTCACAAAACTTTCTAGAACTTATCTTAAAATATTTTGATAATGAAGACACTGCTTATTATGGCACTAGTTTACTCTTTAGACAACTCGAAAGTTGTATTTATTTTAATTATATAAAGAATTGTTAGTACTTTTCTGGAGGTAATTACCACCGTTAGCACTTCACTGTATTTGGGGAAAACATGATTTTTTCTTAATGATCATACTTACCTACACCAAATGCTTTTATGCCTCACTTTCAGACCAGGCTGACAAGAGGTTTGTTTTTGCAGTATGTCTAGCAAAAAAAAAAAAAAAAATGCCTTTACTGTTTATTTACTCTTGTATTTTTAGAGTTTGCATTTTTAATGATCCTAATTTATTAGAGAATAATTCTCAGTGCTGCCGTCAGTATTCATTATTAATATCTTCTAAAGCAGATGGAGTTATACAAATCTAAAGATATGAGTAGCACAATCTATCTGCTTTTGCAGTAGGTAGTGTGTCAACATAAAACCGACAATCTTACTCATATACTACTCTCATTACAAAGATAATAACCTTCTGTAAGTCTCTGAAATCTCAATAATATGGATTTTGGCCAGGGAGGGTGACTCATGCCTGTAATCCCAGCACTTTGGGAGGCCGAGGAGGGCAGATTCCTTGAGCTCAGGAGTAAGAGACCAGCCTGGGCAACATGGCAAAACCCCATCTCTACAAAAAAAAAAAAAAAAAAATTAGCCAGGCATGGTGGTGTGCACCTGAGTCCTGGCTACTCAGGAGGCTGAGATGGGAGGATCGCTTCAGCCCAGGGGTTCGAGGCTCCAGTGAGCCATGATTGGGACACTGCACTCCATCCTGGGTAACAGAACAAGACCCCCCTGCAATAATAATAATAATAATAATAATAAATTTATAAAAATGAATCATGGTGCTGGGATGAGATAAGGCTGCTCCATTCTCATGGCAACTGATACCTGATACAAAAGTTTTTCCAGGCATCTTCCTTTAATTTTAAGAAAAGCTGATGAATATATGCCCATCTTGAGATAACTGGCACATATACAGCTTTACACTTAGCCAATGGAAGGGTTTTACAGGGAAGTCACATGGCCAGGTGTGTGCCCGCAGACTGCCACTTTAAGGCTCCTCCCCATTCACAGGTGAATAGGCTGAACTGAAAACAAAGCCCAAAATAGCAGCCTCAATTTCCACCAGTAGAGAATTCACACAACTAATCCACATCTCTGCCTTCCTCTGTTTGTTCCGTAATCAAACCGAACACCTATTTCCTCCTCTGGTTTCATGTTCATTTGGGCCTTGACACGTTGTTTTACCTGATCCTCTGTGTCATAATCCATCTTTCTTCCAAGAAGAGCTTGTGTCTTCTTTCTGGGCCCAGCATTGTTTGTATTGTCTGCAAGGCCATTTGACCACACTGACAAGGCCTGGTGAGCTTTATTCTGGGCAATCAAGAATGTGCCAAGGATGGCTCTTGCCTTTTTCTCAGAGAGTTTAATATCAGACACCAAGGAGGAAGCCCATTAGGAAGATATTGAATTCACAACAGAGTTGCAGTGAATCTTTACTCCCAAAGAAACAGCAATGCACAATGCAAATGGCTTATTTTATATATTTATTGAGGTGGATATAAAATTTATGCAGTGAGGTATATAAAGTACATAAATTTCAAACATGATGAATTTTTATATATGTACACATCTATGTAGCCATTGCCCAGACTGAAAGATAAAATGTTTTCAGCCTCCAGAAATTTCCTTTATGTCTCTTTCCAGCCAACCTATCTTAACGGTAACCACTTTAGTGACTTCTGTCATCACAAATATTTCCTTAAAGACTAAGTTCTTTTTTTTTTTTAAGTCAGGGTCTCGCTCTATGGCCCAGGCTGGAATGCAGTGGCATGCTGTGATCTCAGCTCACTGCAACCTCTGCATCCCAGGCTCCAACGATCCTCCCACCTTAGCCTCCCGAGTAGTTGGGACTACAGGCGCGTGCCACTCCGCCTGGCTAATTTTTCTATTTTTAGTAGAGACAGGGTTTTGCCATGTTGCCCAGGCTTGTCTTGAATTCCTGAGCTTAAGTAGTCTGCCCGCCTCGTCCTCCAAAGTGCTGGGATTACAGGTGTGAGTCACTGTGCCCAGCCAAGTTTAAGTTCTTAAAACTCAAATGAGTCATTTCTGTGTGCACAACAGCAAATAAAATGTCATAATTGTTTCTCATTCACAATAAGCTTAGGTTTCAGGCATTATAATAAGCAGTATTTAATTAAGAAATTGGAAAATTGAAATTGAGAACTACACAAAGCCTTTCCCTAATTTCTTTTACCACAAGAAGAGCTTCACTTTTTGATCACACAAATGAATGATGCCCTTTGAGCCAGCTGGGCTTCAGAATTTAGACACTTTTGGAGCATACACTGTATGTTACATAATACCCACTGTGGGATCCAGAGCAGTGCCTATTAACACATTCACATTTTTGAAGATAAATAAATAAATAAATATTTACACTATGTTGGGGAAATACAGACTATAGACAGTCTTGTGACAAATTCTTATTTGTCACCAAATAAATTCTGGAACTACCAAAATGACAAAATTTAAAAAAAAACTTTTTGGATTTTGGAATTATAGATAATAGTTTGTGGATCTGTAGTAGATAATATTTGTATTTATGTATTTATTTATTTACTTTGAAATGGTGTTTTGCTCTGTCACCCAGGCTGAAGTACAGTGGCATGATCTTGGCTCATTGCAACCTCCGCTTCCCGGGTTCAAGAGATTCTCCTGCCTCAGCCACCTGAGTAGCTGGGATTATAGGCATGCACCACCATGCCCAGCTAATTTTTGTATTTTTAGTAGAGAAGGGGTGTCACCATATTGGCCAGGCTGGTCTCGAACTCCTGACCTCAAGTGATCCACCCCGCTGGGCCTGCCAAAGTCCTGGGATTACAGGTGTGAGCCACCGCACCAAGCTGATAATATATTATTTAAGGGACTTTTCTGCTTGAGGCAAGGCTCATTCTGATGTCCATGGTCTTCACAAAGCTTTCTGAGGTAATCCAAATTTAAGAAGTGACTACTTCTTTTGAACTACTATAGCACTTTGAGCTTATTCTTCACATGGTGATTAAAAAAAAAAAAAAAACTTTTATAATGAAATGCTTGGTTAAACCCAAAAGTAGAAAATGTAGTATAATGAACCCCATAAAGACCTCATCTGGAGCCAGGTGCCGTGGCTCACGCCTGTAATCCCAACACTTGGGAGGCCAACGTGGGCGGATCACCTGAGATCAGGAGTTCAAGACCAGCCTGGGCAACATGGTGAAACCCCGTCTCTACTAAAAATACAAAAATTAGCTGGTGTGGTGGTGCCCACCTGTAATCCCAGCTACTCGGGAGGCTGAGGCAGGAGAATTGCTTGAACCTGGGAGGCAGTGGTTACAGTGAACCAAGATTGCGCCGCTGCACTCCAGCCTCAGTGACAAGAGTGAAACTCCGTCTCAAAAAAACCAAAAAACAAAAGCAAACAACAACAACAACAAAACCTCATCCAACCTCAACAATCTCATTAGAAATATAATGATTGTATCACTTCACCTGTAAATATTTAATAACTTACTGCCTGTTTAAATACTTACATGAGTAAATACTTTGTTTCCATATTGTAATATAGACTCCCTGATGATGAAGTAAATGTTGGGTCTTTTTCATTTCTATTTCCCAATTACCTTTTCTCAGCAGGAAATTTAATACAGGAAAATGAATTATGCCCTGAGGAATGCTTGATGAATGTACAACATCAAACAGTGGTTCTTAAGCTTGAGTGTGTGTCCAGATCACTTGGAGAGCTTGTTATAACGAAGACACTTGGGCCCCAACTCTGGAGTTTCTGATTCAGTGGCTGTGGGGTGGGGCCTGAGAATTTGCATTTCTAACAAGTTCAATGATGATGATGATGATGGCCTGGGACCACACTGTGAGAACTCCCGCGTTAGATGTCAACACTGAGTGATTTGCACAATAAAACAGTTTTATCCTTTAATCAAGTATCAATCATATGTGAGGACTTAGGAATACAGGAAGAAATACTTTTTATAAATCTCTACTCTCATGGAGTTTCTAATATGTTGTATAAAAGTATACAAAACAGAAATACATGAGAACTATTAAG
Organism: Homo sapiens; assembly: GCF_000001405.40. Classification (NCBI taxonomy): domain Eukaryota; kingdom Metazoa; phylum Chordata; class Mammalia; order Primates; family Hominidae; genus Homo; species Homo sapiens. The sequence goes on from NC_000018.10 coordinate 50,872,400, forward strand.
AAACATGGGTGTTGGAGACCCATATCGGAACATTCTTGTTTTATTGGTATAAGGTAGGCATCAATTTGTTTAAAGCTCCCTGGTGATTCCAGTGTGCGTTTACATACTATTACACCAGTGTTCACTGAAGAGCTGAGATTAGAATTTGTCCTTGAATTACGAAGCAGTTTTTAATTGACAGCTTACAGCGGGGAAGTCTTTCCCAGGTTGGGGAGTGGGGTGACATAATGCTCCAAGCTTACTTTCAAATCTTTCCAAGACACTGAACTGTACATAAACATATTTTAAAATATTCAGTCTGTACAGTGTAGTTTGTATCCTCTTTCCACTTATTAGTGGTACCCTTGGATGAATCAACCTCTAAGTCCTCAGTTTTCCCATATGTAAAATGGGGATAATAATTATACCTACCAGCTGGGCACAGTGGCTCATGCCTGTAATCTCAGCACTCTGGGAGGTCAAGGTGGGAGAATAGCTTGAGATCAAGAGTTCAGGAGCAGCCTGAACAACATAGCAAGACCTTGTCTCTACTAAAAATAAAAAACATTAGCTGGTTGTGGTGGTACATGCCAGTAGTCCCAGCTACTTGGGAGGCTGAGGCAGGAGGATTGCTTGACCCTGGGAGATCAAGGCTGCAATGAGCTACAATTGGCACTGCACTCCAGCGTGGGTGACAGAGCAATACCCTATCTTGAACAACAACAACGACAAAAACAGGAGTGGCACGGTGGCTCATGCCAGTAATCCCAATACGTTGGGAGGCCAAGATGGGAGGATTCGTTGAGTTCAGGAGTTCAAGACCAGCCTGGGCAACATGGCAAGACCCCAACCCCATCTCTAAAATAAAATAAAGAAAGAAACAGAAATAATTATACCTACTTGATAGCGTTGTTAGGATAATTAAATAATTTTAATATATACATGAGGTGGGCGGGGTACAGTGGCTCATGCCTGCAATCCTAGCACTTTGGGAGGCCAAGGGTGGATCACCTGAGGTCAGGAGTTCAAGACCAGCCTGGCCAACATGGCAAAACCCTGTCTCTACTAAAATTACAATAATTAGCTAGGTGTGGTGTCACACACCTGTAATCCCAGCTACTCAGGAGGATGAGGCAGAAGAATTGCTTGAACCTGGGAGGCAGAGGTTGCAGTGAGCCAAGATCATACCACTGCACTCCAGCCTGGGCAATAGAGCAAGACCCTGTCTCAGAAAAAAAAAAGTAAAAATAAATAAAATACACTAGGTGCCTTAGAGCAACGCTTAGCAAATAGTAAGTACTCAATGAATGGTAATTATTATTTATCAAACATCATCTATATGCCAGGCAGACAGCCTGCATGAGAATACTTTGCATCTGTATCCTTTTAATATTCACAAAACTCTTGCATATTTTGTGTCTCATTCCTCTTTTCAATGCCCTTTGAGATACATAGGGAAAGTTTAATTGTGTCCACCTAACCGGAGAAAAAGACATCCAGCCTCTTATTAAGACAGTGTGAGAGCTAGCCCTAGAATTCAAGTATTCCACACTCCCAAAGTGTGCTTTTTCCTTCGATGTAAATAAGTAAATGAACAAAATAAAACAAAAGCAAAAAGAAAAAATTTGAAGAACTGAGGCATTTGTCCAGATAATTTTCAAACATCCCCTCCATGCCTTCCACTCCCACCCCATAGGAATCCAAACAACCTTCCTTCTATCATTCCCTGATTATCTATAATTGGGGTGTCTAATTTATGGATAACTTATACTCTGCTTGGAGTTATATTTCTTGCTCAGCCATAGTTCTAGTCAAAAATTGTCAGGTTTTATCTTCATTTACTGGAGAGACCCTGCATTTAGAAGAGATTCTTTCCTTCTCTCAAGGATTATCCAGAAAGTGATTGAGCCATGTTTAGCCTTAAATCCTACCCTCACATTTTTGTGAAAAAGCCCATATTTGTATAAATCAACTCTAATTGGGTTTTCTGTTGTTGGGAGCTAAAAATCATTTCTAACAGTTACTGTTAAAATGCACAAAAATCTTGTTCCTGTCGTAATATCTTCATTTATATTTCCTCCTTTAGAATAGCTCATTAACTCTTATTAGGTCAAATTGAGGATGTCAAGTATAAACTACTAGTAGTAGATTAGTAATAATAGTAGTAAGGATAATCATAGTACTGTTTTGATTCTGTGTGCCCTGACCTACTATATATTAGACCTTAACATTCATTTTTAAAAACTCTATACTTGAAAAATAACTACACACTTACATTATTTCTGGAGACCTATGGATGTATATAATTCCCCTTGGTCTTTTAACTGATGAGACATCTTAGTGTCTCACTATAACTATTACTGGATCAAAGTAGCTTTTTTTTTTTGGAGACAGGGTCTCACTCTGTCACCTAGGCTGGAGTGCAGGGATGCGACCTCAGCTCAGTGCAACCTCCGCCTCCTGGGCTCAAGTGATCCTCCCACCTCAGCCTCCCAAGTAGCTAAGACTACAGGCATGCCCCATCAGGCCTGGCTAATTTTTTTTTTTTTTTTTTGTAAAGATGAGGTTTCACCATATTGCCCAGGCTGGTCTCAAACTCCTGTGCTCAAGCAATCCACCCACCTTGGCCTCCTAGAGTGCTGGGATTACAGGAGTGAGCCACCTCACTCAGCCCAAAATAGTATCATTTAAAGATGAAATAGCTCAATTCAAGCAAGAATGCTGGACAGATAGGGGATAAAAGGTAAATGCAAGAAAGCACAGTATTTTTCAAAGCTTAAGATGATCATGCAGAAAATTCACAACCAGTTGCAGAGTAATGACTACTTTATTTAACCCAGGAGTTATATCCGCCAGTGTAATTCTTGCCTGTAGAAACCAGCAGAGGGAAATTTCAGAAGGTTTAGACACTATGTTTCTACTAATGATTACTCATGTTTTCCAATTACATGTGTCTTTTTCCTGCCTTTTCACTGCTCAGATCCCAATATATGTAATATGTCACTCAGCAGCTGTTACATGAAAGGAACATGTTAGGTTGCTGTATTAACTTTTCCAGCATGCATGTGTGTGCACTGGAGAAGAACCCAGGCTCTTCTACTCCTCTGACATCCTTAGAGTGCAGGCCTTCATTCTCTTGTTTGTCATCTTATGGCCCAATGATGGGTGCCATGCCACTACACATCTGTGGCAAAAAGTGAGATGAAGCAAAACAGCCAAAGACACATGCCAGTTGAATCTGTTCTTTTTTTTAAAAAAGGCTTTCCAGAAGCCCCGGCCGTCAGCTTCCTTGTATGTGTTTCTAACAGGGTCACCTTAGACCCACATGATCCAACTGAAATAGAGTGCAAGCCACAAATAGGAATTACGTATATAATTTTAAATTTTCTGTAGCCACATTTAAAAAGTAAAAGAGGTTTAAAAAATAACTTTAATAATATGTTGCATGAACCGAAAATATACAGAATATTATTTCAACATGTGATCAATATTTTAAAAATTAAGATATTTCCATTCTTTACATGTTTTTGCACTGTCTGCAAATCCAATGTATATCTCAACTTAAAATAGCCACATTGCAAGTACTCAATAGCCATATGTCACTATATTGTAAAGGAAAAGAAGCCTGTGACATTGTGATAGAATAGGAATGTATATTTGGTCTCTGCCCTGGTTCCTGAGAAAAAGCTTCTAAATCCCTTGGAATTTCCTGAGTGACAGGGGCATCTTTTGTTCTAATGAGGCAACTCTTGGTGGGCTCCTAGATAGCCTCAGGATGGGGGCTGGTTGCCAGGGGAACCAACCATGTGATTAGAGGATTGGAACTTTTAGCTCCATCCTCTGCCCCCTGACCTCCTGGGAAGGAAGAGGAGATAAGGGTTGAGTTGATCTCCAATGGTCAATGATGTAATCAATCACACCTATGTAAGGAAGCCTCCATAAAACTCCAGAAGGACAGGGTTCAAAGAGCTTCCTGATTGCTGAACACGTGAAGGCATATGGAGGGTGGTAAGCCAAGAGAGGGCATGGAAGCTCCACACCCCTTGCCACATACTGTGCCCCATGCATCTCTTCCATCTGGCTGTTCATCTGTGTCCTTTATGACATCCTTTGTAACGTACGTAAAGTGTTTCCTTGAGTTTTGTGAGCCATCCTAGCAAATTAATATAACCCAGTGACAGGGTAATGGCAACCTGGGACTTGTGACTGGCATCTGAAGTGGGGGACACTCTTGTGAGACTGAGCCCTCAACCTGTGCGATGCGACACTATCTCCTGGTAGATAGCATCAGAATTGAGTTAAATGATAGGACACCCACCAGGTCACAGCTGAAGAACTGGTTGTTGGTGAAGAGCAACCCACACACATTTTGGTGACTAAAGGTGAAGTATTGTGTTCTGTGGTGACTGTGTGTGCACAGTAGCAGAAAAAGTTAGTTCTGTTTTCTTTTTCTTTTCTTTTTTTTTTTGAGATGGAGTCTCCCTCTGTCGCCCAGGCTGGAGTGCAGTGGCGTGATCTCAGCTCACTGCAAGCTCCGCCTCCTGGGTTCACACCATTCTCCTTCCTCAGCCTCCCGAGAAGCTGGGACTACAGGCGGCCGCCACCAAGCCCGGCTAATTTTTTGTATTTTTAGTAGAGACGGGGTTTCACTGAGTTAGCCAGGATGGAATTCTGTTTTCATTAGGAAGCCTTTGACCAATCACTGTAAGTGGCTAAGGGGAAAGAAATTGTTGTCAGAGCAGACCAGAAAACAGCAGTTTCTACCTCCTTGACAGTAGCGGGTATTTAATAAGGAATAAATTGACTTCAATGTAAGCAAAATAAGTTCCCTCCATGATAGCTCTCTACAACTTTCAATCTGGGATTATTCGAATGTAGGACAAACTGTCCTTAAATTCTTTAAATTGACAAACAATTGTATATAATTATGGTCGGGCGCGGGTGACTCATGTCTGTAATCCCAGCACTTTGGGAGGCCGAAGCAAGCAGATCACTTGAGGCCAGAAATTCGAGACTAGCCTGGGAAACATGGTGAGAAACCCCGGCTCTACTAAAAACACAAAAATCAGCTAGGCATGGTGGCGGGTGCCTGTAATCCCAGCTACTTGGGAGGCTAAGTCAAAAGAATCGCTTGAACCTGCAAGGCGGAGGTTTCGGTGAGTCAAGATCACGCCACCGCACTCCAGCCTGGGCGACAGAGCAAGACTCCATCTCGAAAGAAAAAAAATGTATATACTTTAATGCAATGGGATACAATGTAATGTTTCAATACATTGTGGAATGATCAAATTAGGCTAATATATCCATCACCTTACATGCTTATTTCTTTTTGGTGAGAATATTTTAAATCTACTCTTTCAGCCATTGCGAAATATACATTATGAACTATAGTCACCATGCTGTGCGATATTTCTAAAACTTACTCCTGAAACTTTTTACCCTTTGACCAACATCTCCCCATTCCCCATCTACCCCCCAACACCCCCACAACTGTCTTTCAAAGACAAAAGAATTTCACCTCTACTAATGAAGCATTTATGTAGAAAGACACTGGTAATGTTTAGTTTCCTTCATCCAACCTGCTGCATCTTGTAAGTTCCTGGCAAGCAGAGTTACTTTAGGTCATTCATATTTATAACCTCTCCTTGCCTGCGGTGGTTATTATAGCAACCACACCTATGGATTATCACCTAACTGGAGTTTCCTCCTCACAGGCCCCACCCTTCAATGTTCAGAGAGGGGCGATTGCCCCAGATTTTATTTAATTGTCAGAGTTTAGGAGGGAGCAATTCACTCTTCCCTACTTCCACTCCATCTTCTCAATCCTACATTTCCATCACTTTTAATTTTATTCTGCCTTGCCTCTTTTTTTATATTTTACATCTTATTTTTGAAATTGTCATTACCATGCCTTGTTTTAAGAGTACACAAGCTCATTATAGTAAAGAGTTTTGGGTGATAACATTTTCTGAAATAAGGGTGAAGAAATATCCTCCCATGTCACAACCGTTGGGAGGGCGGGGGTAGGGATGTTGGAAGGCACGGTCCCTGCGGCTTTCAAGGACAAGACAATTAAGTGTTCCGGTGCTTTTCTGAGGCAGAACATTGAGCATCTATTTATGGTGACTGTGACAGTGGAGGTGATTGGTAAATTCACCGCAGGCCAATAACCTTGCCAGCAGCCATGAGGAGTGGCAAAGAATTCTGCAGAAGAGCAAGTCCTAAGCACACAAAACAGCTCGGAAAGTGAAAGCGTCGCTGAAGTGCGGAAGCCTCGCATTTCCTGGGTCCTCTTCTTCCTTCCTTTGCCGTCTCCTGCCCTCCCGTTCTCCCCCTTCCTCTGTGGCTCAGGCAGGACAGACCCCAACTCCCAGCTTCCCTGGCCTCCGCGGGTTCGGAGACTGGGACCCCCGGGCCAGGAGTGCTGGGGGGCGCGGTCGGCCAGCCCCGGCTTCCTTCATGGAGCGGCGGAGCTCCACCTCCTCCTCCGCACTGCACTTCTCACATCCTCAGCATCGCGTCCACGAGGCCGCCCGCCCCGCCTCAGAACCGTAACCTCCAGGAGCTGGGTTGAGGAAGGCGCGGAGGACAGGAACCCCAGCGCCGGCAGCTAAGCCTCCAGACGGAGCCCGCCCCTCCGGCCGGTTCCTGCCTCCAATTGGCCCGCGAGCCCGTCCGTCTCCACCGTGGGCCACGCCTTCCGGGCCCCGCGGCTGGCCGGCTCCTCGCGCCCTCCCCTCTCTCGGCCGCTCTTCGGGCCGCCTCTGCGTGTGGGGCCGCCCGCGCCAGTGTGAGCCTGAGCTGACGGCGGCTCCGGGAGGCTCGCAGAAGGGGAGGGCCGGGCGGCGCGGGAGCTGAGCATCGCCAGGGCGGGCGGCAGGGCGCGGCCTCTCCGCCGGGTGTACCACCTGTCGCGGCGCGAGACCTCTGGTAAGGCCCGGCGCGGTGGGGCCCGGGCGGGGGTCCGGGAGAGGAGCGGGCGCCGGCCTCCCCTGGCCCGGCCCCGAGAGCCCAGCGCTGCCGCGCCTCCGGCCTCCGCGCGTGCGGCCCCCGCCGTTCCCGGCCTGGCGGTGGGGGCTGGGGGAAGGGAAGCGGTCTGCGGAGTCCGGGCTGAGGGCGAGGGACCGGCTACATCGCGGCGACCCAGGTTCCAGCGGCCGCGGCTCTACCCGGCGCGCGATTTCCAGGTTCCTCCGCCGGCTGGTGCCTGGGCGCCCCGCTCTCGCCCGGGAGCGAGGCCCTGGGCCTCCAAACGCCAGCATCTCTTTCTCGCTCTTTCTGCACCCCTCCACAAAAGGACTTCTGTGGCTGGAAACCCTTTGGCAAGCCTATCTCCTTTATTCAGTCGGGCCGAGTTAACGGCAGGAGTTAGGCTGTGTGTGTGGCTCCTCCCTTTAAAAAAAGACTTGCTGCGGGCTGGAGAGTTCTGAGATTGGACCGATTCCGTCTATTATTAAATGCCATCTGTGGACCGGGATTGGCAGGTGTTTCTTTCACGCTGGCGATAACTATCTCTGCATGTGGTGTTACCTAGGTGGTCCTAGGTTTCGACTTTCTTTTTTGGTTCCAGAGATAATTCTAGAAAATTTACGTTGCTTGTGGTGAGAAGCGTGATCAAATTAACACGTGCTTTCTTACAAAACGTTTTATCATCTTCTGTCTGTGGATTTACCTTCCTGATGCTTGTGGCTATCACCTCTAAGCAAAGAGGTTAATAGCATTGCTATTTCTGTTAGTGTTGCAGTTGATAACGATAACAATAGTAGCATGTATTAATTGCTAGTGACAGGCAGAGCGCTAGTTTCTACACGGATTATCTCAAAATAACCCTTTGAGGTTGATACTGTTACTGCCTCCACTTTACAAACCAGGAAACTAAGGTTTAGGTAGGTTAAGTAACTTGCCTAAGACCACAGTTTTAACGTGACAAAGCCTAGATTCAAACTCAAGTGGTCTAACTTCATAGCTGCATCCTCCACCCCCACTCCCTTAAACGTGTATACTCCTTAAGCATTGCTCATGTTGTTAAGCTAATTGCGATGTTGTACCCATAATTTTGATTTTCAATTTACAAATACTCTGTAAATTAGATGAGAGAAACAGTTGTTTTTAAAAACATACATATAGGCCGTTCGCGGTGGCTCACGCATGTAATTCCAGCACTTCTGGGAGGCCGACGTGGGTGGATCACCTGAGGGCAGCTAATTTTTGTAATTTTAATAGAGACGGGGGCTTCGCCGTATTGGCCAGGCTGGTCTCGAACTCCTGACCTCAAGTGATCTACCCACCTTGACCTTCCAAAGTGCTGGGATTACAGGCGTTAGCGACCGCGCCTAGCTCCTAATATGACTTTTATCATGCATTAATAGGAAATGTTGGGCTATGCTTCTGTAGAAATATTCTCTTGAGAATAATATATTTATGCTTAGTAGCTATTTCTGAGAACTGCTTATGGGTGACACCCTTAGAGGGTGTTTATATGTTTTTGTCTTTTAATATATTTATGAAAACAAAATATTCATAAAGGAAAAAACCCATTTACCATTTGGGAACTTCTTTTGTAAAATTAAAAACTTACAGCTATGTATGTATAATCTGTATATTAAGTTAAAAACTCTAATTGATTTTGGTGAATTTCAGACAAACTAGACATATTTTATTCTCTTTAAGACGGAGTTTTGCTCTTGTTGCCCAGGCTGGAGTGCAGTGTTGCGATCTCCACTCACTGCAACTTCTGCCTTCCGCGTTCAAGCGCTTCTTCTGCCTCAGCCTTCTGAGTAGCTGGGACTACAGGCATGCACCACCATGCCCGGCTAATTTGTGTGTGTGTGTATTTTGAGTAGAGACAGGGTTTCACCATGTTTTTCAGGCTGGTCTCGAACTGCTGACCTCAAGTGCTCCACCTCCTTCGGCCTCCCAAAGTGCTGGGATTACAGGAGTGAGCCACCATGCCCGGTGAACTAGCCGTATTTTAAAACACAAATAACATTAAAACCTATATTTACTAAGGATTAATATTACAGGACAAAATTCACACTAAATAAAAATTACATTGACTTTATAAAAAGATAACTTTTATTAGAAATTAACTATTTTATTTGAAAGTTACGATTTTGATTTTATGGTGGCATATTGTACCTCCTTTGATCAATATGTACAAATTTCAAAAGTGATAAAAAATATATTCTGTATATACTTGTTTAGGATGACATTTGATGTTGCCTGTATTTGTATACCATCCAGATTCTCATTCTTGACTTTGAGATTTGATTTGAAATATTTTGAATAAATGTTAATCATGATTATCCTTATAGCCTCTTATATTAATTTGATCATTAAAAGATGTTGATGCAGAAACAAGCAGGCATTTAGAAGGCACCTTGTGACCACCTTAGTCTACAACTACTAATAGTAATGCTTATGATAACTAGCCTTTCTAGAGCACCTAGAGGGCATTGTGATAAGCATCTTAATGAATTATCTAATTTAAATCTTAAAATAGCCTATTAAATAGGTCTTGTAGTTTAACGTTCCCATTTTACTGATGAGAAAATGCAAATTGGGGAGGTTGTGATTTACTCAGCATCACAGAGCTAGCAAATGGCAAAGCCAGGATTTATTTTGTTTTGTTTTTGTTTTTGAGAGAGGGTCTCACTTTTACCTAGGCTAGAGTGCAGTGGTGCTGTTATGGTTCACTGCAACCTCAACCTCCCATGCTCAAGCCATCCTCCTGCCTCAGCCTCTGAAGTAGCCAGGACTGCAGGTGTGTGCCACTACCCCCAGCTAGTTTTTAAATTTTTTGTAGAGATGGGGTTTTGTCATGTTGCCCGGGCTGACCTGGAACTCTTGAGCTCAAGCAACCCACCCACCTTGGCCTCCCAAAGTGCTGGGGATTACAGGTGTTCGCCACGGGATTTAAATCCAGGCAGTTTGACTCCAGAACTTGCCCTTTGACCACTCTGCTAGACTATTTCGTATGGGTTTTTTAAAGCAAACTTTGAAATCAAGTAGTCAAGCTCTTTATAGTGATGCTATTGTAAAGCTCTAAAGGCTTGACACTATTAATAATATGTATATATCAACATTACTACACAGAATTCTGCAAGTTTCCCCTCCCCCACTTTATTGATGAGAAAAATGAAACATCTAAGTCAATGGCTTCCAGACTTTTGGACTTTGCCAACAAGTAAAAAACTGTTATGTGTGGGGGACAATTGGGACCAGACGTAAGATCTCCAACTTTTATTTCTGTCAAGGTTGAGAATCTTCTTAAACACTACTGCAATCTGGTCAGGCACATTGGTTCATGTCTGTAATCCCAGCACTTTGGGAGCCAGAGGTGGATGGATCACTTGAGGTCAGGAGTTCGAGACCAGCCTGCCCAACATGGTGAAACCCCGTCTCTACTAAAAATACAAAAATTTGCTGGGCATGGTAGCACACACCTATAATCCCAGCTACTCAGTAGGCTGAGGCAGGAGAATCGCTTGAACCTGGAAGTCAGAGGTTGCAGTGAGCTGAGATCACACCACTGTACTCCAGCCTGGGCGACAGTGATTTTTGAGACTCTATCTCAAAAAAACAAACAAAAAAACTACTGCAATCTACTGTCCTGATCCTTTCCTTAAAAAAGGGACATTTTTACCACCACAAAGGTAGGAAGGTCATAGTTACAACATAAAAACAGAATAAATTTAATATTATGAAAAACTATATTACATTGTGTTAGTTTTTCCTCCTTTGGTCATAGACCAGTCAAAAACATGTCCTAAACTAACACCAATTCAGAGATCATTCAGGAATGCCTGGGTGACACAACTGATTCTGAACTGGTAATTAGCTGAGTCCAGTCCAGATTCACTCTCCAGTCTGTCTGACAGCAAAGCCTGTGCTTGTTGCCCTGTCATGAGCTCTTTCTAGTGAACAGTGTCTAGGGTTTTGGTCTCCTGTGAACAGTCTTTCTCAGGTGTTGACTATTTCCTTCTCCCTCCAGGTAGGGGGCCAGGGAGAATAGTCTCCAGCAGCCAATGTCTTAACAGCTTTAGTCCCAGTCCAGTTTGTAAATACCACCCAGAGGGTGAGTTCCACTGCTTCCCTGTTTGAGGTAGTTCTTTTGTCTGTGCTTACTCATGGAAGGGGCAAGGCAGTGACCATACCAGGGCAAGAAACCACGGGCATATTCCAGTATTCAAGAAACTCTCCTGCTGGGTGTGGTGGCTCACACCTGTAATCCCAGCACTTTGGGAGGCCGAGGCGGGCGGATCACCTGAGATCAGGAGTTTGAGACCAGCCTGGCCAATATGGTGAAACCCCATCTCTACTAAAAATACAAAAAAGTAAACGGGCATGGTGGTGGGCACCTGTAGTGCTAGCTACTCGGGAGGCTGAGGCAGGAGAATTGCTTGACCTAGGAGGTGGAGGTTGCAGTGAGCCAAGATTGTGCCATTACACTCCAGCCTGGGTGACAGAGCAAGACTCTGTCTAAAAAACAAAAAAAGAAACTCTCCAGTAAATAGCTTGATTTTACTTAGTCATTCAAAATTCGAATCCCCACCTTCTTTTATTTCCTGTTTTTACTTCACTCACTCCTATAGTTCTCCTTCTGTCATCTTTGTGTAACATAAGGAGTTAGGTGTGTGTTTTCCTCGTTCTGTCTTGTCTCCAGCAGATATTAAGCCCACCTGTCTGTTTCTGTCTGTAAGTGTTCTAAGTTCCAATTTCGGCAAAGATTGTTTTTTTCCTTAAGTTTTTTTTTAATTATGCCTACTAAAGACACTATTAAAATTACTTTTATATTTTATTTTACTCTATCACTTGCTAATAAAATTATCTAATAGTTTGAATAATATATGTTTTATCTTTAATTATAATACTCTTTTGCATATATTCTCTCATTTAATCATCACAGTTTTCTATGAGGTAGATTTGAGAGGTGGTGTTATCTTTATATACAAGCCAAATTCATTATTTTATTTATTTGTTTATTTTGAGACAGAGCCTCAATCTGTCATAAGGCTAGAGTGCAGTGGCGTGATCTCAGCTCACTGCAACCTCTGCCTCCTGAGTTCAAGCAATTCTCCTGCTTCAGCCTCCCGAGTAGCTGGGACTACAGGCACGCACCACCATGCCCGGCTAATTTTTGTACTTTTAGTAGAGACTGGGTTTCACCATGTTGATCAGGATAGCTTTGAAATCTTGACGTCATGTTCCACCTGCCTCGGCCTCCCAAAGGGCTGGGATTACAGGCGTGAGCCACTGCGCCAGGCCCAAATTCATTATTTGATAGGAGCAAGATTTTAACTAGGAGTTGAAAATAGAAGATTTCGTATATCAGCAACCTGATCTTAACTACTGATTCCAAAATGTATTTTTTGGGGATTGCCTTTGATTCAAAATAAAATGTATTCCATACCATTTTAGATTTGCCTACCTTGCAGTACTAATCACCAAAGTTTGTGTGTGTTTGTGTGTGTGTGTGTGTGTGTGTGTGTCTGAAACGGAGTTTCGCTCTTGTTGCCCAGGCTGCAGTGCAGTGGTGCAATCTCGGCTCACTGCAGCCGCCGCCTCTCGGGTTCAAGCAATTCTCCCACCTCAGTCTCCCGAGTAGCTGGGATTGCAGGCGCCGGTCACCACACCCAGCTAATTTTTTGTGTTTTTAGTAGAGACAGGGTTTTGCCATGTTGGCCAGTCTGATCCCGAACTCCTGGTCTCAGGTGATCTGCCTGCCTCAGCCTCCCAAAGTGCTGGGATTTCAGGCATGAGCCACCACGCCAGGCCCAAAGTTTTAACTGTAGTAAATAATGCTATCTCTCCTGGAAGAGCCACATAAACATATGATGAATTCTTTTAGAACTTCTTTTTAGCTGGGTGTGATGGCTCATGCCTCTAATCCCAGCAACTCACAGGCTGAGATCGGACGATTGCTTGAGGCCAAGAGTTCAAGACCAGCCTGGGCAACATAGCAAACGCCAGCTGTACAAAATATTAAAATTAGCCGGGCACAGTGGCTTGTACCTGTAGTCTCAACTACTTGGGAGGCTAAAGCAGGTGAATCACTTGAGCCCAGGAGTTCAAGACTGCAGTTAGCTGTGATTATACAACTGTATTCCAGCCTGAGTGACAGAGTGAGATACTGTCTCTAAAAAAAAAAATATATAAAACTTTTTTTAAATGACAATTTATAAAATTTAAATGGTTTTTTTTCATCACTTAGCAGAGTATCAACCATCCCAATTTTGTTAATAATACTTTTGTCACCATGTTGGGGATTCTGGGGAGAAAGCTACTTGGTATATATATATATTTTTAACACTGTGCTGCTATAATTAACATTATTATTCATATGATACTGATTAATAATTTTTAAAAGTGTAGAAACATGTATATATAATTTGTACTTTTAGAGCCAACTGCTGGTACTTTCTGCAGTATAATAATAAATGGAAATAAAGTGACATGGAGCTTTTATGCAAGATAATCCTGAAAAGATGTATAAAAGTCAAATTTGAGTAACTTAAAATTTAAAAATAGCCTGAAAAATCTTGCTATTTAAAGAAGTCCAGTGAAGAATTCTCTTATATAGCAAATTCTCTCTCTTAAAAATAAAATCAATGGAGTTTGCTCAAAGCAGGCTCTACCACTGTTTCTTCTTTTAGATTGTACACATTTAATAGATATCCATTATTAGATTCAGATAGTGAAGACAATTCATAAGTACACAATGCTGGTTCTATATATATGTGTGTGTGTGTATATATTTATACTATATACCCACACAAATTTAAAATTTAAAAAAAAAGGAAAACTTGGGAAGCCTATACAGGTATGTGTCTATTTTTTAATTTAAAATTGAGAAAGGGTAAGTTAGATTTTTTTTTTTTTTTGAGATGGAGTCTCACTCCGTTGCCCAGGCTGGAGTGCAGTGGCATGATCTCGGCTCACTGTAACCTTCACCTCCCAGGTTCAAGAGATTCTCATGCCTCAGCCTCCTGAGTAGCTGGGATTACAAGCACGTACCACCCTGCCCAGCTAATTTTTGTATTTTTAGGAGAGATGGGGTTTCACCATGTTGGCTAGGCTGGTCTTGAACTCCTGACCTCAAGTGATCCGCTCACCTCAGCCTCCCAAAGTGTTGGGATTACAGGCGTGAGCCACTGCACCTGGCCAAGTTCTTTTTCTTGGTTTTGTTCATGTTCATATTTCTTTTAAAAAGCACAAAGGAGAGCTTTATTTAGGACTTTATAACTTACTGGTAATAGAACATTAAGAGAATACTGCATGGTGGTGATTTAATAGATTCTGTTTAATGCTTTTGATGTTTACCTAGAGAAAACCAAATCTGGCTGGATGCAGTGGCTCACACCTGTAATCTCAGCACTTTGGGAGGCCAAGACTGACAGATCAATTGAGGCCAGGAGTTTGAGACCAGCCTGGGCAACATAGAGAGACCCCGTCTCTACCAAAAATACAAAAAATTAGCCGGGCATGGTGGTGCATGCCTATAGTCCCAGCTACTCAGGAGGCTGAGGCAGGAGAATCACTGAATCCAGGAGACGGAGGCTGCAGTGAGCTGAGATCGTGCCACTGCACTCCAGCCTGTGTGACGGCAAGACTCTGTCGCAAAAAGAAAAAAGAAAACCAAATCTGATGGTGTAAGTTTCACAGCAGCTAAAAAGACATGGATTCCTGTAGTGTTAAGTAAGAATATGAGAGCAATACTAACCCTAGGCCTCATTCCGGCCCTGACGTAGGTGCTCAATAGATGAGTAAATAAGTATAATATATGTTTAAACTGAATCAACTTCCAGTTTAAAGTGATCGATTAGTCACATGTTGAAATCTCCCTTTCTTGCTCTAAAAACACAGAGATGGTAAGTAAAATTGAAACAACACAGAGCCAAGTTTGAAAGCAAGAGAGAAATCTCCACATGCAGGAGTGAAGAAAGAACCTATAGCAGTGAGCTTGATTGAAGACAAATGTTCCATGGGTAGACAGGGAACAAACACAGTACATGAATACTACTTAGGATCTGAAGTGTTTATTGCTTGCCAGGAGACGGAAACTGAGTTCCCAAGGCCTGTTCAACCTTCAGAATCAAAACTAGACATATTTTGGGAAGCTGAGAATGGGGAAACACTTTTCTCTCCATAAATGAAGACTGTATCCTCACTGAGGTTGAGACGAGAATTAAACCATCCATCCCACACCATAAGTAGAATCCTAAACCTCAACTTGTTTGAATTTGGCTTTGGAATTCTACCTGAGGTATGTAACCATCTAACACAGAAACTAATGTAGAAACTAGTTTTAGCTTGTAAACTCTCAGGATCTCATATAGAGGCAAACTTAAAACTGCCTCCAAGGGTTGGTTTCCACAACACACAACGTGTATGGGACCACCATCAAAGATTGCAAAGTGAGCTTATAGACAAAAATTATGCCATGAAAGAGACTGAAAATTTATATCCAGGCACTAAAGACATTAGAAAAGATCTTTAAAATAAATATTTAATGAAGCCAGAATTTAAAGTTATGAAGCATGAACTGGTGACCATAAAACAGAACCAAATAGAAATATAGACATAAAATAATTGAAGTGAAAAGATGGAATATCAGAAATAGATAACTAAAGAGCTATATAAGAAGTTAGGTGGTGGATAAATTGCTTAATTAAGAAATGAGGCCAGGCTCAGTGGCTCACGCCTGTAATCATAACACTTTGGGAGGTTGAGGCTGGCAGATCACTTGAGCCCAGAAGTTGGAGACCACCCTGTGCAAAATGGTGAAACTCTTTCTCTACAAAAAAAACTACAAAAATTAGCTGGGCATGATGGCACATGCCTGTCATCCCAGCTACTTGAGAGGCTGAGGTGGGAGGATTGCTTGAGCCCCCGAGGTCGAGGCTGCAGTGAGCTGTGATCATGCCACTGCACTCTAGCCTAGGCAACAGAGCAAGACCCTGTCTCAAAAAAAAAAAAAAAAATGAAAATATACGAAATGAAATTTTGTCTTGAAAAATGGGATTTAGAAAGGAATGGGAGGGAATACATTTATGAAACAAAAACAACAGAACCAAAGGCTTAGAGGCTGAAAATTTTGGAACAGGAAGGGAAAACAAAATAAAAACCCTGGACTACGACTGGTAAGCTGAGTGATATTGGACATGTCCATTTCTGTTTCTGGGCTTTATTTTTTTTTCATTTAAATTAAGATATTTAAACTAGGTGATGTCTAAGACTCGTGATAACTATAATTGTGATTCAAGGAAAATCTAAGTGTGTACATCTAATTAGAATAAAGCACTATTTAGGTTTATGTACTTGGTAATATGATACATACTCTAATGCTTTAGGAAGGAAGCTCTATAAAGGGTATCAGGGTCATAACAATGTATTAAATAGTGTGGTATTATACTAAATATATTGATCTTCCTGATTCTGTCACAGAGCTCCTCAAACCCTTGGATTTCCTGAATGATAAGAGTGTCTTTAAAAAAAATTTTTTTTAAACTGATGCATAATAGATGTACATAGTTTCAGGGTACGTGTGATAATTTAATATATTCATATAATTTGTAAAGATCAAGCCAGTGTATTCTGGATATCCATCACTTTCAATATTTGTATTTATACTAGAAACATTCCAGTTCTTCTCTTTTAGCTATTTTTAAATGTACAGTAGATTGTTATAAACTATATTCACCTTACTGATCTAACACTAGGTCTTATTCCTTCTGTCAAGTTGTATATTTTTATCCATTAATTCCCTCCCCCCCATGATAGGAGTGTTTTTTGTCATAATGATCCCCTTTTGATCACACCTGAGTGTATGCTAGTCACCTGAGGTGACTTAGGGTAGAGCCCCTAGGCAGCCTCAGGGTATGGCTGATCACTAGAAAGACCAAGTGATTAGAGGGTTAGAACTTTCAGCCCTATCCATGAGCTTTGGGGAAGGGGGTGCTGGACATTAAGCTCTATAAAACTTTTGAACGACAAGATTTGCTGAGCTTCTGGGTTGCTGAACACATGGTGCTGGCAGAGTGGCCTGTCCAGAGAGGGCATGGAAACCCTGCATCCCCTTGCCCCCAATGCCTTGCCCTCTACATCTCTTTATCTGGCTCTTCATCTGTATCCTTTATAATAAAGGGGGATTTTTTGAAGACATATTAGAATAAAGCAATTTATTGTGGATAAGAAGACTTAAAAATGGGCCATGGTTAAAGACTTGTTAAGCGTTCCTAATAATGATACATTTGACAAGGAAATTTAGTTATTTCTGTGACATATAACAATTTAACATTAGAATTATGACTGACAACATTTCCTAAGACGTATCAGATTTCTAGGAATCTCATGCAGTTTTGGAACACATATTAACCTGTTCATGTTAATGGGATTCTAGGAAATGGTTAAACATTATTCTTATTTGGCAATGCTTCCCATATAATTTAACATGCCCAATAAGCCTAATATGTTTCGCTTGGACTTCCACAGGCCCTTTTGGAATGTCCAAGAGTTAGTTTAAGGTCAAAAAGATGTAATTTAGAATTTGAAATTTGATTTGGGGAAGCCTGTTAATTATGTCAAAGGTTTAAAACACTTGATCAAAAATAGTATCAAAGGTCACTGTGATGAAATGAAATAATATTCATTTAGCTGAAGTGATTTCAAAAATCAAGAGATTTCAAAAATCAAGAATCCTCACTCTTTGATAGAAAAGCAACCCCATTTTCCAAAAAAAAATCAAAAGGCCTAATAAAGACAGCATGATGCAAACAGAATGTTTCTTCTATTTTGCAGCTTACTCAAAAGGCAAACTATAATATTTTGTTATTTTTTATTAATACTACACAAAAATCTTCAGAAGAGAAAACCAAATTCAATATATTATTATTATTTTCTTTTTTTGTACTTTTTGTAGAGACAAGGTCTTACTATGTTGCCCAGGCTAGTCTCGAACTCCTGAGCTCAAGTGATCCACCCATCTCAGCCTCCCAAAGTGGTGGGATTCCAGGCATGCACCACTGTGCAGGGCCTCAATGTATTATTATTAAAGTGAATTTTAATAAAACCTTATAAACAAATTCAATCTCAGTCAGCTTTGACCACACAACATAAGATTTCCGTAAATTTTTTACAACTACTTACAAAATTATTTCAGGTTTTTTTCTTCCCCAACTTGTTTTATCCATTTAGTTTTATCTATATCATTTTTTCCTTCATTATGAAACCTTTAAATAACCTCTAAACTAGACAGAATTCCTTTTTTCAACAAAAAACACATCTTTTGTCTTTCTTATAACCTTCCTCACCAAAAAGCATCCTGCCTTTCTTGTAAAAGCATTGTTTTTCTTTATATCTAGTTGTTTTAATTACATATATTACAATTTTGACTCTTACTAATTTCCAGTATAAAACCTAGTAGGAAGCAATTTTAATTGCTATGTACCAGGTACAGAGTTCTGGACAGAGCTATTACGACTACGTCTGGAGGACCCAACCCCTTCTAGCATGGCCAGGAGGCACTGCTGGACCAGGAGGGCAGGGCCATATTGAGCCTGGCTCTGCCCTGCAGCTGGTGGCCCAGGTACTGAAGATAAACGTATGTACCTGGGCCTCACCATGGTCACCTGTGTAGACTGCAGAATTTAAAGGCTCAAAACCAAAAACATAAGCTCAGACAAATCAAACAAATATTAAAAATATCTCAGGAGCAATAGTTTGATGACCTTAAAATACGTAGAAGAAACTGTGTAAATCTAACCAGTAGACCCAAGGCAAAAATGTCTGAATTATATTTAATATTGACAATTTTGAGACATTCCTATTTTACCAACAATTTTTAAACTAGCTTATTTCAAATAGAGAGAATTTAAGCTTTTTCAAGAGGGAGTTTGAATATGTCAGAGGAGACACCGAGGAAGGTTAATCTGAACTACCAGACTACAAGGTGGAGTGGCCTTCTTTATAAATCCCACAGGGGATCCAAAGCAGGCAGTTTGAGCATACAAAGGAGTTTTACTTTGTTTTAAATCTGAATTCTGCTTGCTCTGTTCCTTTTGTGTCTTTTCATAGGTCTCTGAAAAGATGAGAGGTCTCTGCAAAATTTTCTCATAAATACAGCCAATTAATTTATTCCATAAGCACCTAAGCCAATAAGCCTTTTTCATGGAAAGTCCCAGAGGTAGCTTTGCAGGTTTAGAATACCATAGACATGAGTGGAATTTTTTAAATGGCACAGAATTGGTTCCGCATGATCCCCAAAAGAATTCACTCCCACAAAGAGGCTAAGATAGCAGAAGACTCTTGTTGCCATAGACAGTGAAGGATGGTGTGTATGTATGGTGTCTCTAGTATCACACAAATTTGTGGGGGGCATTGGTCACAGACCCATTACTCCATGACACCAGGACGCCCACCTGGAATTGGACTTATAATTTTTTTTTTTTTTTTTGAGATGGGGTCTCACTCTGTCATCCAGGCTGGAGTGCAATGGCACAGTCTCGGCTCACTGCAGCTCTGCCTCGCAGACTCATCCAGTCTTCCCAACTTAGCTAGTACCACAGGTGTACACCACCACACCCAGCTAATTTTATTTTTGTGTGTGTGGGTTTTTTTTTTTTGGTAGAGATGGAGTTTCACCATATTGACCATGCTGGTCTCGAACTGCTGAACTCAAACAATCTGCCTGCCTCGGCCTCCCAAAGTGCTGGGATTACAGGGGTGAGCCACTGCACCCGGCCTGGACTTGTAATTCTTTATAGTTGCTTTACTTTTTGAAAAAATGTTAATATCTTTAATCTGTTTGAAAGGTTTTGCTAACTGTAGTGGCAAATCCTTCTACCTATTCTTTTTCAAAATTTCTTGGATTTTCTCACATGTGCTCTTTCAAATATATATTTAAGCTGAGTCTAAAGCTCCATAAAGTTCAAGGCTGCAGTGAGCTATGATTGTGCCACTGCACTCTAGCCTGAGCTCAGAATGAGATCTTGTCTCTAAAAAAATAAAAATGTAAGCTCTGTAAATATTCTTGGAATTTTTGTTGGAATTGCCTTAGAACTGTGGATTGTTTGAGGGGAAACTGAAATGTTTACTGTTGACTATTCCCATCCAGAAATGGGTATTTCTATCCATATATTTAGGACTTCTTTATGTCTGTTAGTTTCTGTGTTGGTGTATTCCTAGGTATTTTATAATTTGTATTAGTATTGTAAATAGAATCTTTTATCCTATTACATATCTTAACTTATTATTGCTGATATAATCAGCCACTTTGCTGAAGTCTTCTTATTAGTTCTAGTATTTTTTTCAGTTGATTGTCTCAGATTTTCTAGGTGGCAGTTATATCATCTGCAGCTTTAGACCTTCGTTGTAAATGGGCCCAAAATAATGCTGCTTTTTTATTCTAAGAAAAACAATTCAGTGGAGTCATGAAGTGAAAAGTATAGCAAAAAATTACTCTTTAAGGGCAGGTGCAGTGGCTCACGCCTGTAATCCCAACACTTTGGGAGGCCGAGGTGGGCGGATCACAAGGTCAGGAGTTCGAGACCAGCCTGGCCAACATGGTGAAACCCTGTCTCTACTAAAGATACAAAAAATCAGCTGGGTATGGTGGCGCACACCTGTAATCCCAGCTACTCGGGAGGCTGGGGCAGGAGAATCACTTGAAACCGGGAGGCAGAGGTTGTAGCGAGCCAAGATCGTGCCATTGCACTCCAGCCTGGGCAACTGGGTAAGACTCTATCTCAAAAAAAAAAAAAAAAAAAAAAAAAAAACACCTTTAAATTTGCTTCAATACTTATTATAAAATAATAAGCATAAATATACAGAATAATAGTAATAAAGAGTGTATATGCAAAATTGTAATTTTATGGTATTTTGAACTTAAAGCATCAAGATGGTAGCATAAATTAATTTCTAAAAAGAAACCTGAACACTTACTTTTCATCATGGTTATTTCTGCTACACTATTACGGCTATGATAAAAATCCAGCAATGAAAAAGGATGAGGATAATGATGTAGCACCTGCTTAATGAATAAGACCATTCAGATGAGCAAAATACATAATTTCAATATGTTGTGTTACCTTTCCCCTGAAAAGGCCATCAGGAATTTGTTAGAGTTTGATGCCTCCCCAGTAGTTAGCCTTGGTAACTGAGGAAGTAATTGGCTTGTGTTTGACTCAAAAAGTTTGTGTAGGCTCAGCTACTGGTTATTTTTCTGTCTTACTGTCTTTTGAACAGCTCAGATATTTCTTAAAAGGGTCTCAAATCTCCTACGTGTGATTTTGTAGTTTTGTTCTACTGACAGAACATATTCAGAAATTAAATCATTTTTTTAACAATACATTGAAGATTTTCTACTGCTGCCTTTTCCTCTTACTCTTTCTGCTCTTCCCATTTTCTACATTCTTTGTCAGTGTTTTCTTAAGGCCCACAATTAATTCTTAAATTTCTTCTTTGAAGCTGTGAACAAAACCATCCCTACTATCTTGGCCTGGCTACCTGTACAGTGTTTTCCACTTTTTTGACAAAGAACAGGAAACCTTTTAAATCATTCAGACATTCTTTTCATTTATGTCCTTCATGCTTTAATTATTTACAGTTTAATTACATCTATGACTATTTAATATGAGTGAAACATTCTTGGCAATGTTGAAGGTCTTCTAACCCTGACTGCGTCATATTTAATATCAGGCTTACCATCCATACATGGATGTGTTGATGAAACTCTAAGCCTCATACAAGTGGTCTTGAAACATCAAATCACACTTGATTTCAAAGGTTGATGGATGGAAGTGGTATGGGAGGCAGAAAACAACTTCAGCAAAGTTACTTGCAAACTGGAGTGTTTCAGTGTCCAGGAATAAATGATCAAGCAACACATTTAAAACATCCCTTTTTGGCCGGGCGCGGTGGCCCACGCCTGTAATCTCAGCACTTTGGGAGGCCGAGGCAGGTGGATCACCTGAGGTCAGGAGTTCAAGACCAGCCTGGCCAACATGGTGAAACCCTGTCTCTACAAAAATACAGAAAAAAAATTAGCTGGGCATGATGGCGGGTTCCTGTAATCCCAGCTACTCAGAAGGCTAAGGCAGGAGAATAGCTTGAATCCGGGAGGCAGAGGTTGCAGTGAGCCGTGATCGCGCCGTTGCACTCCAGCCTGGGTGACAGAAAGAGACTCCATCTCAAAAAAAAAAATCCCTATTTTGGCCGGGAACGGTGGCTCACGCCTGTAATCCCAGCACTTTGGGAGGCCGAGGCAGGCAGATCACAAGGTCAGGAGATCGAGACCATCCTGGACAACACAGTGAAACCCCTTATATACTAAAAATAAAAATACAAAAAAATTAGCTGGGCGTGGTGGCGGGCGCCTGTAGTCCCAGCTACTCGGGAGGCTGAGGCAGGAGAATGGCGTGAACCCGGGAGGTGGAGCTTGCAGTGAGCTGAGATCATGCCACTGCACTCCAGCCTGGGCAACAGAGCGAGACTCCATCTCAAAAAAAAAAAAAAAATTTTTTTGAAATGCCTCTGAATTGTTCAGTTTAAAATGGTTACTTTTATGATATATGAGCTTCAAAAAAAAAAAAAATCCTTATGTAAATGGTTTTGCTGCCCCTTCACACATATCATGGATTTCTCCACAAATAGAAATCCATTTTAAAAAACTTCACAGCATAATAATTACAATGATTTGTAATGTTTAAAGAAATAAATAAGCATTTCAAATTCTGATTTTTGGTGAGATAATTGGTAAGTAGAAGACTATTATCACTAAATATTTTAGATTTAATGTATAGTTTTCTCTTTAAAAATGTCCATGTTTATGATGGATGCAATTATTTTATACATTATTTTATATAAAGTAATTACAATTACTTTATATGTTTTCTAGCCAATTTATATGATTTGTTTATATTAAATAACAGGTTTTCTAAGACAAAAAATTCTAGTACGTTAAATTTAAACATTAAACATAGTCCATTAAAATTCTAGGTCTAGATTAAGAATCAGGATAGTTTTTCTTCCTCTGTGTCTCTGCTTTCTTATTATTTACTTTTCCACCTTCAAGCTAAACTCTCACTCATTAAAATGGAACTCACTTTGCTATTTACTATGTTACCTCTTAATGTGTTTCTGTTACAAGTGGGAGATGCATACCTTGCCACACTTGTGTGACTAGAAAGAGGTTAAATGTTTTTTGCAGTGTCTGATACATAGTAGGTGGTACTTAAAGAGTAGCAGTGATTATTTCCCAAGAACATAAGAGTGTTATCAGAAAAAGTAAGTTTTCACCTTCGCCTCTTGTTACCTTTTTAAAACTGTTGCAGCCTGTGGAAACATAAATGTGTTTTGAAAACTGATACCCGATGGACATGAAGGCCTATAATATGATTCTCTTCAGTGGTTTATTTGCTTTGTTTTTCTCAGGTGAAAGAAAAGATGTTGTCCCGGTTAAGAGTAGTTTCCACCACTTGTACTTTGGCATGTCGACATTTGCACATAAAAGAAAAAGGCAAGCCACTTATGCTGAACCCAAGAACAAACAAGGTTAGTAACATTAATATCAATGTACATTTTCTCTCTTCTTATTAAAGTTTGATATATTTAAGACTGATAAGGTGTGACATATTTTTGTAGCTTTATGCTAAGGTTGTTCAGAGATAGTTGTTTACATGAAATTTTCACGCTTCTCCACATGGCAAAATCGTGGTTGCTTTATACCTCCTCAATTTCATCCTCATGACTTTTACCACCAGAAAAGGATTGACTTTGATTCCTAGTTCTAGCTTTAAAAAATAAAAAATAAAAAATCCCAGAATAGTGCTTTGGCCAGGACTTTGGGCCACATGTGAGATATTTACATTTCCCCAGCTCATATCAGGTACTCACCCTGAGCTAATCAGTTAGGCCCTTGGAAAGTAGGGTCAAAATTGTGAAATGAACCTTTATGTAAAGTCCACATCACCCCACCTCCACTTATCTTTTTGGACACAAACCATTGCACACAAAAAATTGTGCCCATTAATTAGAATGATTAGATGACTGCTTCAAAATAGAGAGACTCCTGGCTCTTTATTGTACTCTTGTGACAAAAGTGACGTGCAATATTGAGATCCAGTCATTACTTCATCCTTCATCTATGTTTGGTTCGGTGGACAAGTGCCTGCCTGTTTTTTAGTGGCAATATTAAATAGTAAGTAAAAGTTCTGGGAAGAGATTTTTTTTACAAGAAGATTGCAAGAGGATACATTGAGTTTATTGCAATATATGAAATTTACCTTTTGGGGAAAGGTAAATTCAAATGAAAAGTGTGACTTATTTTAAAAGAACAGTCATAAAAAACTTGCCAGTCCCGTTTGTTTCCCACTATCAGGGAAAATAGTTAATTGTTAATTGTTATCCTATGATAAGTTTTGAGGGGTTTCAGGCCTACAAAGGGGAATTTGACCATGGGTCACACAGAGCACCTCACCTTTGTATTCTTGGTACATGACACAGAATGAGTTCAGCAAGCAGTTAGTGTGTTAAATGAAGCTTAATGAAGGATATTCTGATCTTCTCTTGTTTGTGCCTGACCTCTCCAAATCTCATTTGCTCTTTAAGATGCACCTCATTTCAAATCCAGTTCTCCTGTAGAACCTTTTTACACCACCATGGACTGGAGTAATTACTCCCTTCTCTGAAACCCCATAGCAGTTTCTTCCTGTTCCTGTGGCAAGTAATCAATAGGTGTTGCTTTGTGCTTCTTTTCATGGTTTAAGCTGTTATTGAAGTCATTGATGGTAGTTACATTTTCCTGAGTTTATATCTTCTTGACTATATTTCGGGTTCCTTTTGGGCAGGGACCATTCAAATACTTCTGTGTATCTTTTACAGTGCTATGGGCGCATTTGATAAATATATTGGTTTTATATTTTATACTTATGGAAATAATTTATTTAAAACCTACTCTGGGGACTTAGAGATTATAAGAAATTTATAAAGTACATTGAGTGTCAAACAAGTTTGCAGATGGAGCATAGTCTAAGTGCATTACCATACTTCCCTAAAGAAAATAATGTCGGCCAGGCACAGTGGCTCACTCCTGTAATCCCAGCACCTTGGGAGGCTGAGGCAGGCGGATCACCTGAGGTCAGGAGTTCAAGACCAGCCTGACCAACATGGAGAAACTTCGTCTCTACTAAAAATACAAAATTAGGCCGGACATGGTGGCTTATGCCTGTAATCCCAGCACTTTGGGAGGCTGAGGTGGGCGGATCACCTGAGGTTGGGAGTTCGAGACCAGCCTGACCAACACGGAGAAACCCCATCTCTACTAAAAATACATAATTAGCTGAGTGTGGTGGAGCATGCCTATAAACCCAGCTACTTGGGAGGCTGAGGCAGGAGAATCGTTTGAACCCGGAAGTGGAGAGTGCGGTGAGCCGAGATCGTGCCATTGCATGCCATCCTGGGCAAGAAGAGCGAAACTCCATCTCAAAAAAAAAAAGAAAAAGAAAAAGAAAAAAAAGAATGTCTAACATTCTGGCCTTCTGAAATCCCTAAGATTGAATAGCATCTATATGGTCACATCATTGAAGGACCACTTCTGGAAACCCCTTAAACATCAGGAAGAGTTTATTTTTGTTTAAAGAACATAGACCAGTGATTCCCAATTCATGGGTTATAGACTCCTCAGGAACTTACCATGTAAAGAAATCTCATTTGTGCTTCAAATATTGTATACTTAATAACTTTTCACATTTTTGTAAATATTATCTTTAAGGATATGTTGCTGCTGTAATTAATAAAATAGTAATTAAAGGCAGTATTGAATTCTGAATCTTCTTAAATGTATGTCTGTAATCACTGTATACTCAAGGTATACCTGCTCTTTGTTTATAAAACTTTTTTATTGTGGTAAAGGAAGCATAATATAAAATTGACAATTTTAACTATTTAAAAGTATACAATTCAGTGACATTAAATTTATTTAGTGTTGTGCAACCATCACCACTATCTAGTTCCAGAACTTTTTTATTATCCCAAGTAGAAACCTAGTATTATTTCATTTTATTTTATTTTTTTGAGACAGGTTCTCACTCTGTTGCCCAGGCTGGAGTGCAATGACACTATCATGGCTTACTGCAGCCTTGACCTCCCCGGGCTCAGGTGATTTTCCCATCTCACCTTCCCGAGTAGCTGAGACTACAGGCACGTGCCACTACACCTGGCTACTTTTTGTATTTTTTTGTAGAGATGAGGTCTTGCCATGTTGTCTATGCTGGTTTTGAACTCCTGGGCTCAGGTGATCCGCCTGCCTTGGCCTCCTAAACTGTTGGGATTACAGGCATGAGCCACCACACCTGGCCAAAATTTCTTACACTTTAAAAGGTGGGACACCATTATGCTAGGTTATAAGCAGGAGTTTAGGTGCTAATTTGGGCTTTACCATTTACTAGCCATGAAACTTTGGCAAACCCTTCAACTTCTCTAGGCCTTAGTTTTCTTCATGTAAATAATATAGGTAATAGCATTTGGAAACATTTAAAGGGCTATACAAGTATAAAATTGGATTTCTCCTTTTCTCCCCATGCTCATTTGGCTAACTTTTCTCATAATTTTCTGAAATTCAGCTCTGCATCCTTTCCCACACAGCAGAAGGTGAGCAGTGGTTGAGCAAGTGAATCTTCATCTGTATTTACAGCCACTCCTCATGGCTTGCATTACCGCCTGTGCTCTGCCTCCTGTCAGAGGAGTGCAAACCCTATTGTGAACTGCGCATGCAAGGGATCTAGGTTGCACACTAATTATGAGAATCTAATGCCTGATGATCTGAGGTGGCACAGTTTCATCCTGAAACCATTCCCTACCCCCTGAAATAGAGTCAACAAGATAAAAACTCATGAAAATGTAACTATCATCAATGACTTCAATAACAACTAAGACATGAAAAGAAAAATTGTCTTCAGCTGGCTGTGGTGGCTCACACCTGTAGTCCCAGCACTTTGGGAGGCTGAGGTGGATTGCTTGGGGTCAAGAGTTTGAGACCAGCCTGGCCTGGTCTCTACCAGCCTGAACTCGTCTCTACCAAAAATATAAAAAAATTAGCCAAGCACTGTGGTGCATGCCTATAGTTTCAGCTACTCAGGAGGCTGAGGTGGGAGGATCACTTGAGCCCAGGAGGTGGAGGTTGCAGTGAGATCGTGCCACTGCACTGCAGCTTGGGTGGCAGAGTGAGCCCCTGTCTCAAAAAAAATTGTCTTCCATGAAACTGGTCACTGGTGCCAAAGAGGATGGGGACCACTGCTCTAGGAAGTTTTCAGTGACCCTTTTTCCTAATTCCTCACCACACTGGGTGAGTTACTCCCCTGTCCTTTGAGCATTCTTGTGCTCACTTCTGTCAATACCATGTATCATACTCAGTTGGAATTATCTCATTCCTCCATTGAGGACAATGACCATATCTTAGTCTGTATCCTCATTATCTTACCCCACAGTACTTAGCACACACAGAGCCTCAGTACATGCTGGGTAGATGGATGAATGCATAAACAGATGAGCAAATAGGAAAACAAAATCTGACATGATTGGTGCTCGGAGTTTCACAGATAATTAAACATAGGTTTTGTTTCCAGAAAATAAGTTTGGATTAGATAGGAGTTTTGTTACCTACTCTTGTAAAACAAGTTAGGAAATACCCCTATTCACACCTCTTTTCCCCATGTACTGATTTATGTGTTTTCTTATCATTTTTTGAGCAAGTGAAGCTTCATCTGTATTTACAGCCACTCCTCATGGCTTGCATTACAAAGCCCATTTCATCTTACAAAGTCTTAAAAATTGAGTGATGCAGTTTTTTTTTTTAAATAAGAATAGGGGGAGGAAGAAGGAAAAAAGTAAGAATAATTTTATTTATTTATTTATTTATTTATTTATTTATTTATTTATTGAGATGGAGTCTCGCTCTGTTGCCCAGGCTGGAGTGCAGTGGCGTGATCTCGGCTCACTGCAAGCTCTGCCTTCTGGGTTCATGCCATGCTCCTGCCTCAGCCTCCCTAGTAGCTGGGAGTACAGGCGCCTGCCACCATGCTCAGCTAATTTTTTGTATTTTTAGTAGAGATGGTGTTTCACTGTGGTCGCGATCTGCTGACCTCGTGATCTGCCCACCTCAGCCTCCCAAAGTGCTGGGATTACAGGCGTGAGCCACTACGCCCAGCCAAGAACAATTTTAAATTACATTAAAAAGTTTTCAGTTGAGTGATATGATTTGGCTCTGCATCACCACCCAAATCTCATCTTGAATTTTAATAATTACCACGTGTCAAAGGTAGGACCAGGTGGAGGTAACTGAATCGTGGGGGTGGTTTCCCCCATGCTGTTCTTGTGATAGTGAGTGAGTTCTCACAAGATCTGGTGGCTTTATAAGGGACTTCCCCCTTCGCTCAGCACTCATTCTCTCTCCTGCCACCCTGGGTAGAGGGGCCTTCTACCATAATTGTAAGTTTCCTGAGGTCTCCCCAGCCATGTGGAACTGTGAGTCAGTTAAACCTCTTTTCTTATAAATTACTCAGTCTTGGTATTTCGTCATAGCAGCATGAGAATGGGCTAATACAATGAGTATATTTTATTTCAAATTTATGTATTAACACCTAATTTCTGTACCAAAACAACATAAGCCATAGAACATGTGATGTGAATAATTGTGGATTTGTGATGAACAGAGCTTGCCACTTAGTTATAATTTGCCCTTTTAGTGCAATTTCATCTCAATTAACACATTTTCAGAAGTCTAAACAAGCATTTGAGTGCTAGTGAGGCACTGGCTACATAGCGCCTATCCGTATTGAGGTTAAGGGAATGCATTTTATCTCCTGCTTATAAATGTGTGTAAATGGATTCTATCTCCTGAATCGTTTGCCTTCTATCTTACATTTCTCATTACAAACGTAAATCAGTATTAAAGAGTCTGATTTGTATTAAAGAGTTGTTTTAGTCTTAGATTATTTCTGTTACTCTCAGGATATGTCTTATATTAGATTGTACAAGGCTTAAAGATACAGATAAAATGTGCTTTAAAGTATGAAATGAGTACCAGAAAATAAATATTTGGTTGAATCAGAGAGATGAGAAAATATATAACAAATGAATTGGCTATTCATTTTTAGTGTGGATTTAAAGCTTTTAGAGGTAGATATAAGTGATACTTTCTTTTACACTGTAATAATGCTTCCATAGGGTAGAGTGCTCAAACAAGAAATTTGGGAAGGATTCAGGCTGAGGTCTATTATGATTACAACAGTAAAAGTGTACAATTGTTTGATTACAAGGTGAGCCAACTCTAAACTATGTACATAGCCTCCGACCCTCAATTTTGTTTTTCACTTTTGTTCTTCCTGCCTCTGTGTTGGCTGCCTTAGCAAGAGAGATGCCAACATTTTTATTGATGACCCAGTGGGCTAAAGGTATAGGAGTCCTTCTGAAATTTTTTTAAAAAAACACCTGAACACTATTGATATAACCTAGTAATTCTCAAGTAACTCCTGCTATCTACGTTTTTTTCTTTTTCTAGTTCCTCCCGTAATACTACTAAACATCTCTTTTAAACCAAGTATTCTTTTCAAGATGTAAGATTGTGAAGAGATTTTACTACAGATTCTTAATTTATTTCAGCCAAATTCAAATATCCTAATGGACTCTATTTAGAATAATGAACCATAGATTGCCAGAACTAAAAGAGCTAAGTACATAGTAAATACCTATGCAAACCATTAACTTAATTCGAGAAGGAGTGTTAAAGAAGAGAATCAATAACTCCTTTATTTTGTAGATTCCATCCCTAAGATTTAAGGACATGCTCAAGCTTTGTATCTGGAACTCTGGTTTTCTGGTTATTAGTTCTCTGAGGGTTTTGTTAATTTATTTGTTTATATTTTAACTTCTCCCGGCTAGTTCTTTAATAAATTTAGAATTTTCTTCTGGTTATTTACACAAATAATATGACTAATAAAAGATTTAAAAATCACATTGCTATTATTCTATCACCTTTTTTGGTGAGACAGAGATTTACTCTTGTTGCCCAGGCTGGAGTGCAATAGTGCGATTTTGGCTCACCACATCCTCCGCTCCCAGGTTCAAGCGATTCTCCTGCCTCAGCATCCCAAGTAGCTGGGATTACAGGCATGTGCCACCACGCCTGGCTAATTTTGTATTTTTGGTAGAGACGGGGTTTCAGCGTGTTGTCCAGGCTGATCTCGAACTCCTGACCTCAGGTGATCCACTCGCCTCAGCCTCCCAAAGTGCTGGGATTACAGGCGTGAGCCACTGTGCCTGGCCTCTATCATCTATTTTTATTTGGCCATGATTCTCTTAAAAGTATACTTACTTTTAAGATTATAACATATACTTTTATATGCAATTTTACCACTGGGAAAAGTATACTATAAATATATCTCTAAAATGTTTGATAAGCTGTATAATAAATATATGGGTGCATAATAGTGTAGTAGCCTTTGGATTTGGAATTCCAGTGGCTGATGAGACTCCCAGCTTTGCACCTTTACTGGCCCCCTAGCATGTTTACCTGAATGTTCAAGTGTCTGTTTAAGAGATTTGTGTCAATATTGACTCGTGGAGAAACTGCATGTGCCTAAAGTAAAATAGTTCAGGGTCTTTCAGGATCAGCTGGAGGAAGTACACCTCTGCTATGTAAATTGGGAGGGAGGGAATTGCTGTTGCATAGATGAGAAAAAGGGAGACTTGGGAAAAGTGGCAAAGGGAGATGGAGAAAGTAGGAGAAGAGTAGATAAGAGGATGATCATTTCTGCTTAATACTAAACTAACCAGGCCATTCATTTTAAACTAATGTCATCATCACAGGCTTGCTTCACTTATTAACACCAGCCTAGCAAATTTAAGAACTTAATCAACTGTTAACATAAATATCTATACATAAAATTATTTAATCATTTTATTTTTTACTCTGCATTATAAATAAATCACTTTTGAGTGTCCCTTAAATCTAAATAGGAAATAGGCAGTGCAGCCTTGTGTAGTCAACTCCATTTATCTTTGGCAATAAGGATAGGCAAAGCGTACTTTTTTTTTTGAGACAGGATCTTACTTTGTCACCCAGGCAGAAGTATAGTGGCACAGTCATGGCTCCCTGCAGCCTCGACCTTCCAGGCTTAGGAGATCCTCCCACCTCAGCCTCTGAGTACCTGGTACTACAGGCATGTGCCACCACACCTGGCTAATTTTTGTATTTTTGTAGAGATGAGGTTTCACCATGCTGCCCTAGCTGGTCTCAAACTCCTGGGCTCAAGCAATCTATCCGTGCTGGCATCCCAAAATGCTTGGATTACAGGCATGAACCACTGTGCCTGGCCCAAAGCACTTCTAAATGAACTGCATAGTTCATTTAAACATACGTTTTAGCCTTTTCCTTTACCCTTTTGCTAGAGTTGGAAAAAAAGACGCAAGAGTGACAGTTTTGGTTTTACCTTCTTTGTATTTCCCAGCCTTCAATAAAATCATACAAGGAGAAACATGAGACACATGTTTATTATTGTCTAGCGTCTCCTCCATTATTGAAAGTGGGTATTAAAGTCTCCAACTTGTTGAATTGTCTTTCTTCAATTCTGTTAGCTCTGCTTCATGTATTCTGGACCTCTGTTGTTAGGTATGTCTATATTTATAATAGTTATATCTTCATAATAGATTCACCCTTTCATCATTGTAAAATGTCCTCTGTAGTAGCAGCATTCATTTTAAAGTCTGTTTTGTCTATTGTTAGTATAGCCACTCTAGCTCTCTTTTGGTTACAATTTGTGTGGTATATCTTTTTCCATCCTTTTACTTTCCACTTATTTGTGTCCCTTACAGACAGCATATAATTGGATTATGTTTTCTTTCTTCTGTTTTTTTTTTTTTTTCTGGGACAGAGTCTCACTCTGTCAGCCAGGCTGGAGTGCAGTGGTGCAATCTCGGCTCACTGCAACCTCCACCTCCTGGGTTGAAGCTATTCTCCTGCCTCAGCTTCCCAAGTAGCTGGGACTACAGGCACCCACCACCACACCTGGCTTATTTTTTTTTTGTATTTTTAGTAGAGATGGGGTTTCACCATATTGGCCAGGCTGGTCTCAGAACTCCTGACCTTGTGATCCGCCTGCCTCCGCCTCCCACAGTGTTGGGATTACAGGCGTGAGCCACCACGCCCAGCCTAATTTTATATTTTTAGTAGAGATGAAGTTTCTCCATGTTGGTCAGGCTGGTCTCAAACTCCTGACCTCAGGTGATCCACCTGCTTCAGCCTCCCAAAGTGCTGGGATTACAGGCATGAGCCACTGCGCCTGGCCGACATTATTTCTTTAGAGAAGTATGGTAATGCATTTAGACTATGCTCCATCTGCAAACTTGTTTTTCTCTTTGTCTAGGTGTAGATCTCTTTTGAGTTTATAATACTTGGAGTTGTTGAGCTTACTGGATGTGTGGATTAATGTTTCTCATATTTGGGAAGTTTTGGGGCATTATCTCTTGAAATATTATTCTGCTTCTTTCTCTCCTCTCCTCAAACTTCATTATGCATATGTTGGCATACTTGATGGTGTCTTACAGATCTCTGAGATTCTGTTCATCTTTTTTTTGAGACGGAATCTCCCTCTGTCACCAGGCTGGAGTGCGGTGGCACGATCTTGGCTCACTGCAGCCTCCGCCTCCCGGGTTCAAGCAATTCTCCTGCCTCAGCCTCTCGAGTAGCTGGGACTACAGGCACATGCCACCACACTCAGCTAATTTTTGTATTTTTAGTAGAGATGGGGTTTTACCATGTTGGCCAGGATGGTCTTGATCTTTTGACCTCATGAACCACCCACCTAAGGCTCCCAAAGTGCTGGGATTAGAGGCGTGAGCCACCGCACCTGGCAGTTCATATTTCTTTATTCTTTTTTCTTTCTATCTTAGACTAGATAATCTTGGGTGACCTATTTTTAAGTTTGCTGATTCTTTCCCACTTGCTCAAATCTACTGTTGAACCCCTCTGGTAAATTTTTCATTTTCATTTATTGTACTGTTGATGAAAAGATTAAAACTCTGTAAAATATTTGAAGAGATTTATTCTGAGCCAAATATGAGTGACCATGGCCTGTGAAACAACCCCAGGAGATCCTGAAAATATGTACCCCAGGTTGTGGGGGCACAGCTTGGTTTTGTACATTTTAGAGACACATGAGACATCAAATACATTTAAGATACACATTGGTTCAGTCCAGAAAGGTGGGACAACTCGAAGTGGGGGCTTCCAGGTTATAGGCAGGTTTAAATTTTTTCTTATTGGCAGTTGGTTGAGTTATTATCAATAGAAATAAATGTCTGGATTATGATAGGAGGCTTTGGAGACCAGAGTTTCTTCATGCAGATGAAGCCTCCAGGTAACAGGCTTCAGAGAGAATAGATTGTAAATGTTTCTTATCAGGCTTAAGGTCTGTGTTGATGTTAATGCTGGAGGAGTATAGTGAGGCATGTCCGACCCCCCATGCCATCATAACCTAAACCAGCCTTTTCAGGTTAAATGTTAAGAGTGCCCTGGCCAAGGAGGAAGTCCATTCAGGTGGTTGGGAGACCTTAGAATTTTATTTTTGGTTTGCAGTACTTTCATTCCCAGAATTTCCATTTAATTTCTTTGTTGGTAGTCTCAATTTGGTGGGACATTATTCTCATACTTTCCTTTAGTTCTTTAGACATGGTGTCTTTTAAGTCTTTGAATGTATTCAAAGATGTGAATGTAAAGTCTTTATCTAGTAAGTACAATGTTTAGGCTTCCTCAAGGACAGTTTCATGATTTTTTGTTGAAAACTGGACATTTTAAATAAGGTAGCAGTTCAGGAAATCAAATACTCCTCCCAGGGTTTGTTGTATTGCTGCTACTTTTGCTTGTTTAGTGATATTTCCAAACTAATTCTTTTCTTTTTTTGAGATGGAGTATTGCTCTTTTGCCTAGGCTGGAGTACAGGGGCATGATCTTGGCTCACTGCAACTTCCACCTCCCAGGTTCAAGTGATTCTCCTGTCTCAGCCCCCCGAGTAGCTGGGACCACAGGCACATGCCACCACGCCCGGCTAATTTTTGTACTTTTAGTAGAGACAGGGTTTCACCATGTTGGCCAAGCTGGTCTCGAATTCCTGACCTCAGGTGATCCGCCCACCTTGGCCTCCCAAAGTGCTGGGATTACAGGCATGAGCCACCGTGCCTGGCCTCCAAACTATTCTTTATAAAGTCTGTATTCTTGTACATGCCCACTGAAGTCTCTGATTGGTTAGTTTTGTGGTCAGCTGATAATTAGACAAAGACTTAAATGCTTGGAACTAGTAAATTTCCCATTTTTTGCCAAGTGGCTCTGTGTGCATGTTGCGGCATACCTCCAGCACTGAACCAGGCAGTTTACAACTACCCAGAAGCCTTCACTTCCTTCTTGCACAGAGCCTTAAGGTTAGCCAGAGGTGTGAGCTAGGATCTTTTCAGGTCTTTCCTGGATGTGTCCACAGCTCATGTATGTGACCTTCTAGAGTCCCGGTAATACCTCATGGCTTTTGAAAGCTCCAACCCCATGGTCATCTCATTCTTTAGCTTTTCCTTGTGAGCTTTTTGTTACCCTGTTGTTTTTCTCAACTGTTATCCACTGCTTTGGGCAGCTGCTATGCTAAATTATTGCCTCTGATTGTTTCCAACAAGCACTTCTGGGGAAATGGCTTTTCAGATGGGGTGAGCGCCAAGTTAGGTCAAATGAAGATAGCCTTGCAAGTGGGGTCTTCCAGGGAACCACCAGACAGGTCAAATAATGACATTTTCCTGGAATAGGGCTTAGAAGAATCTCCAGCCCCTTCTTCCTGCCCTGGTGGCTTCCAGGCTGCTGATTTTCATAGTAATTGTGAGGTGTTAGTTTTCGATTTAAAACTCACAAAGCTTGTTGCTTACTGAAATCCAGCCATTTTTCCTGAATAACTGCTCCCTGATTGCTGCATTTCTTTGGTAAATTTCCAGAATGTTGAAGAAGTTGCTTCTGGTTATTTGTCCAGTGTTCTTGTTGCTTTTATGGAGGAAAAGATTTTCCAAAGGCCTTGCTCCAGCATTTTCATTGACATTGCTTTGATACGAAGAATTTAACCCATAGTCAAATGCCAGAAATTGAAAAAGATTTTCTTATGACATAGATTAATTTTTTCTTAAGCATCATTTCTTCTATCCCCTTTTAATGGTATTTCATGGTATGAATATACCATAGGATGCTTAACTCTTTCGTAGTTAATGGGCTTTTTGTTAGCTTGTAATATCCAAGAGAACTAGAAACAATGCTACAACTAAACTTTTTGTATATGCCTTTGTGTGCCATTAAGAATGTTTCTCTAGAATGGCTCCCTGGAAGTCAGATTGCTTGATGAATAATATGTATATAAAAAATTTAAGAATACTTTAAAACTGTCTTCCAAAGGCCTAAACTAGTTTATATTCCCAGCAGTGGTTTGTGAGAATAACTATTTTCCACACCCTGACCAATACTGACATCAGTCTTACAAAGTTTTGAAAGCCTGGGCAAAAATAATATGTCATTGATTTTTCAAATTTGCATTTAAATTATATTTTGAAGAACAATGTCATTGCTACCCCAGTAAGTAATAATTTTTAATCCTTTTATTTCTCCTCTTTAGGGAATGGCATTTACTTTACAAGAACGACAAATGCTTGGTCTTCAAGGACTTCTACCTCCCAAAATAGAGACACAAGATATTCAAGCCTTACGATTTCATAGAAACTTGAAGAAAATGACTAGCCCTTTGGAAAAGTAAGAGTTGCTTAGATGTTTCTTTTTTTATTGGTATTCTGATTAGAAAACTTATGAGCATTATGGTTATTATGGCATGAGAAATACACAATCTTATATAAGTTTGTGTTTTGTCAGTTAACTACTTTTATAAAGATTGTGTTTCTTTCACTTCGGTGAATACTTCACAAGTATTCACTATTGTAAAACTTAACAAATTAGTTTTTATGCTTACAGTCAGAGCAATTCAGGTTTGAATGGAATATTAGAAGCAAAGGATACCATCTAATTTGCACTCATTTTATTCAAAAACTTTTATTGATCACCTGCTTTGTGTTTGACACTGTACCAGCCACTGAGGCTATAAAGTGGGTAATAGATAGGATGACCATATATTATATCACCTAATCTAGGATACTTTGGAGAATAAAAAAGAGGTGTACCCAAAGCTACCCCTGGCAAACTTTTTTTGTTTCTTTTTTTGAGATGGAGTCTCGCTCTGTTGCCCAGGCTGGAGTGCAGTGGTGCGATCTCAGCTTACTGCAGTCTCCGCCTCCCAAGTTCAAGCAGTTCTCCTGCTTCAGCCTCCTGAGTAGTTGGGATTACAGGCGCCCACCACCATGCCTGGCTAATTTTTTTATTTGTAGTAGAGATGGAGTTTCACCATGTTGGCCAGGCTGGTGTCAAATTCCTGACCTCAGGTGATCCGCCCGCCTCAGCCTCCCAAAGTGCTGGGATTATAGGCATGAGCCACTGCGCCTGGACTTTTTCTTTTCTTTTCTTTTTTTTTTTTTTTGAGACAGGGTCTCACTCTGTTGCCCAGGCTGGAGTGCAGTGGCACAATTTCAGCTCACTGCAACCTCTGCCTCCCGGGCTCAAGCAGTTCTCCTACCTCAGCCTCTCAAGTAGCTGGGATTACAGGAGTGCACCACCACACCCGGCTAATTTTTGTAGTTTTTAGTAGAGACAGGGTTTAACCATATTGCCCATATTGCCCAGGCTGGTTTTGAACTCCTGGACTCAAGCAATCTGCCCGCCTTGGCCTCCCAAAGTGCTGGGATTACAGGCTTGAGCCACTGCACCAGGCAGCAAACTTAATATATATGACCAACCCAGTAACTCATAGCCCTGTCTTCTAAAAGTCATCAACAGACAGTTATGCTATGATTGTTATTGGTCTCTAGACCACAATGTACAGTACAATGAGAAAAAGGTACAAGCAGATATATTCTGAGAGCATGCAGAGGGCATCTAGCTCAACTTGGGGAATCAGATAAAAGCTTCCTGAAGGGAGTGATGCCTAAGCTGAATTGTAAACAGGATGTTACAGGTAGCAGGCAAAGTATTCTGGGTAGAGGGATCGGTCTGCATATAGAACTAAGCATATCAATTGAGTTTGTTAAGTATAGGAGATTATTGGTGACTGGTAAGAGTGGTTTCTTTGATGTGATAGAGCAAAAGAGATACTGTGATAGATTGAAAAATGAATGGAGGGGGAGGAAATGTAAACTACCCTTACAAGAAGTTCAGGTAAGGAGGGAAGGAAGATATTAAATAATAAGTAAAGTAAGACTTGGGATTAAGTATGTTTCAAGCTGGAAGAAAATTTAATGTTTCATCGTAGTTAGGAGGAATGAGCCCAGGAGAAAGGATAATTGTTAGAGCAAGGTCTAGGGAAAGGAAAAAGGCATAGGGTCAAATGCGGAGATAGAGTGGCTGGTCTTGAGCAAGAACAAAGAACAGCTCATTCTCCGAAGCTGGAATAAACATAAATACAGATAGTAAGGATAAGTATGGAGATGTTTGAGCAGAAGTAGTGAACTCTCAATCTTAACTGATGATCTTGCTTTCTTTTATGACATAGAATATGAAAGTCATCGCTCAGATTTAGAAGGGCCAGGGTTGAGTAGAGTTGGTGAGGAGAGTGAGAAATGCTTGGAAGAGCCATGTGGCTATAAGATAAAGCTGAACAAAAGCTAGGCTTGGTGGCTCATGCCTGTAATCCCAGCATTTTGGGAGGTCAAGGTGGGAGGATCACTTGAGCCCAGGAGTTCCAGACCAGCCTGGGCAACAGAGTGGGACCCTGTTTCTACAAAAAAAAAAAAAAAAAAAAAAAAGCCAGGCATGGTGTCGCATACCTATAGTTGCAGCAGCTCAGAAGACTGACGCAGGAGGATAACTTAAGCCCAGGAGGTCAAGGCTGCAGTGAGCCATGATTGCACCACTGCACTCCAGCCTGGGTGACAGAGTGAGACCCTGTCTCAGAAAAAAAAAAAAAAAAAGAAAAAGGCTAAACAAGAGCAGGTTAAAGGGGTGAGAGCAGACCCTGATGGCCTGGTGGCAAGATCTTGTTTGTATTGGTGCCATTCTGCACAGCAATGTTATTTTTCCATAGAAAAAATGAAATGTAACACTGATTCAGGCTTGGAGTTTGCTGGGCTGGCAAAGGCAGGTGTTACATAAATTCATTCAGTTAATATTCAGGACTGCTAATGTGCCTGGCATTGTTCTAAGCTTTGAAACTCCACAAATGAAAACACTCAGCCCTTCTCTTCAGAGAGTTCACTATCTCTGGTGGAAAGGCAGACACTGTGGAAGGGTAGTACAGTGATAAATCATGTGGGGATTCCTAAACAGTAATGACAGGGAGAGATTTGCTCAGAGTGAGAGATTTGATCCTGGGATTCAGAGCAGGAAATAAAGAGGATCCTGAAGGGAGCCCATAGAATTGGAAGAAAATGAAGCAGTCAAAGAGCTAGAGATCCCTCTGAAGGATGACGAAGTGAGGGCATCATATGGCTACCCAAAATGGTAGAGGATTGTGATCCAAGAGTGGATAAGGGCATTCACCATTGCTGAGCTATAATGATCCTAGGTGAGTGCTGCCCATCACTGAGGCACACAGAAGACTGACTAAAGTGAAATAAGGATTGAAAGTGGTAACATTGAGGAGATCCATGACTTGTAGAGCTTCCCTCTATCACATGCCTCATAGGTCATCTGTTCTTTCCTTAACATTACTTCCATCTCACAAAGCCATCCATTCCATTTTAGCAGCCCAGTTTGTTTACTTCCCTATACTGCAGAGAAGTCTTCTTCCCTTTAATTTCTATCTGTTGATACCATTTCTTCCACTATTAGCTATGTAGAAAATAAAATTGAAGGGATCACGTCTCCTCATTTATTCACCAAATATTTGCACACCAGTTATATGCCACATATTGCTATTAATAGTTCCTGGAACTATAGAAGTATATGAGGTGATCATTTCTAACTTATGGTATTGTCTAGACTGGAGGAAGCCAGAAAGTCAAGGAGTGGAGTGAGAGTTAACAGAGGGAAGTAGGCTATCATGGGACCTGAAAACAGGAAAGTCTAAAGCGTGTATGTATACATGATAGGGGAGGGGAGTGGACAGAAAAGGGCCCCCAGAGAGCACGCCACCTGAGCTGCATTTGGAGCGCACATGTATAGGACTATACCTGGAGAGAGTGCAGGCAAATGGTGCATCAAACGCAGCAAGTCCAGGTTGAGTTGTGATGCATTTGAGGAGCTGAAGTAAGTCAACATGAAGAAGATGAGGCTGAAAAGTAGGCAGAGGTTTTGTTAACTATTTTAGGAGCTTGAGCCTTATTTTACGATGATTTATTTGGAAGCGACTTAAGGAGAACAGAAATGATCACAGTTAGGTTTTTAAGAGAAGAATGAATTGGAGCGTAGGAGGAAATTGTATTTATAAAGACTGGTAAGAAGGCTTTTGAGGTAAATCAGCTGAGAAATGATGGTAGCTTGTACTGTGCAAGGGTGGAGGGAGCTAATGGATATATTTGAAAGCTACTTAGCAGGTAGACTCTGTAGGACTTGGTGATTTATAGGATTGGTGTTGGGGAGGGTAGGAGAGGAATAAATCAAGAATGGAATCTGGGTTTCGCATTTGGTCACGTGATAGCAGAAGAAACAAGGTCAGGGGAAAGATAAGTCTGCTTTAGACATATTTAATTCAAGATGATTACTGACTTTCAAGCTTTCAAGCTGATATTTCCCTGTTCTCTAAATTTAAAAACAAGTTATTTATATATTTATTGACATCAATTGACAATTGCCTTTTTTGTGCTGCTTCTGCACTCTGTGTAGACCTTATAATACTTCTAACGCTCCTGGGTTATAAACTCCTTGAAAATAGAGGTAACTTCTTATATCCCTGGAGAATAGTGCCAGGCATATAGTGTTAAGCAAATGTTTGAATTAATGCCACTTTATTTTGCTTCCTTGTTTATATGTCAGTCTCCTTGAAGACTGATTCTTTAAGCGTAAGGACCTCATGGTGATCTTTGCATTTCCAGTGCCTTCTACAGAGCCTGACCCACAGTTAGGGTTCAGTAAACATTGTTTCTATTGTTATTTCATCGTCATCATCATCTACTATTTAAGTACCCTCATATTTTTGTTAATTTTTAGTCCTGGGTGTTAAATAGTAATAATCTAAGGTTTTGGGTTTTTTTTAGAATGTGATGTGAGAATGGGGCTCAATTTCAATTTTAGACATTTAGGTTTAACTTTCATAAGCCAAGACTTTTAATGTAATGCAGGCTGACTTAGACATTATTTACTGTGCTTCATTTCAGATATATCTACATAATGGGAATACAAGAAAGAAATGAGAAATTGTTTTATAGAATACTGCAAGATGACATTGAGAGTTTAATGCCAATTGTATATACACCGACGGTTGGTCTTGCCTGCTCCCAGTATGGACACATCTTTAGAAGACCTAAGTAAGGCTTGTTTAAAAAAAAGCTTGTAAATGATTATTGAATAAGGAAAATATCATTCCATAACACCCATTACATTTCTATTTTATGTTTGTTAGCCAAATCACATTTCCCACCTCAGAAAAACGTAATTTTGATTAAAAGAGATTAACAAAATCCCAACATATTCATAACTTTTATCTTTGTAAAAATAGCATAATTCATTTCTAATCTTCTTTAAATTATTGTGATTGTTAGAGGAATTACATACATACTTCTGGAACCTGCTCCCCCACCAAAAAAAGTCTTAATTCTGGTGGGAGATTATCCAGAATTATCATTAAAATTTTTGTCAATAAAGTCAAATTAAGAGATTTTTTTTTCTCATTTTTTAATCAGTTTTAATTTGTTTTTGTTTTTGAGACAGAGTCTCACTTTGTCACCCAGGCTGGAGTGGAGTGCAGCAGTATGATCTTGGCTCACTGCAACCTCTGCCTCCCAGGTTCAAGTAATTCTTGTGCCTCAACCTCCCTAGTAGCTGGAATTACAGGTGCACGCCACCATGCCTGCTAATTTTTGTATTTTTAGTAGAGATGGGATTTCACCATGTTGGCTGGGCTGGTCTTGAACTCCTGACTCCAAGTGATCAGCCTGCCTCAGCCTCCCAAAGTGCTGGGATTTACAGGCGTGAGCCACTGCATCTGGCCTGTTCTCCTTTTTTTAATGAATTTTCATTCCAAATAGTTGTAGCACCTACAAACATTATAAGTGGGAAGAGTACTGAAATGGCAAGGACTGACTCAAGTTCTTGAATGAGTCGCGTGATCCCCATGAATGTGTTTCCTCATGTGTAAAATGGGAATAGCAGGACCTATCAAAGAGCTATTGGAGAAACCAATGTGACAGTTCTTTGGAAAATTATCAGCAATATTATACACACACACACACACACACACACACACACATATGCTGTTTTCACTTAATCTGAGTTTTCTTATTCCTCTAATCCATTATTATTTTTCTCAATCCTTATAATATTTTCCCCATGCCCAATTAACACATTCTTCCACGTGTAGAAATTCAGTCTCCTGTCGCCTTGTCTAGTGGCTTTCAAACTTTAATGTGTGTAAGAAATACCTGTGGGACTTACTCAAAATGTTGATCTCTGCCAACTTTCCTCTCCTCCCCATCCCCAAGATTTCTGATGAAAAAGAAAAAAGGTCTGGAGGTCCGGATTTTAGTGAGCACCCTCAGTGATTGTGTTGCAGGTGTTCCCTGGAAGACACTGAGAAACAGACTGTTCTAACCTAGATGCTGCCAACAATTACTGTAACTAAAACATTTCTGTGACATAACCATGCTGTTCAGCTATTTTATAGTTTCTTATTAGAATGATTAAAAGATAGAGAGAAACTTAGAAATACTGATGCCTGAGCCCCACCCCCAGAGATTCAGATTCAGTTAGTCTAGACTTAGGAGTTTCACAAAAGAGCCTGGTGTAATTCTGATGTATACCCAGAGTTGAGAACTGACTTGAAACATGAAGAGCATGGCTTATGTGTGAGGGCAAATACTGTATATTGTTTATGCAATGCATTGTGCTATGGGTTTTTTTTGTTGTTCATTTTGTTTTTGTAGATGGTCATTAAATCTTGATTGGTTGGTTGATTGATCTAAACTTTAAGCTAATTAAATCAGAATCTTTGGAGGTGGGACCCTGGCATTTTAAAGCTTATCAGATGATTCCATTATATAGCCAGATTGAGAAATTGCTGAACTAAACTGATTTGAACTGTAATAGTAGTGCCAAATTTAAGATACCAATGAGAAAGTTAAACCTAAGATCAGTTTGACAGCAATGAGGATCCACTGGCCCTCATGTCTGCCTGACCTGTGTTCTAGAACCTGCGTTTCTTCTTTTTTTCCTCCTTCTCTCCCTTCCTTCTTTGCTTTCTCTTTTGAAATCTGGATTGATTATCTGAATTAGGTAACAATATACTGTGTCTAAAATGACTTTTTGTTAGCCATTCCACAATTTATACATATTTCAAAACATGTTGTACATGATAAATACAGTTGACCCTTGAACAACACAGGTGTGAAGGTCCATTTATACTCAGATTTTCCTGTGCTTCTGCCACCCCTGAGACAGGAAGACCAACCCCTCCTCCTCCTCCTCCTCCTCCTCCTCTTTATGATTTTGTTAATAACATTTTCTTTTTTCTAGATTACTTTATTGTAAGAATACAGTATAGAATTCATATGGCATACAAAATAGTGTTAGTCAGCCAGGCACAGTGACTCATACCTTTAATCCTAACACTTTGGGAGGCTGAAGCGGGTGGATCACTTGAGGTCAGGAGTTCGAGACCAGCCTGGCCAACATGGCGAAACCCTATCTCTACTAAAAATACAAAAACTAGCCAGGCATGGTGGCGGGCATGTAAAATCCCATCTACTCTGGAGGCTGAGGCAGGAGAATTGCTTGAACCCTCGGTGGAGGGGCAGAGGTTGCAGCGAGCCGAGATCGTACCACTTCACTGCAGCATGGGTGAAAGAGCAAAACTCCAAGTCAAAAAAGAAAAAAAATTGTTAGTCAATCTGTGTGTTACTGGTAAGGCTTCTGGTCAGTAATAGGCCATTAGTAGTTAAGTTTTTGGAAAATCATATGTAAATTTTTGATTTGATTTTCTAACACCCACATTGTTCAAGGGTCAACTGTATATCCAATTTTTGCCAATTAAAAAATAATATTAAATAAGTAAAAGTAACTTCACTTTTTCCTGATGCTTCAGGTGTCTCATCTTTTGTGTGATTTTACTGTAATTTTCTTCTCTCCCTTCCTGCTCCTTCAAATTTCAAATTTTCAGTTTCAGTAAGTCTTAACAATAGTTTAGTTGGCCTTGTACTGCTCTCCTGCATTGGTGGCTTGCTTTAGATTTTTTTTTTTTTTCCTGGTGGTGTATTGAGTTTATTTGAACATGAGATGTGGTTACATTTCTTCTTGGGTAAAATGACTGTATCATTTAACAATAATCTTTGTTGCATCTGCTATGAACAGTAATTACAGTTTGAAGTACTTGAAAATGTTTGAAAATAAACCAGTGTGACTTAGCTAAATCTGCTTGGAAATTATACCATGTCTTGATATTTTATTAAAATATCAAAATATTTCAATTATGAACAAAAACTTAGAAACAAAGCTGTTGTGAAATGCAAAGGTGTTTTTGTTCTGTTGCAGGGGATTATTTATTTCGATCTCAGACAGAGGTCATGTTAGATCAATTGTGGATAACTGGCCAGAAAATCATGTTAAGGTACTAATAGCACAACCCTCCTTTTCACAAT
This sequence comes from Homo sapiens, assembly GCF_000001405.40. Classification (NCBI taxonomy): domain Eukaryota; kingdom Metazoa; phylum Chordata; class Mammalia; order Primates; family Hominidae; genus Homo; species Homo sapiens. Next base: position 50,916,275 of record NC_000018.10, read on the forward strand.
GTTTTCTCTTTTCTTGTAAATTACCTCTAAATCTCCAAGAACAGTTTTTCATTGTTGCTCTCATTTATTTTGCACTTATATACATGCAGATTTAGTGCTTTGCAGCTGAAGTGATGATAATAGTAGTAGTTATAAAATGGGCTACTGGTATAAAGTTTGACTCTGAGAAAGAAATTAGAGCTAGAATACAAGGTGAGCCCTCTCGGTATCAGCACCACTGGTGTCTCCTGCCTTCTCAATCTCCTTTTCTATTTCACTAATATTATTCTAGGTAAAGAAAATACATTAAAATGCCATAAAAACTTTTGTTTATGAATGGTGTTAGAGAAGTTTGGTTATGCCTTTTTTTCTTTTAAATCTAAGATTTAGAACCTTAGCAAATATAAAAATGTTAAATATAGCAAATATAAGCCCTGGCCTATTTAGTTATCTTTCATAAAATAAAATGTAATAACTTATTTCAAGATCTTTGGGTAGGCTTTTGTAAATTTTATTGTAGGCAATAATCTTACCTGCCTTTATACTCCTTTCCAAAATAAACATTGAATGATCGTTGGTTTGAATACTCTAGCAAAAATTTGGTCAAATAATTAAACTCACAGTATCATCTTAAGACCTTCCTTATAAGTAGGTATTTTTTTTGTTCTAGACCTTTTTCTTTTTCACAGTTGCTAAGGTTTTTTTTGTTTGGCCTAGGTTATTGTGTTGGAGTACCATGCTGTTTATTTCTAAACTCTTATTTTTCTCTTATGGTAATCTCTCCATCAGAATCTTGTTCATCTCTGCCATATTTAATCTTTCTGAAGATATTTAAGTTGGTCCTCTAGTCAGAAGAATTCTATTCCTAAACCGAAGTCAGAGGGAAATCAAATCTAGTTAATGTCTCATAATACTCAGAAGTCCTAGAATTTTAAGTATGCTTTGTTGGTTTACATTGGAAATTAGCCAAGAAACAATTTTATTTTTAAGAGCAAAGAGTAAATATATATGAAGTGAATCAATCTTTTAAAAAATGCTTTTCTTTAGTGCCCCATTTTTGACAACTTTTAATTTGCATTTTTTTGTGATTAAGGCTGTTGTAGTGACTGATGGAGAGAGAATTCTGGGTCTTGGAGATCTGGGTGTCTATGGAATGGGAATTCCAGTAGGAAAACTTTGTTTGTATACAGCTTGTGCAGGAATACGGCCTGATAGATGCCTGCCAGTGTGTATTGATGTGGGAACTGATAATATCGTGAGTAACATCATTTTCCCCCTTTATCTTCCTCCTGTATTTTTTAAAATGTGTACAATATTCCTTTTTTGAAAATGATAATTTAAGAAGGGAAAGTTTTATGATTAGATTTTTTTTTCTTAAACTCCACTTTTAATATTTATATAAATAATAGTAAATTAAGTCTATTAAAAGTTTCTTGGTCCGGGCATGGTGGCTCATACCTGTAATCCCAGGACATTGGAAGGCCGAGGCAGGCAGATCACCAAAAGTCAGGAGTTCGAGACCAGCCTGGCCAACATGGTGAAACCCAGACTCTACTAAAAATACAAAAAAAATTAGCTGGGCGTGGTGGCACATGCTTGTAATCCCAGCTACAAGGCTGAGGCAAGAGAATTGCTTGAATGCAAAAGACAGAGGTTGCAGTGAGCCGAGATCACACCATTGCACTCCAGCCTGGGTGACAAGAGTGAGACTGTCTCAAAAAAGAAAAAATAAAGTTTCTTGTAGGGCAATACATTTAAAAAATTGTATTAGTAATTTTTTATTTTGCAATTTTTATTGTATGTGTTTAAACTGATTATATAAATTATTTTATTTTTACATTTGGTTTATTTTGTAGGCACTCTTAAAAGACCCATTTTACATGGGCTTGTACCAGAAACGAGATCGCACACAACAGTATGATGACCTGATTGATGAGTTTATGAAAGCTATTACTGACAGGTATTTTTTAAAAGTTTGAGTATATGAAAGCACCTTTAATGGGGTGGGTGGGGTAAGAACCAAAGTTTTGTTTTGTTTTCCTTTATTTCTTTCCTGTGTAGATAAGCAGGAGGCGATTAAATTTTTGAGAACTTTGTTCTGCCTGGCTGTTTCTGCCTGATTAGATGTGCCGATATGAGGTGGTACCCATGGTCTGCCTTGCTTTCTTGAGTTACCTGACATTTTGAGGGAAGTCTGCCCTCACTGCTTCCATCAAACGCTTACTGCTCAGTACCTTTTTCAGCCTTGACCTTCAGGCTCACGCCCACCATTCCACTGAAGCTCTTGTGCAGCTTTTGTATTTTAAGTTCTCTGACCATTGGGTCCTCCCACTTCTCTACCTCTTTGCACCGTCAACTCAGGTTTTCCCACTTCTATGTCCTTGAAACTCTCTCTTCTCTTGACTGCTAAACAGCTTCCTCCTAACTTGGTCTTTCTCCCACCTTTCTCTTTTTTTTTTTTTTTGTCATCTTCACAGGTTCTTGCTGTCTCTTACTAAATGTGGATAACTACCTAGTCCTCTTCTCTTTCAGCCATGTCAACTATGACCTTTATGCATGTTACTACTAAACCCATAAAAACCCATCTGTAGTTCCACTGCTCTTGTGAGGCCTGCATTTCTAATAATCAGAATCTTCCATCTGGGTATTCTGTTATGAGTGCATATTCATATCCCACACTGAACTCCTTTCCTTTCCAAACAACCTATCTTCTGTATTCCCAGCTTCTATTATTGGCAGTAACATTCATCCTGTTGCCAAAACTTTGATCTTAGTGTTATCTTTGACTCTTCTGCCTTCTCCGTCAGTCAGATTTCAGATATTCCTCAAATTCAGTGGGTACTACCACTTAAATGTCTCCTGTTTTCCATTGCCGCAATCTTGCTCTCTCCTTATCTCTCTTCTGGAGTTTTCTAATTCTTCCTCCAGTTTCTCTCCTCTCCAGTTCGTCTCCACCTTAATACCAGATTAATTGTTTTGAAACGTGTGCTTCATTTTGTCATTCTTTTGCTTGAAATCTCTGATTGGTTTCCTATTGCCATAGGATAAAGTCAAACTCTTTTACCTTAATGATCTAACCCTGGCCTACCTTTAAAATTGCTGGCACGTAGAAGATATTTAAACATTAATTCCTTTTCAGAGTCAAAGTCAACAAGTCTAAAGCTGAACTTTACATCTTCTCAGAAATTGCCATCTCTCCTTCTTCCTCTCACTTTCCTATCTTGGACAACCAAATAGTACCTTCTTAGTTACCCCATTACCTTCACATTGTAACAGCTTCTTCCTCATTTCCCAGTTGATCCTTATCAATTTCTATTCATCCTAATAGTTCATAGTTACTCCTTTTGCTTCCTGCATCTTCTGCTTCAGATCTCTTGTCTTCGTATCATAGTAGCCTCCTAGTTGCTTCTGCCACTCCCGTCTCCCCACACCAATATGAGCTACGTATCACTGGCAGGTTTATCCTTCCTAAAGGGAGTCATATGTGAATATTTTCCTTTCTCTGCAGCCTTCACTGTTTCTACATGGGATGCAGAAGAAAGTCCCTCTTCTCTAATTTAGCATTCGAGATCCTCCCTTATTTGGTTCCAACCTGCATTAACCAATTTCTCCCTTATCTCTTAATGTAAACCATGAAATATATAGCCAGACTGTTGAAAATTCAGGGTCACCCTAATAACAGCCTGCTTTTCTTCCTAGCTCTTTACTTTTTGTTCTTTCAGGGCCCACCTCCTTTTCAAGCCTTCCCTTACTACTTGAGCTCACCTAGACGATTAACATCTTCTTTTTCTGAATGTCAGTGAACTCAAATAGCAATTATTTTTCAATTTCTTATTTAATATATACTTTCTTGTGTTGCTGTTTAACTATTAATGTAATGAGAATATACATATCAAATATATATTTTTTGAGGTTCAGAGTCAAAGGAAGTGTCCTCCTGGACACTTGAAAATAGTTTACATAGATTGATAGCCCATGGGTTTATCATTGTGCCACATTCTTTTTAAACACCTCATACTTTTTTTATTGAATAATTTCTACATTTTGGATCTAGTCTTTCACAGGCTCTGAAATTTTTCAGATGGCCTTAATTGAACTAACATAATACATTATTTTTGAATGCTATCATAGGGAATATTAGGTGGAAAGCTGTTTAATAGTGTTATTTTCAACACAACTATTGTGGGTTTTGCTGTTTTTAGATATGGCCGGAACACACTCATTCAGTTCGAAGACTTTGGAAATCATAATGCATTCAGGTTCTTGAGAAAGTACCGAGAAAAATATTGTACTTTCAATGATGATATTCAAGGTAAAGCAAAAAAACTTCAGGGTTTTGATTCCTACTTTTTAAACATTTTTAATGTGCCCATTTTTTATTTGTAAAAATCTTTGTTTTTCTTACAGGGACAGCTGCAGTAGCTCTAGCAGGTCTTCTTGCAGCACAAAAAGTTATTAGTAAACCAATCTCCGAACACAAAATCTTATTCCTTGGAGCAGGAGAGGTAAGTTTTGAAGGCTTTTTGAAACTTAAGCCTATCCTCTCTTATAGAATTAGAAAATGGGCAGAATATTGATGTTTATGAAAGAGCATAGTGAGCCTGTAATTTTGTTGAGGTAGAGGATATGAAATCAAGAGTTCTGCTGTAAAACATGTAATTTAAAATATGTTTCGAGAGAATATCACGAAGAATTTTTGTTTGATTTGTAAGGGAAAAATAAACCAAATATTTCTTATGGCATATAATCTTCATATATAAAGTAATTCAAGCATTGCATCGTACTCTAGTATATATTAAAATTTATGTTTTGTTGAACAGGCTGCTCTTGGAATTGCAAATCTTATAGTTATGTCTATGGTAGAAAATGGCCTGTCAGAACAAGAGGCACAAAAGAAAATCTGGATGTTTGACAAGTATGGTTTATTAGTTAAGGTAAGGTATTTAAAATTTGGAGAAGCAAAAGAGTGTATTATATTTTTAGTTGGATTTTTAAAATATTATTCCTTAAAATCTTGTTTCTCATTGGAGTCTCCAAATTATACCAATTGGGACCTTCCACTCTCTTTTCAACAGATGTCCCTAGTCTTGTTGTCTTTTACAAAGACTTCTGCTTCATATTGAATTAATAATCTCTATGTTGGCATCAGACTTACTCTTTCTTGCTTTGTTGTCTTGCTCTTAAGAGATCAAATGGCCATTGTACAAGTATGATCGTGTTTGACACTCCTAAAACTAGGTTTTTAGTAGGAACTGAGAACTTCCTAATTAAATTGCAGTATTGCAGTAGTTTTGATATTTGAGCAGAAATTCTTTTAATTTTATTATTATTTATTTTTTTTGAGATGAAGTCTCTCTCTGTCACCCAGGCTGGAGTGCAGTGGTGCGATGTCACCTCGCTGCAACTTCTGCCTCCTGGGTTCAAGCAATTCTCCTGCCTGAGCCTCCCGAGGCTACCGTGCCTGGCCGTGAGCAGAAATTCTTAACCCTTTGGAGATCATAATCCCCTGAAGAAATCTAATAAAAATCTGTGGACCCTATCCCCAGGAAAAAAGCATGTGCTCCTGAAACCAATTTATGGATAATAAAGAGCTTATCTCCCAGATTAACTTAGTACCTTTGGGCCTGACTACCTTTGTTAGCATTGATTACCATTTTCACTAGCTTAAGAATGTCATATATCTTCTGTGTAACACATTGAATATAAGTAAACTGTTCCATAGTTAAACCAATCCAGTACACAATGCTGTTATATTTTTGTATGTACACATTAAAATATAATGGTATAGCTGTCGCTTGGCATTTATGTCTGTGGAGCAAGCTATCTAAATGTACTTTGTTCCAGTTCTAAAATCTTTTCTTGTTAATTAGAACCAGTATTCTATTAGTACAAAAAATAAAATGAAAAGTTAAAGTATGTGAATGAAAAATCTTGAGTGCTCAAACTACATGTAATTTAAAATGTAATAGTAGTTATATACCAGACATTGTTATAAGACTTTACATGTATTATCTCCTTTAATCATCTCAAAAAATCCTGTGAAGTTTTACAAATGAAGAAACAGTTTAAAAGGTCGAGGGAGTTTTCCAAAGTCATCAGCTTATAAGTGACGGAGGTAGGATTCAAAACCAAGTATCCTGACTGCGAAGCCTGTGCTCTGAATAATTAAACTGTGCTGCCTCCCAAAGAGGCTGTAACTACCATATTTACTAGTATGTAAGGCACAAGGATAAAACATCACATATTTAGAAGGCTATTGGGGGATGTATGTTTTGACTAGTACACAGTTAGTTTGGTACTTCTTTTTGTAATGTTGGTTTTCATCAAATATGTTGTGATTCTTTAGCATATTGGTAGGTCAGGTCTAACACAGTATTGGTAGCTACAATGTGTTTACTTAGCACAAAGTGAGAACCCTGTCCATCTCCATATTCATCATCAGATTATATATTTCTTTTCCAGTGTGCAGGTAGCTTGGCCTATGGGCATTAGGCTTCCAGTGTCTCCTGGTGATCCTAAACACTGCCCTTCATTTTGAAACTTTGAAAACAGTGGCTTCTTATGTCACTGTTTGCTCAGCCTGGTTTTCTCAGCCGATTGATGATAGTGTCCTGCTTTACTAACCCCTGCAGTTTCTTATCTGGAGTTATCTTGGAGTTCTGATGGAAATACACTTTTTCAGAAGTCTTCTTTTTTACCAAAATAAGAATATGAGTTCTCAGTTGGTTTTTGCATTCAGTATGTTTTTGTCTGCCTTAAATCTTTGAGAAATTCTTCATTGTTCTAGTCTGTCAGTGGTATCTCTTCTGGCTTTGTGGCATTACTACAAATTTAACTTTTATGGTTTTTGACCTGGGATTTGGAAAGGAAAGCATGTTTCTTCATTCAGCCATCTTTAACCAGAATTCCCTGTTCCTCTTGTTTCTGAACTCTTGGTAGTGCAAGTCCATGGTGTCTGTCTGCAATTCTGAAATCCTAAAGGCTTTGAAATTCCAAAATTTTTTCCAAAATTTATTTTTGTGACCAATCTGATTGCCTTGAATTTACCTAGAAGCGAAACCTGACTCAAACTAATAAGAAGCTCTTTGTAATCTTAACCTTTTGTACTTGATGTGACTATTCATAAGTTTGTTCAGTTGTGGAGTATCTGTTGGGAGGGAGAATATGTAATATTTGATATACGCCATATTGTATTTCTAAAATATGAAAAATTCTCAGCCAGGAGTGGTGGCTCATGCATGTGGTGGCTCAGCTTCCCACTTTGGGAAGCTGAGGTGGACGGATCACTTGAGCCCAGGAGTTTGAGACCAGCCTGGGCAAGATGGCAAAACCCCATCTCTACAAAAAAATCATCCGGGCATGGTGGTGTGTGCCCATAGTTCCAGCTACTCTGGAGGCTGAGGTGGGAGGATCACCTGAGCCCGGGGAGGTAGAGGCTGCCACTGCACTCAAGTCTGGGCGACAGAGTGATACCCCATTTCAAAATAAATAAATCAAATTAAATTAAATATGAAAATTTCTTAATTCCAAAACTCATCTACCCCAGATAAAGGACTGTAGGCTTTTGTGCCACATTGGACTTAGGAAGACCTCATAGTGTAAATGCATTTTTGAGAGGAACTAGAAAGTTTCTAGGAATAATGGTAGATTTGATTTTTGTTTTATATTTGAGTTTATGGACATGATGAAGATAGAGTTGGAAGGTATGGGTTGAAGAGGAAAGTAAATGAAAATGAAAAGACATTTCTATTGTAGAAACAATGTGTAACTCATAATGATGTCTTTTTATTTCATCTTTAATATGCATTGACTAAAAAAATACTGTATTTTATCTCAAAATTTAGGGACGGAAAGCAAAAATAGATAGTTATCAGGAACCATTTACTCACTCAGCCCCAGAGAGCATACCTGATACTTTTGAAGATGCAGTGAATATACTGAAGCCTTCAACTATAATTGGTAGGTAAAGTTTTTCTGATAAATAATTTTACTCCCTAACTGTATGTTGCCAGTCATCATTACCATGTAGGATTACTAAAAATGAATTGGCAGTTTTACCTAGCTTTCAGCATGTACAATGTTTTCTGTGATAACTTTTTGGTTACCATGCATGAAATTCAGTTACCAGATGTTGCTTTATACTTTTAGGTCCTAGACACTGTGTAGTCGATCATGATTTGCTTTTAGAGTTGGTATGACTGTTGGACTCAAAACATGAAAAAAACCAAAGCCATTTGCAGATTTTACCAGGAAAATTCTATGCAGACTCAAAGTTTTCGTGGGCAACAAAGCTGAAAACTTTGAGTGTGTTTTGAATCAGGCATTGCATAGATGCCATCAGACTATGTCATCATGGCATTACATTCTCAGCAGAAAATGTAAAAGTGTTTAAAAGAGGAGCTATTTAATTTGCTGTATAGCTGTAAGTTTTTTTGTTTTCTTGTTTTTTGTTTTTTTTTTTGAGACAGAGTCTCACTCTGTCACTCAAGCTGGAGTTGGCTCACTGCAACTTCCACCTCCCGGGTTCAAGCAATTCTCTTGCCCCAGCCTCCCAAGTAGCTGGGATTACAGGTACCCGCCACCACGCCCAGCTAATTTTTGTAATTTTAGTAGAGATGGGGTTTCACCATGTTGACCAGGCTGGTCTTGAACTCCTGACCTCAGGTGATCCACCTGCCTCGGCGGGTGAGACTCCATCTCAAAAAATAAATAAATAAAAATAAACAACCCCCCATTTTCCCCACTCCCCACCCCCTAACAACCACCATTCTACTTTTTGTCTCTATGAATTTAACTACCTCATATAAATGGAATGACATGGTATTTTTCTCTTTGTGACTGGCTAATTTTATTTAGCATAATGTCAAGTTTCATCCATGTGGTAGCAAGTTTTATCTTCCCAATTAGAGTGATGAAGATAGTCATATACTCTTTTTAAAAATTGGTTGGGCATGGTGGCTCACACCTGTAATTCCAGCACTCTGGGAGGCCGAGGCAGGCGGATCACCTGAGGTCAGGAGTTTGAGACTAGCCTGGCCAACATGGCAAAACCCCATCTCTACTAAAAATACAAAAATTAGCCGGGCGTGGTGGCACACACCTTTAATCCCAGCTACCTGGGAAGGTGAGGCACGAGAATCACTTGAACCCAGGAGGGAGAGGTTGCAGTGAGCTGAGATTGTGCCACTACACTCCAGTCTGGGCGACAGAGCGAGACTCTGTCTCAAAAAACAAAAAGTTAAAAGAATAAAATTTCCCATAATTTACTATGTGTATAGTAGACAATAAATATTTAAGTGAGAACTTTCAGCATCTTACTGTTTTTTCTTTTCAGATTTGAGATTGTGTTCTCATAGATTTTGCATTGCTGAGATAGTGCTATCTTTGTAATGAGATATTACCTGTGTTTTTATTATTGTAGGCCTATTGTAGAAATGCTATTGATAAGCATTGCTTTTATACCTATAATGAAGTTGCTGTTTTTCCCCCTTACTTATTACAGGAGTTGCAGGTGCTGGCCGTCTTTTCACTCCTGATGTAATCAGAGCCATGGCCTCTATCAATGAAAGGCCTGTAATATTTGCATTAAGTAATCCTACAGCACAGGCAGAGTGCACGGCTGAAGAAGCATATACACTTACAGAGGTATTAATAATCACATGAATTGATATGTATATTATTTTCCCTCCACTAGCTTATTAGTTATACATTCTTACACCATTGTTCTAATGGTTTCCCTAGAGATTACAGCATGCATCTATGGGTGATCAAAGTCTGATATTAATTATTGCTTATACCAATTATGGGAAACAGGTACTTTATAACTCCACTGTAATGCCCTCACACTGTTTGCACTATTGTTGTGAATTTTAATTTTCTATGTATTTTAAACTCAAAATACATTATTGTTATATTTTACAAAAATTATTCAGATTTACCTACACTTTAATTTATTTATCACTATTCTTCCTGCAAGTGCTTCTACCTAGGATCATTTTCCTTCTACCAGAAGAATTCCTTTATTTAAGTGTAGGTCTAATGAATTCTCTTGGTAATTTATTTTGCCTTCATTTTGAAGGATATTTTCACTCTGCATAGACGTAAAAGTTGGTAAATACTTGAGCATTTTGAAGATATCATTTTACTGTTTTCTGACTTTTGTTTTCTTTTTGATGATATAGCATTGTCTTAGGTTTTTAACAGTTTGACTATGGCGGACATATGCGTGGTTTTCTTTGTATTTATTCCACATGGGGATTATACTGCTCCTGAATCTATGGCTTGATGTCTGTTTTTGGTTTTTGTTTTTTCTGTTTTGAAAAAATATCAGCCAGTATCTCTACTTTGGCCACATTGTCTCTCTCATCTTATGGGACTCTAATTATATGGTTAGAGATATATCTCATTTATCTTTTACACTGTTTTCTATATTTACTATCTCTCTTGCTTTCTGTGTTTCAATCTGGTGATTTCCTTTGGCCCTATTTTCCAGTTTGCAGATTCTCTGTTCAGCTGTGCTCATCTGTTGTTAGGTTCTTAATTTTAGTTGCTGTATTTTTTCATTTGTAGAATTTGTGTTTTATCTGTATAGTAATTTATTAATTTAGTAACAGACTTAAAATCATGTACTGTAGAAATAATCAATCTCTAAATACTGCTTTCTTGTACTCACATTTCATGAAACTTTTTACTCTCTTCAAATGCATCTTCACCATCAGTGTTTGTCTTTTCTAAGGCTGTTTTTTTTGAGTCATCTGGCGCTGTGGAGAACAAATTTTTATTTACATCCGAACTGTTTAAGATTCACTACTTTTAGATCTTTGACACTACCACGGGATTATAGCCCAATTACAAATATCTGCCTATAAATCACTTGACATTTGGGTTTTTTTCCTACCATTCTGTAAGGATGTAGTTGTAATCTCCACAATTACTTTCTATATTGTTGTGGTAAGTGATCTAAGTGGCTCTAGGAAGTGATTTTTAAAGGCTTGTTTACAATGATGTCTAGCAGCTATAATTGCTAGACTACATCCTTGAGAGTAAGTAATAAATCTGATACATTTTTTTAATCTTCACTCCTTTAAAACAACGTTTTTTATAGTAGAAAAGTATTACAGTGTATCTCTCAAAAGCTAAGGATTCTTTTAAAAATATAACCACAGGGCCGGGCACGGTGGCTCACGCCTGTAATCCCAGCACTTTGGGAGGCTGAGGTGGGCAGATCACGAGGTCAGGAGATCGAGACCATCCTGGCTAACATAGTGAAACCCCGTCTCTACTAAAAATACAAAAAAAATTAGCCAGATGTGGTGGCGGGTGCCTTTAGTCCCAGCTGCTGGGGAGGCTGAGGCAGGAGAATGGTGTGAACCCACGAGGCGGAGCTTGCATTGAGCCGAGATCGCACCACTGCACTCCAGCCTGGGTGACAGAGCAAGACTCCATCTCAAAAAAAACCCCAAAAAACCATATATATATATATATATATATATATATATACACACCACAGTACTGTTATACCTCATAATTTGAACAATAATTATATCTTGTCATTTAATTTTTTTTTTTTTTTTTTTTTTGAGACAGGGTCTCTCTTGGTTGCCCAGGCTGGAGTGTAGTGGCACAGTCATAGCTCACTGCAGACTCCAATTCCTGGCTCAAGTAATCCTCTTGCCTCAGCTTCCTCAGTAGCTGGGACTACAGGCAAATACCACCACACCCAGCTAATTTTTTAATTTTTATTTTTGTAGAGACAAGGTCTTGCTTTGTTGGCCAGGCTGGTCTCAAATTGCTGACCTCAAGTGATCCCCTGCCTCAGCCTCCCAAAGTGCTGGGATTACAGACATGAGCCACTGTGCCCCACCTAATTTCTTGAATATGTGAATTGCAATTAAAATTTTCTGATGGTAACAAATATCTCACTCATTTTTATTATCTATCTTTTGTTCTGTCTTGGTTATCAGGTTTGTTTGTAAGGCTAATTTGTCCTTTTTTTTTTCTTTTTTTTTTTGAGATGAAGCGTCACTGTGTTGCCCAGGCTAGAGTGCAGTGGCGTCATCTCACCTCACTGCAAACTCTGCCTCCCAGGTTCACATCATTCTCCTGCCTCAGCCTCCCGAGTAGCTGGGTGCCCGCCACCATGCCCGGCTAATTTTTTTGTATTTTTAGTAGATATGGGGTTTTACCATGTTAGCCAGGATGGTCTCGATTTCCTGACCTTGTGATCCGCCCGCCTCGGCCTCCCAAAGTGCTGGGATTACAGGCATGAGCCACTGCGCCCGGACTGTTTTTGTTTTTCTTAATTGAGTGATGGATAGTGTAGA